>NC_000004.12:182557744-182860774 GCF_000001405.40 Homo sapiens
TGCTGCACTGTCACCAGCCCAGCTGAGATTCAGAATCACTTCTGGTGTGGTTCTGTCCCTCAGGTACCCTTTATGTGCCTCAGAAACACTTTTACCTAGATGTCTCTCTACCATTCATACATGTTTACAGTGATTTCCTTCTGAGTAAATATATAGAACTATCAAAATGTCTAACCTGCCCGTTACTCAGTTGCAGTCCTAGTTTACTTCCCGCTTGATCTGATTGATTCCGTTTCTTTGGAGTATTAGAAAGAGAGAGAACTTGCCCGATACCTTCTGCTTTCATCTACGGCTACGATCCGATTTCCTTCCCTTGAATGCATGAAGGAAGGGTTTAAATGGCATCTGAGGTAATCGTGAGTTTCTGGGTTACTTTGCAGTGGTTTGCCCTCGATGGAGTGCACAAGAGGAAAGAATGGGAATAGCCCTGCCCTGCCAGTGCGTGCCTGTAGCGAAAACGCTTGGAAAACAAGTGATGCACTCCTAATGAATTGTGCTTTTGGTTCTTTGAATGTGCACAGCATCTCCATCAGGTTTTTACAGCTGGACTCTAGCTGTAATTGCTACTGGGATGAGATGCACAACATGGGGTGTTGAAGCTAAGAATTTGTAGTGTTTTAGTGGCCAAAAATACATGGCATGGTAGGAGCATCAGGCCTCATGAAATTCACACTTGTATATCTTCATGTTCCTCACCCGTTTCTGACATGCCGCTGATTTGCCAACAGGCTACTCTAGATGAAGGGGATAAAAATGGCAAAGCTGAAAGATGTTGTTTCTTAAAAGATACTGTGTATCAGTGGAGTAAGAGGAAGTAGATTGGGGATATAAATGCATAAAAAGGCCTCTGTAGTCATTCTTCAGTGAAGACAATTGGTATTAATCTCATCAATGCAACAAAACAAAAAAGATAACAATTTTAATCTTATTATAGCACAAAATGGCATGCATTAAAGTATTTCTCCTAATGTAAACAATAATTCTATATTTCTGTAGCATCAGCTCTCAGATCCCTTGTCCTGATTTGTCATTAGATATAAATCAGTTTTTATGCTTCTTCCAGAGAAGCTTTAAAGCCTAATGTTTCCTTATTGGAGATGTTATAATTCCAAAGAGGGTAAAATTGATAGTTTCACAGAGAAAAGTATCCTATCCAAAATTATGATGTAAAAGAATAATCCAAATGCCCATGCTGATCCACCCTTATGGTTATTTAAGGTATAATCAGTGAGGCTTGGAATTTAATGCAATTCCATTGGCATCATAATTTTCCAGGGTGTCAGCTGTGACCACTGAGTTCCCAACCCAGTTAAATTATTCTTTCACATTATTCTTTGCATTTTCTGTTTTCTTCTTTCTTTCTTTTCTCTTTATTCCTCGGGATTTTTTTTTTTTTTTTTTTTTTTTGAAAATCAATCCCTGTTGTGTCCATCCAACCAAAATATTTTATAGCGCTTACGTTAACTGACATTTTAAAAGCAGTTTATGTTGTAGATATTAATTAATCCTGAGAACAGTACAATGCTCAGGAGAGAATTATTTGAATTAAATTTGTCAAAAGTGGTATAATGCAAAGATTGCCCTAACACTGCTGAAAGGAGTAATTTTCGTTGTTTCCATAGAAATGAGGAGTTCCTTATTCTTTGGTCCTTACTCAGATCATACTACTTTTGTTTAATTACAATGAAATAGTAACCACTAATCAAAAGATTCTTTGTTCTATTTAGAATTCAAACTTTTGTTCTCCTGAACATATTTACCTGCCTTTCTAGGATTACTTTCTAATGGCAAAACCAGAAAATGGCAACATGAGAGCTGAATTGAGAAGAAAAATGCTTACCTTATGCAAGCACCCTGTAATAAACTTTGAGATTTTCTATTGATTTTTTTAATGCCCAGCGTTTGTTGTATTCTTTTTATAACATTTTTTCATTCCACGGTCATTTTAAGCTTTATTTCATTCACAGTTTCTTTACACCTCTTGCTTTTATTGAAATTTAATTTGAGAAATGGATAATTAAGAATCCTTCTACATTCTATAGAGAGTAACTAGCCCCATGGTTAATGGGTACAAATAAATAGAATGAATAAGATCTAGTATTTGATTGCATAACAGAGTGACTGTAGTCAATAATAATTTAATTGTACATTTTAAAATAATTGAATATAATTGGATTGTTTATAACACAAAGAATAAATGCTTCAGATGATGGATAACCCATTTACCCTGATGTGATTTATTACACATTGTATCCCTGTATCAAAATATCTTCTCATGTACCCCACAAATATATAGACCTATTATGTACCTATAAAAATTAAAAATTAAAAAAAGGTTTTTTTTTTTTTTTAAAAAAAGAGTAACTATCCCCACAACAGTACATCACAATCACACACACACACCCTGAATCCTGGCAGCATTGCAGTACACAGGAATACGTTACTTGAATTGAAACTGCAAAAGTAGTTTAATGCAAACACACACCCCCACATAAATACACTTTTATTTATTAAAAGACAAGGAAACTAAAAAACTGAAGTATGAAGGCCAATTGGAATAATAATGTGTGTTTTACAATTTTTTCTCAAATTTCCTCTTTAACATTAACTCGAGAGTAGATTCCATTCCCAAGGTGATTCAGCCATTCAATATTTCAAAACTTTCGTTATTCCCTCGAGCTCAGTGCCCCCTCTACTGCTTCTCCTACAAACAGTGATTTCCCAGTAATGCCAGCAGAAGCAACAGTGAAGCTAATGCAGTCACTCTGCTAGGGAAGAGAAGTTTTCAAGAGAGGCAAAGGCACAGTTTCCCTTTTTCTTTCCTACCAGTTAATGCCCTCAGTGGGTGGTCATGCCTGCTCTGTTCTTGAACAAAGGACTTCCTTCTCAGGAGCAGCAGGAATAAAACCGACAAGTATCACATCTGTTTCATGCTGCTTCTCCAGTTCCCATGGGATAGCACCACGTCTATAGCAGCAGTTCTGATGGTGCCACAGGGAAACAAGGCAGTAGGACATCATAAATGAACAGATCCTGCTTGAATGAAAGAGAAGGGGAAAAGAAAATACTAAATAACAATATAATGAACAGTGGAGAAGTAAAAGGGCAAAGATACAACTCCTCAGAGAAGACAAATGTTTTAGAGATAGTCTCTATTTGGTGTAAGGTCTGAGTGTTGACATATGTACGTATTTTAGAAGTAGTGTAGGATAGAGTACATCCATTCCTCTCCGTTCATGGCCAGAGAACTGGTCCTGCGTGAAGAATGCACGGTTTAATTTGAGGAACATTTCCAACGGGTCTTAAATTCTGGCCTTTGCTGTTACTGTCTACAAATGGGAAGAAAAGTGGTAGGCAAATTTAAAAACCAAAGAGGATTTAATAATTATAATTAATAATTGAAAAAAAGACAAACTAAGACTCAAAACATTGATGGGAATTTATAAAATTGGATTGGATGATGTTTGTAGAGCTCTGTAAATTTATTAAAAATTGTATTTATGAATTCAAAATTTAAAATTATAAATATATAAATATGTAAATAAAAATGATTTTAAAAATTAACTGATAATAGCTCTTTACAATTTTTAAAATCCCTCCGAATATAGAATAGCATAGGAAAATGCTCATGTTAGTGATACAAGGAAGATAGCAAAGCAGAACTATGCAGTACAATCTTGATTTTGATGATATTTGTATATTAAAAAAAAAAGGAAAGAAACAAACCAAATTTTCCCTGGGTAATGGATTATGGATAGTTTTAGTTTTTCTCTTTTCCCAGTGTTTTTTAGATTTCTGTAGTTTTGTTTTTTCTAAATGTTTGCACTGAAAGTGTAATATTTTATGATGAAAACATACAAAAATTTTAATGGGAAGACTTTTTGTCAGTACCTGCCAGAATTGTTTATATGGATAAACAATTTCAGTTTTTCATTTCTCTGAATGGATCCTGTAGAATTCTATAGAATAGTTATGTAAGGGATTATTTAAGTATTACATGGATATTAAAAACAACCTAAATGCCCATCAAAAGGGAATTCATGCTGTGTCATAATACTATTCAGTTGTTATAAAAGAATGAACCTTCACAAGTATATATTATGTTGGTGAAAAAGTAATTGCTGTTTTTGCCATTAAAAATAATAGCAAAACTGCAATTACTTTTGCACCAACCTATATAAGACATATTGTGCATATATGTATATAAACAATACTGTGTATATCCAGATAGATAGATAGACAGATAGATAGATAGATAGATAGATAGATAGATAGATAGATAGATAGATACACACCCTAACTTGAAAAAAATACCTATGTTCTATTGTGGAGTAGATAAAGCAATTTGTCAAACTTAATATAAAGATAGATTGCATTTTCACAAAATGTATGTGAGAGTAAGATTGTCTAGGCAACCTTAGGCTGTATAAGAAACATAAACATCTATTCTTTTAAGTGAACTAAGTTTTAATTTTGAGCCACTATTCCAACCAGTGGTAGAAACTCATTAAGTAGACACAGTCAAATCAGAGTTTCTTATTAACTTATCCCATCCTAGGAATGAGATTATGAAAGTGTCACGGGATGGTGAGTGCCATATGCTGAATTGTGTCCTCTCAAATTTATATGTTGAAGTCCTACCCACAATTATTTTTTAGGACTTCTATCCTCCACAACTGTGAGAAATAGTTCTGTTGTTCCAGCCGCTGTTGCCTCATGTGTCCACACTCATCACAAGACCCTTTCTGAACTCTGTTCTTCTCTTAGTCATTTCCGTGCCATTTTTCACTCAAGAAAATGTATGGCTGCCCTACCGTGACACCCTGGGCATAGTGGGGGTTGGGGTTGGAGCAGGCTGCCACTTTGAGGCTGTCTCAGTTTCATCTGACTGAACACCCTGCACAGCCACCTTTACTCCTATCCTATGCTACTTTACCCTCCTGGAAAAGGGGCAAGATCTTGCCATACCCTGATTCATCTTTTGTTTCTGTTATTATATCCAACTTTGTGGGGGGTGCAACATGGAGCGCAACTTCTCAACACAACAACACCGTGCCTAATTCTCTTCTGCTCCAGTCATGCAATCACAGTCAGGTACTGTGGGGGTCAAGGGGCCAGGTGCTGGAAAAGTGAACTCTGAGTACTCAGAAATTCTTTGCCAGCCTCATTGTTTCTAGCATAAGTCCAAACTTTTGAAATTTAAAGATCAATACTTTATTTATTCTTTACTTCTGCTTTAACAACTTTTTTTTTCCTAAGGCACCATGTACTCACAGAATATGGAGAAAGGTACAGGAGAAGATACAGTGGTGGTGATGGTAGGAAACCTTGATGAATATTTCAAAATGTTACTCTGGTACACTGGGTTATCTTGAAAGTTAGGCTTAGAGCTGGGCATGGTGGCTCACACCCGTAATCCCAACACTTAGGGAGGTTGAGGCGGGTGGATCACCTGAGGTCAGGAGTTCAAGACCAGCCTGGCCAACATGTCGTGCATATGTAGAGACAAAATGCCGTCTCTACAAAAATACAAAAATTAGCCAGGTATGATGGTGTATGCCTGTAATCCCAGCTACTTGGGATGCTGAGGAGGCAGGAGAATCGCTAGAAACCTGGAAGGTGGAGGTTGCAGTGAGCTGAGATCATGCCACGGCACTCCAGCCTGGGTGACAGAGCAAGACTCCATCTCAAAAAAAAAGAATTTAGGCTTAGAGAGGGGAAGGGGAAACTTTCACTTTTACTTGATATAATTCACTTGATATAATTCACTTTCACTTTTACTTGATATAATTCTATATTATTAAATAATTATCCCTTTAAATAAAAAGTTAATCATTTTTATAAGCTTCATATCAATTGATCCTTATAACAATACTATGATGTAGCAGGGGCAGTTACTATTAACTTGTATTTTAACAGATGAATAAATGAAGTCATTCCTACACATTAAAAGTATCTTTTGATCTGGAACAAGTAAGATAAAATGAGAGGCAAACATATAATGAGTGCTTTCAGTGAGTAAGGAATACACTAGGAAAAAAGCTGTTACAAATATCCTAATAATGCCTAACATTTCTCTAAACCCTTATTGATTAGAAACCATTTTCAAAGTTATAGTTTTTATTGATTATTCTTTTGAAATAGTTTGTGTCCATTCTTTTCTTCCTAAAGGTATCTCTTCCATGCAGGTCTTCATGGTTCATGTTTCAACTACCACCAGATCCTTCGCTCCTGCCAATCATTCCTGCCCCAGTATGTTCTTCACCTCACTTGATTTTACTAAAACATTGCTTGGATCACGTCATCATAAAGACCTTAGGTTGGAAAGAGCCTCAAATGCAGCCTCTCGCCTGGCTCAGGAATCTTTTCAAGAGGATCCCTGGCATAAGATTTTCCTGCCTTTTTGAACCATTGGATAGGGATTCACTGCTTTCTGAGGCAGCTTGTTCTATTTTTAGCTTAAAGTATCAGAAAGTTCCTTCTTTTGGCTCTACTGAATGCTTCTCTTTAACTTCCACACAAAATGAATCCAATCTTTCTTTTATGTGAAAACCTTTCTTTAAAAAAAAAAAAAAGAAATTGTATAAAAAATAGAGACGAGGTCTCACTATGTTGCCCACGCTGGTCTTGAACTCCTGGGCTCAAACAGTCCTCCCGCCTTGGCCTCCCAAAGTGCTGGGATTACAGGCTGTCACCACCATGCCTGGGCAGTGACAACCTTTCAACAAATATGAGACTATAAGTCTTTTCACCTCAATTATTCTCTTCACCACACCGAACATTCCCAATTCCTTTCTTGGTGTTTTCGTTTGTTTTTTTGTTTTTGTTTTTGTTTTGTTTTTTTTTTTTTTGGTCCAATATCCCTGAGACCACCACAGTTCTTGACACACGGTAAATATTGAAGGCATATTTGTTTCCTGAGTTAATGAATGGCTAAAGTGCCCTATTGTTACAGCATTGCTTTGGTTCCAGTTTTATAATCTGTAAAGAAAGGCATCAATACGTGTCCTCCATCTGGTAGTTGATCTGCAGTAACTCCTGCAATGATCTAACATCTGTTTCTCTCTTCTTTTAGCTTCACAGAAATGTCAAATATTTCTATGGCAGTGTAATTTTTAAATATACAAGTTTATTCCCCCTCTTAGCTTTTATGTCTGTTGTTTCTGAACAGCTCATTACAACATGACAGTATAAATATCTTAAATGAATATGTGCCGTCTTACTTATCTCCTGTTGTTGAAACAGTTCCCATTTGGTTTTTACCCAGTGTGTGAAAAGTTCTGTTTTTCATTAGTATCCATACATTATTTGGCCATCACCAGAATGAGGCAATACAGCTTTATTAATATGTTCAGTCATATAGTTAGTAAAGACACTATGTTGCACAGTTTATAAAGTACACGTCTTAATGGAACAGGGTTGAATTATCAGAGCTATTCCTGGTGAATCATAGTCTTGGTTACCACCCATTTTTGCTTATTTATCCTGCCTCCTAGACTTAGTTTAACACTCAAGATAATAGAACCGAAGAACTGAGAAGGTAATAAATCAGTTCATTCTTCTCTGATAATAGGTGTGTTGGCTATAAAGATTGAAGATACAATTAAATTATATGTGAATTTTAGTCATATCTACACCCATTTACTACAAATAAGCAAGAATTTTTTATTGTCAAGTTTCTTATAATTATGGTTCAGAAGCAGCTATCTCAAGTCCTCCCGAAGGATATAGTGTAGTGTTGCCACTATGTTGATTATTCAACCATAGAATTTTTAAAAGTATAAAGCCAAGTACCTCCAGGAATGACCTTAATTATTGAAATTAGCATCCCTCATACCAATGATCATTTACCAGTATGTTTTCAAACTTTCTATCTTAAATCACAGTACTATAAATTTTTATAGTACCCTTTTAAGTATCCAGATTTCTCTTTATTAAGTGAAATACACAGAAAACACATTTCTTGCTTGCTATATGTAGCAGGATTAGACATCTACAGCATTATGCTTTCAAGAAAATTTTTCTTGACATTGTTTAAGAAGGAGAGAGAACAGTGAGATTTCCACATCTGTTAAATAATCATTAGCATGTAGGATTGAATTCTGTCTTCTTTTTCAACCTAAGACCAGCTGTTGAAGTAAACTAGAAGGGCCCCTTAATTATTGCATATTTCAATAGCTTGCTGAGGATTCAGTTACCTAGATCCACCACTCTGATCAAAGGGGACTGATTTACTTTGTCACCATTGTTATTGAAAGCATTCCTTATTTGATTGTTTTGCTTCTAAAATGTTCTATAAAAGGTCAGACAGGGTGTCTTTCTCTGATTCCATCAGGCCTCTGGGAAGAACCTCTGCTACCAATTATGTGCTACTTGGACGGGTGCTAAGACATTGCACGGCTTCTTTCCCTTGGCCTTCATACAGGTTTGCTTTTGTCACCAATATTGCTGAGTCAAAGGTGTCTTAATGTCCATATGGCATTTGGCATCAGTGAAAAGCAAATTCAGAAAAATGAACTTATTTCCTCTTGTTTGTGACGCGATTTGGTACCATTGCCGAGGAGACATTTGCCATGAGTTGTACATCTGTATCAAAGGCTTTAATTTATTTTAAGGGTCTCCTTATTACCATTGGCTTCATGATTGTTTTTGTAAACATGGAATAAAGTCTTAACCTGGCATAACCCACAGCCTAGGGACTAAACAAAACTAAACTAATGCCTGCAACTTTGGCCCTCCACAGGAAACACCGTAAGAATGATTGAATATGAAAATCAAATTTTGACTGCTTCCAAATAGATCACAATACTGAATTATGCCAGTGTTGTGTTTATTGTTTCTCTCTTCCAGCCTTTCACGCACTGTGTCAACTTGGCCAACAGCAGCTATCCATGAGCTCTTGTATGTGGCAGGATGGGTGTTCTGTCTTTATATTGAGGCCACCAATGGAATGTCATTATGCATTTACAAAGATGCACACCTGTTTGGAATATGCCCTCATGCCTCCACAATTAACAAGTTTTTAATCTAAAGCTGTTTTCACAAGTAGTAGATGTCAGAATTTCTTTGAAATCTCTTCATAGCAGACGCACAGGTGTGTTTGCCAGGCCACTGTTCTTTTCTATAGTATTTCACTATTTTCAAGATGAAATTTATTGGTATGTATAGTGACATATATACAAATTTATTGGTATATAAAGGAGGCCATATTCTTTACTATAATGAAGCTTTTTCTCCTAAAGATAATTAAAGTAATGAAGCATGTGTTAACTACATACTGCAAAGGATATGTGAAATGGGAAATGGAAAAAAAGAAAAACTTCTAAATAGAGAGGTAAATAAAAGAGACATAATCTATGCCCTGGAAATCAAAACGTAGGTCGTAGAGCGCAAAAGGGAGTTTGCTTTTTAAGATTTGTTTACCTTTTTTGTGATGGGATAACATAGAAGATTTTTAGTCCATTGTCTCTATTGTCAAAGTATGTTCAGAATTCAACAATTTCCTGTCCTCTTTATTGCCAGCACACTAGCCTTAGTCACCATTGTCTCTCACCTGGATTTCTGCAGAGGCTTCCTGTCGGGTCTTTCTGCTGTCACCCTTGACACCTTCCCTCCCGTCCCATGCCCACCACGTCTGTTCTCAACATAGGCCAGAGCAAATCTTTAAAAGTGTTTCAGTGTGTCACTGGGTCCTCAGAACTTTGCAGTAGCTCCCCATCTCTCAGAGTGAAAGGTAGTCTTTAAAATGGCCTTCCAGATTCTACATGACCTGGCTCCTGTTACCTCTGAACCTCCTCTCCTACTTCCTCCTGTTTCTGGAATATATCTGGCATGGTCTTAACTAGGCCTTTGTACTGTCCCTTATCAGGAATACTCTTCGGGCAGACTTCTTCCTGCTTAACTCTCTCATCTCTTCCATTCAGTCTTTGCTCAATGTTCCTGCTTAAAATTGCAGCTCATCCCTGCTACACACAATCAGGAGACTTCCCACCCTACTCTATTTTTTTTTTATATAAAACAGTTACTGTGTATCAAGTTACCATATAATTTACTTTGTAATTATATTATTAATTGTCTCCCCCCAATAGAATGTAATCCAAAAAAAAAAAAAAAAACAGAAATAGGCTCTGTTTTGTTCATAGAGGTAACTCATGCCTAGAACAGTGCCTGGCACATGCATAGTAAGTGCTTCAAAAGTATTTCTTCATAGAATGAATTGAATCAAAACTGGTAAAGTTGGAAAGTTGGTGTTAAGGGGAAGATATGAGTTCAGTATTGTCCTTTTGAATTTTAGAAGTAAGCGATAGAGCTTTGGAAAGAGAATAATAGGACTATAGATGAAGTTATGGGAATCATGTGCACCTAATTCATCAGCAAATCCTGCCAGTTCTACCTCCAACCTACCTTCAAGCTGTACTGCGTTTCACCTTTACCACAGTCATGTAAGCCAGTATTGTCTATCACCTGGCTTATTACAGCATTCTGCAACTAGTCACCTTGGATCTGCACTGAACCCTCAACACATTTTGAGCTCAACACAGTGAGTTGGAAGGCAAGGATCCAGGGAAGATGAACACCAAAACCTGCAGAAGAGAGGGAATAATTAGTAAAGAGGTATCTGAAAGAAGGTTGGAGAAACAGAATGAGAAGGGGCAAGGCTGCCTTTTCTTTTGAATTAACGGGAAGTGGCTTTAGAAGGTCAAGAAGGTATGAGTAAGTTTACCCCGTTAGAATGGCTAAAATCACAGAGACTAACAACCTAAAATATCAGGCAGGATGTAGAGTAATTGGAGCTTTCATACTTTGCTGATAAGGATTTGGTATGGTACAAACTCTTTGGATAATTGTTTGGCAGTTGTCTATAAAGTTAAACACTTACTTGTGAGCCAGTAATTGTACTCTTCAATATTTATCAAAATATGTAAAAACACAGGTGAAAAACTGTTTATAGCACCCTTATTCAGAATTACCTAAAACAGGAAACAACTCTGATGTCCATCAGTAGGAGAAGGGATTGTGATATATTCATTCAATGGAATAATATTAAACAATAAAAAAGAACAAAGCACGGCTATACATAGAAAAATGAATGCACCTCAAAAACACTAGGTTAAGCAAAAGTGGCCAGGCACAAACGAGTACATACTGTATGATTCCAGTTACTTGAATACATAAAATCCAAGAACACACAGAAAACATTTATATGGTGACAGATGTCAGAGAGTGGTTGCCTGGAGTAGTGGGGAGGAGGAAGGGAATTGTCTGGAAATGGGTAGAAGAGAACTTTCTGGGTGAAGACAGTGTGTGCTATCTTGTTTTGGATGGCCGTTAGCCAGGCACACACAGTTGTCAAATTTGTCAAACTGAACTCTTGAGATCGGTGTACTGTACTGTATGTTAATTACACCTCAGTTAAAACATGTAATCAAAATCTATGGGCCTATGTTGGGAAATTCTGAGATAAACAAGAAGGAAAATGTGATACCTTAAATGCAGTGGCTCAAGTCTTCTTAGAAAAGTAGGGTACAGGCCAGGCGCAGTGGCTCACGCCTGTAATCCCAGCACTTTGGGAAGCCGAGGCAGGCAGATCACTTGAGGTGAGGAGTTCGACACCAGCCTGGCCAACGTGGTAAACCCTGTCTCTACTAAAAATACAAAAATAAGCCGGGCGTGGTGACATGTGCCTGTAATCCCAGCTACTCGGGAGGCTGAGGCAGGAGAATGGCTTGAACCTGGGAGGCGGAGGTTGCAGCAAGCCAATATTGCGCCACTGCACTCCAGCCTGGGCAACAGAGCAAGACTGTGTCTCAAAAAAAGAAAAAAAAAAAAAGAAAGAAAGGAAAGTAGGGTACCAAATTATGTCTTGAGCTTGATACATGAGTGATTAGACTGGAAGAGTAGAAAAAGCTGAGACCAGCTACTTTACGAAATGTGACAGGACGTCAACAAGAGAAAACTAAAGTATTAATGGGCAGAAGTGAAGACCCAGGCAAGGCAGCCAGTGATGACTATGCCACAGTGGAACCAGGCAACATGATTTTGTGGTTTACGGGTGAGTAAATTTGATAACTGCTAGTTAGGAAGCCAGACAATTGGAGTCTAGGGCATTCATGTCTTTCTGGAAGCCTCGGAAAAGGTGAGGTTTGAACTGTGCCTTGAAGAATAAGGTGAATTTTACTAGGTAGAGAATGTGCAGGTAGGATATATTAGGGTAAATAAAATGTATCACTAAAATTAACTCCACCTGCTTCTTTTGATTTTAGTTTGGCTACTAGAAAATTTTAAATTATGTATATGGCTCAAGAACATATTTCTTTTGGACAGTTCTAGCCTTGAGGCATAGAGATAAGCTATTGCCGTAATCGAGGCAAAAGATGATGAATGCCTGGACTCAGACAATGGCAGCAGGGATCGAGGAACAGTAAAATTCAAGAGATATTTCTAAGGACTGAATTGACTGATGGAGGTTAGTGATTACATTTGATGGGGAAAGGGTGATGGAGCAGGACAAATCAAAGATTGCTCCAAGTTTTCTAACTTGGATAATATTGATTGGGAGGGGAAGCCATATATCACATTAGAGAAAATACAGGAAAAAAACGAAGTAGATTTGCAAGGGGAATAGGAAGAAAGAATACCACATATTGACTCCCAGGCACAAGTCACATATTAAATCATGTTCATGCCTGCAAAGATGTAAGAAATTATGACCCAGAGAGAATATTTAGCTCTGTGGAAAATCAGTCAGCTAGAAAGTGGAAGAACTAGGATTCAAACCCACACCAGTGGCGGTAGTAAATGCCTTTAAAACTTGGAAAGGGCCGGCCGGGCGTGGTGGCTCACGCCTGTAATCCCAACACTTTGGGAGGCCAAGGCAGGCGGATCACGAGGTCAGGAGATCAAGACCATCCTGGCTCATCTCTACTAAAAATACAAAAAATTAGCCAGGCGTCATGGCAGGCGCCTGTAGTCCAGCTACTTGGGAGGCTGAGGCAGGAGAACGTTAACCTGGGAGGCGGAGCTTGCAGTGAGTGGAGATCGCACCACTGCAATCCAGCCTGGGTGACAGTGCGAGACTCTGTGTCAAAAAAAAAAACAAAACAAACAAACTTAGAAAGAGCCAATGAGCAAACTATGGTTTGGGTTCTGTAGGTCGATGCGTGTGTTTATCCTGGGTCACACTGTGAGAAGGCTGTGTGCTGTAATTAGAGTTTGCTCTAAGAACTGACAGACTAACCTGGCACACAGTAATCAGAAATGGCAAGATTCATATTCGGGGGATGATTTTTAACTAAATGCTAGATTACAGAATCTGTGTCATTAAAATCAAACAGCTGCAAACAAATATGGGTAAAGTGCAGTCCTATGGCAAACACAACAAATAACTATTGTGCTTACTGTCTTAGACGTGTAAAGGCCCAGGCTATGAAGATGAGGCTGTATTATCATGAGGACATGCCCTGTTCATGTTGTAAAACTTTTTTTAAAACTATACCTTAGGCCAGGCACGATGGCTCCCGCCTGTAATCCCAGCACTTTGGGAGGCCAAGGCAGACAGATCACTTGAGCCCAGGAGTTTGAGACCAGCCTGGGCAACATGGCAAAACCCTGTCTTTTCAAAAAAAACAAAAATTAGCTGGGCATGGTGACATGTGCCTGTAGTCCCAGCTCCTCAGGAGGCTGAGGTGGGAGGATGGCTTGAGCCCAGGAAGCAGAGGTTTCAGTGAGCCAAGATGGCACCACTCTATTCCCACCTGGGTGAGAAAGCAAGACCCTGCCCCACACATGCACACCCTGCCCCCACAACACACACGCACAAATTATACCTTGTTTTCTTTGTATTTTCTTCCCTTTTAAAATGTGAAAGATATAAAATATTTCAGTTAACTTAGAATTCTAGTTAATTGGATTAGATTTTCCTGATAATACATTTTGGTATTATGATCTATGTTTCAGAAAATGTAAATTTCCACAGAAAAATAATTATATAAGAAACCATTGGTATGAGCACTTTAAGAATGTAGATTTTTCCAAGTGTATATAATTAACATAGAAGACTGAAAGTTTCAAACAACGTGACATAATTATAAATTGTTGTGAAACAAAAACCAAAGACCACTGTGGCACACAGCAATTAGGAATGATAAAACTGTTTATTGTTGTTGTTGTTGTTTTGAGACAGAGTCTCGCTCTGTCACCCAGGCTGGAGTGCAGTGGCGCGATCCTGGCTCACTGCAACCTCTGCCTCCTGGGTTCAAGCAATTCTCCTGCCTCAGCCTCCCGAGTAGCTGGGACTACAGGCGCCTGCCACCACGCCCGGCTCATTTTTGTATTTTTAGTAAAAACGGGGTTTCACCGTGTTGGCCAGGCTGGTCTGGAACTCCTGACCTCAGGTGATCTGCCCACCTCTGCCTCCCAAAGTGCTGGGATTACAGGCGTGAGCCACTGCGCCCGGCCAATATTACTGTTTTTAAAACAGAGACTTTGTACTGATTCTTGAGTAGCAGAATTGCACACAACAGCATATTCTTTTTAAACAGCCACAAATCAGAGATTAGTCTTAAAATGAGAACATTTTTGTAAAGACAGTTACTTATCTATCATATTGGTCTTTTCATCCACACTTAAGTAGCCATCAGTCTGGAGGAACATACTTAAATGCCAGCCACAGCAGTATAATATTTTAGTTTACTGAGTCACTTACTTCAGTACCGTCATGGTAAACTCAGGCACAAGTCTACATTTAATTAATAGTACATTAAGAAATGCAGTAGCCTTGAAGAATTCCACAGCGGAGTTGATCTTAATGCCATAGTCAGTGTTGAGAAACCTACTCATTCACAGATGGGTGTACCTCTTTCCAGTGACTCTTCCCAAATTCTAGCAAACTGATATATCAGTCACTTCTATTTAGAGCTAAGTAGAAAAAAACAAAATTGAAGGCAATCAGGTTAAAGAAACTTCCTGTAGTGGTTTTAAAAGAGAGTAGAAATAGTTGCTCACAGATTTGATAAAAAGGCTTGAATTCACGTACCAACTCATATTCATTGTGATACCTGCCTGATTCAGGGATTTCAGTAATTTTTAGGATCTTGTGGGGGTCAGAAGTGCCATAAAGATTAATGATACCTGTTAAGGTCACAGACTCAGGCTGGCAGTGGCAGTTGGGGAGTAGGAGAGGAAATAAAGAGAGCTTCATATAGTTCATCTAGGTTCTAGGGCTTGGCTTTGCTGCTTTAGCTTAGATCAAATAGTAATTTTTAAAACTCTTGTTTATTGATCATCTACCATCAATACGGATTGTGCCAGATATTATTTCAATGATTTGCATTCTCCTTAAACCTCCAGAGGTAGTATTCATAGCTGTTAATCCACATTTTCTACATTAGAAAAGTGAGACTCGGGGATTTAAAATTGAGTCAGCCAGACTCCAGAGGCGTCACTTAGGTTTTGTATCTCAGCATTGTCAGGATTTGAGTAGGACTTACCGAATAATAACGCTTTCTGGAATAGAGCCAAAGTTTGTGTGTATATACGCTTATGAACCAAATATATATTTTTATATTGACAACATAAATGTATCAAATCAATTAAAAATATTAATTTGGAATAAATCTCCATAGGGTGTTTTTATAAGTTTTCAAGTATATTCCTCAGAACAAACATTAAAGTAAGCTTTTTGACACAGGAATCAAATCCCTCACATCATATTTTTCAGAGAGCATCACACTATTATAGTGATGAAATTTTGTGTGACACCATCAGAAACAACTGTTCATAAAAGAAGCAGGGGTATTATTACAAGGAAATGTTGAAAATTCAGTATATTTGTATTTTAGCCTAGTTTCCCAGATTGAACGAATGCCACAAATATTTATTACTTTAGAGCAACATGTCGGTTAAAATTTCTGAACAGTTTCTGAAGGATTTGAAGGTGGGTACTAGAGAGACAGAGAAAAGGGAATACTGAAGCTTTATATCAGAATTGAATTGTGCGATTTCATATTAAAAAGAAAGGAGAACTATAGTTCTCTTCCAGTTATTCCCAAATGTTATGTTTTATTTATTAATAAGGAAAAATATTGAGATTCATATTTCACACATCACTGAAATGACTGTGCTTAAGCAGAAATTTTTTTCACACTTGTCATTATTTACTACTTTTTAGAGCAGAAAATGTATATTTTGTTGTTCAGGAATAAAAATAGGTTACAATAAAATATGAAAAACTAAAATTAATTCTTCTTAAAGGCATTTAGCTAAAAGTATTTTGTATTTCATTTCAAACACAGGAAAGTACTTTAATTCAAAAAAGACTTAGTTTTTAAATATACTGCCTTCTCCATTCATGACTCAAAATGCTTTCTCATAATTTATCCCAACTCTCATAATTTTTTATTACAACAAACTTGGAAATTTCGTTTGGTTATGTTATTTGTATTCTTTCATATGCCTCTTTTCAATCTTTTAAAATGACTTGTCATGTCAAATTGAATACCGTAGCGTGTGGATTTCTACTCTTATCAGAACTGCAATTTACCATGGCTTTATTATTTATTATTTATTTATTCACTAATTTATTCTCCTCTTTATTCCAGAAAGGATACTCATAGGAAGGGCTTACTTATGGATTGCTGTCATTTGGTATGCATTACTTCATGCATTTATTTATTGCCATCTCTACTAAATTGTATTTATGAAACTTTTCCTTTATTAGTTTCTTGCTTTAGAAATGAAGCAAATGAATTCTCCTGAGCCACTATATACTTATTTAAAATGTAAGAGCATTTCATTGAGCCATTTATAGGTTTTATGTATTATGTATTTTAACTAAAACACATTAAAATGTATTATTTTGGCCTTTCTGACAGTCATTTCAAGTGACAGAGCTTTCATTTTAAATGGCAAATCACCTTCTAATACACCTAAAACTGGTTATATTTTTGATCCTTTTTCTCTTCTCCTACCCTACTATTGTCTCAAACTCTCCCTCCCTGCAAGATTTGGTAGTAAGAACGTAAGCTTCTCAATGAGCTATTTCAAAAAAATTTTTTTACAATGCAATTGCGGATGGTTTGTTCTGCTTGCAGAATGGTATTTTATTCTACTCCCAGACATATAGCCATATGTTTCCTGTCACCTCGGTGACACAGATAAGCCTTACATCTGGCTGTCTTTACCTAGGTTATCTCCCCAACTTTTGCTAAACTTGAAGCTAATATCAACTTTATAAATTTTTGGCTTTATAACCGATTTTTGCCTTCTAAACAAAGGATTAAGAAAAGCCCCTTATTACTGAGGAAGCACTGAAGATTTTGTTGAGAACTGGTTGGCATAAACATGTGGTAAAATCGTACAGAAGAAATACACACACACACACCAGGAATACAAGTAAAACTGGAGAAATCTGAATAGAATCAATGGATTTTATCAATGTGATTATCCTGGTATTTTACAAGATGTTACCATTGGGAGAAACTAGGTAAAAGTATACACAATCTCTTTGGATTACTTCTTGAAACTTCATGCGAGTTTACAATTGTCTCAATGAGATTTTTCATTGAGAAAAGAAAAACGGGTTGGTAAACTTTTTCTTAAAGGGCCAGATAGTAAATATTTTAGGCTTTTCAAGAGCCATGAGGTGGAAACTTCTCAAATCCTTTGTTTTATAGCACAAAAGCAGTCAGTACATGAACGAGTGGCGGCTGTGTTCCCATGAAACTGTGTTACGGAAGTAGATGGCAGCAGACGATAGTTTGCAGACTTCTGGTTTAAAAAGAGACACAGGCTTTTAATATTCCATCTGCTGCTCCCTTGAAGGAAAAAATGTGGTAACAAAAGCTAATTATATATTTATGGTGTTGTGATTTGCAGCTTATTTTCTGTCCTCATGATTTTCTTAACTTGTATATTTATACATAAAGAATAACATTTTTGTTTATTTTAAATATTCTAAAAAGCACCACTTTGGTATCATGCTTCTCTATTTGGGGAAATCAAAACATTTAAAGTTACGTGTCTTAGAAAAGTAAGAAATTCTTTTTAGATATAATACTGTATTAAAGGAACAAATAACACTGAATTTCTGTCCTTAAGGTTTTCATCCCTAAACATGAATAATAATAAGTCAGAGAGTAAAGTTCTAGGTTGAAATAGCAATTTCTGCACATTTCCTCATTTTTATTCATCCGGTTACAGAGTTGAACATCCTCTGGAAGAATTTAGGTTGTATTCAGTTATTCTCATTTTCAGGGTGGGATTAAGCATGACCTTATGCAGAATTCCACTTTAAACAAGAATGCCCTCAAGCTTACTTTAGACAATGTTAAGAAAATCCACTCGATGAGATTTTGATATTTATTCGGTAGATTTTTTT
This sequence comes from Homo sapiens, assembly GCF_000001405.40. Taxonomy (NCBI): domain Eukaryota; kingdom Metazoa; phylum Chordata; class Mammalia; order Primates; family Hominidae; genus Homo; species Homo sapiens. The sequence continues at coordinate 182,576,121 of NC_000004.12, forward strand.
AACTTTTTCTTTCTCTTCATCCTGTCACATCATGAGCAGTTTGAAGACATCAGGTTCAGTTCCCTAGCAAAACCAAGTTTCTTCCTCCTAGTATGTTTCTTTTTCCTTCTGCTTTGAGTGGCTTCTGTGGAAAAACATCTTATATGTGGGATAAAAACGAAAACAATTTGTGTGAGAGACACACATGCGGTAGGTCTGTACTCAATGCTGTGGACTGTTAAAAACAAAGAAAGGTTTTGCTATTTAAAAGGAGAGGTAATGCAAATACTGCAATGCACTCATAAGAAAAAAATAAATTTTCCAGTAACTATAATTTAACAGCAATATAAGCCAGTCCTGTGTAGAGTTCTAAAATGATGAGAGTGGTTAGAGCCAAATAGGGTTCATATGATGAGATCTTGTGATGTGAAGTAATTTTAAAAGATGAAAGATACTTCTTAAATACTTTGGAAATTATATGGTTGACCCTCTTTTTTACCCAATGCTTCATTTAGTGTGTTGCTAAAGCTAATCAATTTATTCTGCCTCTTAATTATCTCTTGAATCTGGCCCTGCATGTTTATCTGCATTGCCAGGGCTTTCGTTTATACACTCAATACAATACTATAAATCTCTACTAACTCTCATCACCCAGCACCTACCAAAGGCAACACACACCCACATACACACAGCCTCCACACTGCTGTTAGGGTAGTCGTCATAAAATGTGTCTCTGACCTTATCATGTATTTGCTTAAAACCATTCCACAGCTCTCTTTGGCTAATAGGATAATATGCAAATGCCGAAGCGGAACAAGGCAAGGCCCATGAAAATCTTTATTCCACCTGTCTTCCAGGCTTCCTTTCCTGCCTCTTGCGAGTTCTCCTACCCTGTCCCAGCCCCACCCACACCCTCTGTGTTCTAGCCAGTCTGAACCACGGCAGCTTCGTGCTCCCTCTCACTGTCATGCCTTAGCCTCTTTCGGTCGTCCTGAAGGCTTCTCTGTTTGGAATATGCATTCTTCACAGCAACTAAAGCATTAGCTTATCGGAAAAACCTTCTGAGAAGCTTTCGGAACCCAGCATATTTCATCTCTTAGATTATTTACCAGATAATACTTCATCTCTCTGTATATCTGTATGCTCAAAAGCGAGGAGGCAATAAATATAGTGTAGTAGGGAGGAAAGCTTTAAAAAAGCAGGAAAGTATCTGTTTGACTCATACTGGAATTCCTAGGACTTTGAAAGTACCTGAAGTACAGTAGGTATTCTATGTAGGTGTGTTGTATAAATTAATGAGGGAAACAGTGAATGAATAAATGAAGGCAAGAATTGTGTCTTACTCCTTGGAATCAGATTGGATATCAGCCCACGAGGCATTTCTAAAGGTATTAAGAGTTTAAATGAGGACTCTGCCATCTGCAGTATTGCTATATTGAAGAAATGAATGTCTAAAGGAAATTCCTAATCATCAAGTAAGAAACCGTTACACAGGAGACTGCAGTGGTTATTTCAGAAATAGCAGTGGAGTCATTCACAGTTAAATGCACGCGCTCTATTAACAACCTAGGAATCCAGGGAATCTGGAAGAAAAATAAATTTGGGGAATCTATTTTTATTAGCGTGAATATCTATGGTTTTCATGCACATAGGTAATAGTACTTATTTATCCAGTATTAACTATCTTTATGATTCCTCAAGTACTCAGAAACTTAGGAGATGGTACACATAAATATCCTAACATGTAAACATTTCTAAACCATTATCACCTCTGAAATCTAATTTATTGCCTTCCCTCCTGAGGAGGATTCCCATTTTTATTTTTAAGTTTTTGCTTAAATGTCATATTTTCAGTAAATGCTATTCTGATGACCCAATTTAATTTTTTTTTTTTTGAGTTGGAGTCTTGCTGTGTTGCCCAGGCTGGAGTGCAATGGCGCAATCTCCACTCACTGCAAGCTCCACCTCCCAGGTTCAAGCAATTCTCCTGCATCAGCCTCCCAAGTAGCTGGGATTGCAGGCACCCACCACCACGCCCAGCTAATTTTTGTATTTTTAGTAGAGACGGGGTTTCACCATATTGGCCAGGCTGGTCTCAAACTTCTGACCTCGTGATCCGCGCACTTAGGCCTCCCAAAGTGCTGGGATTACAGGCGTGAGCCACCACCCCAGCCCCAATTTAAAATTTTGATTCCTTCTCCAGCAGTTCTAATCGCCTACCCTGCCTTGTATTCTGTCAATATCACCTTCCCTTTCATTTACTAATTTATTATGTTTCCTGCATATTGTTCTCCCCTTCTTCCCCTCCACTTGCTACAATGTAAGCTCTACAAGGGCAGAGGTTTTTATGTTTGTTTTTAGCTGTGATAGGTGCTTGATAGGTGCTGTGATAGGTGCTTGAGTGAATATCTGTGGAATGAATGAATCAACCAATACTACATGAGTCTCTCAGCTCACATTCTTAAGAAAATAGTCATCACTTCACAGCCTGATTGCTGTCACATGGCCCTTAAGAAAATAGTCATCACTTCACAGCCTGATTGCTGTCACATGGCCCTTGTACTCTGGAAGAGCACTCAGGTTAATCTCCCTCTGACTTCTTTTCTCATAATAAATTTCTTCCCAGGAACCTCTGTGTGGCCTACCAAATCAGGTACAGATTCTTCCACTTGGAGGTGAAAGTGGTTGGTTGGCCCCACTTTATCTATCCAGAACTCTCTCTTAAGTTGCTTTCCAAACCAGTGTTGTTTGGAAATCTCCAGTCTTCCTGCTTTGACTTTGCTAACTGTGCTTCTCTTCAAGGTTTAGCTAAATGTTAGTCTACACTTTAAGCCTTCGAAACCAACCCCGGCACAAAGCAAATGTTTCCTTGTTCACCTTCTTCATGTAGTTTATTATTTTGCACCTGCCTGAGATTTGTGTTCTCGCTGTCTCAGGAATGGAAGTCCCATCTCCTCAATTAGGGAATAAGCCCCTTTAGGCCAATACACCTGCCTTCTTCTGTATCTCCACGGTACTTAACATTATGGATAAATACAGTTAGGACTTGTGGCTTCGCAGCGGTGAACCATTGTTGGTTCTAGACAAAAAACAAAGTTTTGAAAATGCCATGTTGGTTTTAAACAGAATATATTGGAGTAGAGAAAGTCAGTAGGCAGAGAGAGCAGCATTCTATTTCCTCAGAGCACATATCTAGTCAGCAGAGAGTGATTTATTTAATAAATGAGAGGTAGGGAAGGGTCTAGGTAGGATAATGCAATGGGAAAACAGAGGAAAGAACATAACCAAATAACATTTTGAATAAGCTAACAAGAAAATTGTTGATTTGGATCAAAGAATCAAAGAGCAAGAGTCAAAATGTCACCAAACTTTTGAGTAGAAAATGGGGATTTCAGTGGAAAGGTGAAATAGTTGAGAAAGAGGAGGAGATCTTGGATTGGGCAGAGAGTATAAAACGAGGATGATACATTTAGTTTGGGACAGATGGACAGTGCACATAGGGAAGAGAGAAATATGTTTTCCTTTAAGATTTTTTAGTAGAAGAGTAATGACATTACATTGGCTGTAATGGATTTTTGAAATTATTTCCACAAATTTGAAAACTTCTCTTTTTTTCCGCCAATATGGATTAATTTTCAGGGATCATATTTTGCAGTGAACCTTTAAAATCTCATCAGCTTATTTTAAAGCAAAGTTGTTACAGGACTCTGGTATAAGGAAAGTTACATTAATTGAAACATTCATACTAGTATAATTGTGCTATAATTCTCATTTGAAGTTTAAATGAGGTTTAGTGCTGGCTACAGAGGGAGGGACACACTGGAAACTAATTTATCTGTGAGAAGGCAGAGGAGCAGAGTATGACATTTTGGTCCTTTTGAGAAAATTTGCAGGATGTTGAGGTCCGTTGCTGCTGCTGCTGCTGTTTCTGTTGTTTTAAATAGTATATAACTAAGGGTGAGGACCATTAGAGGACAGAAATCACATCTTAATCAGCTTTGATTTTTTTATGTTTAAAAAAGAGATTGAGATTCACTTTGTAGTCTAGGGAGTTTAATTAAAGTAAGTGGAGACAAAAGTACTCTTTTGAGAGCTGTCATTTCTCTTAGTGTGACGCTATTAATAATGTAGTGTAATGCTATTTTGGAAGTTTGGTTCTTTCCTTTTCTTTTGTCTTCCTCTGACTCTTTTCTGTATTCTAAATGAAAGGGGAATAATGCACTTAGAGGGGGGCACTCTCCTAAATTCACTGTCTCATGTACGACATTATCTCCGACTTCGGCTCTCATGTTTTGAAAAAATACCTCTTCATCGCTCTATTTTTATTTTTCTTCTTCTTTTATTGTGAATCTCTTTTACCAAAAACATTTGTAGGGTTCTTCACAAAGATTTTTTTTTTCAATCAGGATGAAAACTAGATCATGATGTGACCATTTCACTGTGAGTGTAACTTCCCTTTTTGACAGCTCCATTAGATCTGCCAGGTTATAAATCTTCATATTTCTGACTTGCCTTGAAATCAGAAAGTGTTTTCATTATGCTAGTCTCTGTGAGCAACAAGCATGAAGGAAGGCATGGCAGGTATCATAGCCCCTTTGATGAACTTACCTGTTTCAACTCAGTGCCAGGGCAGAACATTTACTGCTAACCCTGATGGGTCAACTTTGATTGCAAATTATGTGTGGTACATTTTGAATTTAAAGAATGTTTCTGAGATTATTCTACGATCACTTGTCATTTTTATGTGTGCAGTAATGTGTTGTGTATAACTTGGATTTCAACAATATCCATTGTTTGAAAGTTAGAAAATATTCTAAGAATACTAATTATCTTGCTCAAATAATCATTTAAGTACAACTGTCACTTGATTATGGTGAATATTTTTAAGTAAAATTATATATTTAAGGTGTGCTACCTCTAATTTTATTGTCATACAAAAAGCAGATTATTGAACATGTTAATGTAAATTGTACTTTTAATTTTTTCCAGTACTCTAGAACATGTGTAAGGTTAAAAGAATTTAAATTACCCAGGTTTTTCTTTTTACATAATAAATAAGAAGAAATCACAAAGGAAGCAGATATTATATTGTTTTTAATATAACATGAAATTGTTTGACTTTATTTTGATGACCTCACAAAAGTATAAACATGGCAGTGGTGTGTATGATCAAAGTAAGAAATTAAAGAGTTACCGGTTCTTTATAAACCAGAAGTCCATTGACTTTTAATAATGCTGTCTCAAATATTTGATAGTAAATTGTGGAAATAATCAAAGCTGAGCCTATGGGACTGTACTTTGTAGTACTGTTTAATTTAATAACTCTAATAATCCCTTAAGAATATTAGGAAAAATAGGCCGGGTGCAGTGACTCACGCCTGTAATCCCAGCACTTTGGGAGGCCGAGGAGGGCGGATCACCTGAGGTCAGGAGTTCAAGACCATCCTGGCCAACATGGTGAAAACCCATCCCTACAAAAACACAATAATTAGGCAGGCATGATGGTGAGTGCCTATAATCCCAGCTATTCAGGAGGCTGAGGCGGGAGAATCTCTTGAACCCAGGAGGCGGAGGTTGCAGTGAGCCAAGATTGCGCCATTACACTCCAGCCTGGGCGACAGAGCGAGACTCCCTCTCAAAAAGAAAAATAAAAAAGAAAAAAGAATATTAGGAAAAATATCTTAATGCAAAATATATTAATTAGTAATCTGCCAACACTGAGATGTACTATAAGGCCAAGAAGAAAAGGAATGATATCTAGAGTCTTGTCATTTTTTAAGTCATTGCTTTTAGAGATTTTTTTAACCTCACATATATTTTTGTTTCTTAGCATAAGAGGGAGGAAAATCAAAAGCTCAAATAGAGAATTTAAAAATGAGACAAAAGACCGCCCACATACTAAAAAGTGTTAATTATAAAACTGGAAACTAACATTCAAATTATTTTTTCATCTCTGTTCCCCTATTTAATATGCAGTGTAGTTTCCCTGTAACGGAAGAATGCTTCTGCTATCACGGCTGGACTGGGGTCTCCACACTGGCCTTTGCTGGATAGCACTCTGACCTCCAGCTCAAAGTAAAGCAAGCATTCTTCCATTTAAAATTGAATTTCTACGGTACTGCCTTAATACGAATACTTCCTCTTCATTTCCTTCTTGACAACATGCCTGGAACAAAAATGACAAAAATAATTATTCCTGTATAAATTAGTATGGAGAGCTTTGGGGTCATACTCTGTGACCATTGCCAGATTTCTTGATTTCTCTGTACATTTTTTCCCACTTGTGAAACAGGAATACGTACCTACAGCTTAAGGTAGCTATGAGATTAAACAGGATAGTGCATGTTAAGCCTATTGCGTAATCAGCTTAATAAGCTTTCATGAGTATAAATTTCTGTTGTGTATTCCACCGGCCTATGTGTGTAGAATCCATATAGTTACGTTGAACCTAGATTTTTAGTAAGTCTTTTTTGAAGTTACTAAGTAATTAAATTACTTATAACCAACAAAACAAAAAAAAACATATAAAATAGAGGAGAACTATATAAGTCCTTTTTTTAAAAAAGTAGCAAACAGTATTTTTTAGTGTCAGGGATTAAAGGAATTGTTTTAGACTCGATATGGACGTGTTAGAATGCTTTAAAAATCGATTCTAGCTAATGGAGAGAATGTTTTTAAAATGAACTATTGCCATTCCTTCAGTGAACCACATACAACAAGAAAAAATTCACATAAACATTGAAGGAAAGGCAAGCTCTTCCTTACAGAAGTAATGAGAATCGCAGCGATTTGCCTTGGGGAATTAGAATGTGGAGACTCTTTTCCCTGTGCAGTATCCCCTAATGTCTAGGAGCAGATAAGTAGCCTCTAATTTTAAATGTGCAGTTATCCAAACAAGATGAATGTGCAGGGCAAAGCTGGATAAGAATGTCGATCTTAATGTTAATATTTTTATTCTCCTTCGTAATCGACATATAGTTGGCAAAAGCCAAATGTCTGTGAGATCCCTAAAGACCACAGCTAACTCAGGAGAGCTGTAGCCAGCTTTATCTTACATCAGCTGTGGAGATCTGGCCCGAGGGAGACACATCCCAGAATAAGCCCCTTGCCATTGTCCTTTACAATGTTTTAAATCAGTTATTTTATCTTGTCTAGATTTATATTTTGTAAAATGCAAACTGATAAAGCATGACAGCATTCAAGACATAGAGTTAGCAACTGAAGCTTAAACCTCTGTGTGTGTGTGTGTGTGTGTGTGTGTGTGTGTGTGTGTGTGTGTATTTTAGGTAAAATATTATATAGAGAGATTTAGGGAATTCTTTTAAAAACTGGAAAGAAAGACATTAGAAATCATAATCTACTCCCCTAATATTACAGATGAAAGGAACCAAGACTAGAAGAGTAAAATATGTTAGTGATAAAGCCAGTACCTAAATATGTTAGTTTGTGTTCAAAGTAAAAATATCAAATATAAGAATCGTCTTCTTTTCATTTATATCTCCCTAATTTTTATATAAGTAAGATTCTATTTTTAATTCTAGATCTTTGATATATGAAAATGACTTGTATTTGAAGTGTTTAATTTTTGAAGTTTTTAAAATTAATGTCAGAACACTAGATTCCTCTTAAAAGTAAATTAGTAATTATATTTTAAAAATAAAATATACATTTTGGCAATACAAACCCAGTTATCATTTAATTGTTAGCATGTGTTTTCTACAGATATATTTTCCTTACTAGGCAGATAATGTACATGCTTGCTAATGAAAGCTTTGTGAGCTATGTGTCTTTGGCACTTATTTTGCATAAATTATAATACTGTGTTTTACTAAAATATGGGTTAAAGCAAATATATTCAAGACAGTGTGCAAATGTGAATGCAACAGATTCCAAATAGATGATTTTTTATTGATAAATAGTAATATAAGTTTTACTGCAGTTTTAAGAATCATCAAGATTTTCAACAGAAGGGCTTATTTGTTTTAAACCCTAAGCCGCCTTTCTGAAACCTGAAAAAGATTTGTGAAAACAGCCTGCAATAAAAATCACACACACTTCATAAAACAGTACTTGATAGATATCACTTGCACCATTAAGAGCTAAACGACAAAGGATGTAATTTCAGTTCTGGCATGCAATATTAATCGAAAGCCTTTAAAACATCTTGCTGATGGGAACTATGACAACATGACATTGAAGAATTATGAGCTAAAGACATCTATCTTAATCAGATTTTTGAAGTAAATGCCATAAAACATAAAGTTGTTTTCTTCATCTTTACATTTTTACATGTTTTTGGTGGGAGCATGATTTTCTAGTGTGTTGCTTTAAATGCAGAGACTGCAAAATCAGTATTTAAAAGTATGAGTTCAGTACACAGAGTTGAAGCAAATTTTAGTCAATACACTCTGCATACACAGGGAATTATTTCTGTAATAATGTACATTTTTCCATCTTTTATGCCAGCGATTTGTCTTAAGCAAATACTTTAAATAAATGATATTAATAGATATTTTGGAAACATAATTAGGTGTTTCTTTGCCTTTTTTTCTTTTTTTGAGACGGAGTATTATTCTGTCGCCCAGGCTGGAGTGCAGTGGTGCCATCTCGGCTCACTGCAACCTCCACTTCCCTGGTTCAAGTGACTCTCCTGCCTCAGCCTCCCAAGCACCTGGGATTACAGGCGCCTGCCACCATGCCTGGCTAATTTTTTTGTATTTTTAGTAGAGACAGGGTTTCTTCATGCTGTTCAGGCCGGTCTCGATCTCCTGACCTCAGGCAATCCACCCACCTCGGCCTCCCAAAGTGCAGGGATTACAGGCGTGAGCCACCGTGCCCAGCTGTATATTTGCCTTTATAAATTTAGAAATGAAAACAGAATGCTTGTAAAGACCTCCCCATAGAAAGAAATTATCTTATGGATATACTAACATGTAAACATCTTTTTTTCCTAAAAGAAATACGGCAAAAACATTTATTACTTTGTTTGAATAATTAAGAAAAGCCTGGAAATTAACTCCTTCCACTAAAATAACACTTCACAGTTTATAAAAATACTTTAATATACATTATCTCCTTTAATTCTCACAACATTTCCTTTTAAGATTGATTATTACCCCATTTTACAGGTGAGGAATTGGAGTATTTACAATAGGAAATTGATGATATAGTTACTAAGTTTGGGACAGGGAGCTTAAACTGTCCCATTTGGGACAGGAAACCAGATGTTATGGGCTAAATGTTTGTGTCCCCCAAAATTCAAATGTTGACGCTGTAATCCCCTATGTGACTATTGGAGCTAGGGCCTCTAAGGAAGTAATTAAGGTTAAACGAGGTCATCAGGGTGTAGCCCTGATCCTGCCGCATTAGCATCCTTATAAGAAGAGACACCAGAGGGCTTTGCTCTCCTGCATTGCTCCCCTGCTGTCTGCCTCGCCTCAGCAAGAAAACAGCCATCTGCAAGCCAGGAAGAGAACTGTCACCAGAAACCAACCGACCCTGCCAGACCTTGATCTGTGACTTCTGGTCTCTAGAACTGTGAGAAAATCATGTCTATTATTTAAGCCACCCAGTCTATGGCATTTTGTTACGGAAGCTTGAGCAGACCAGTACGTCACATCTCTATTCTCTTCATGATATATCCAGTGCTTATTCATCTCTTCTATGGACAATTTTAACAAACTGGCACCAAACTATGTGTAGACTCATGAAATGAAAGCTCATAAGATCCATGAAAGACTATCTTAGTTACTGCTTCTTTTTGAACCTTTATGTTGAGAGGAAGGTTCCTAGTGGCAGTGAGCATCTTGAAGAAAGATGCAGGCTTCCAATCTCAATATATCATGTTTACTACTATTTTAAAAGGCACAACCGGCTGGGCACAGTGGCTCACGCCTGTAATCCCAGTGCTTTGGGAGGCCAAGGTGGGAGGATCACTTGAGACCACAAATGTGGGACCATGTGGGGCAATATAGCAAGACCCCCACCTCTACAAAGCATTTTAACAAATTAGCTGAGGATGGTGCTGCATGCCTGTAGTACCCGCTACTCAGGATGGTGAGGTGGGAGGATTCCTTGAGCCCAAGAGTTCGAGGTTGCAGTGAGCTATGATCACAGTACTGTACTCCAGCCTGGGCAACACAGCAAGACCCTCTCTCTTAGAGGCACAAAAAAGCCTTAGAAAATACAGATTATTAATTTCCCAAACAATTATAGGACCTTACATTTATAGTACTTGCCATTCACGGGGCATTGTCATATACGTGATCTTACTTCGATGTTGGCCCTCATGTCTCCCATATTCAGTATTCTTTTCAGTGTACCATCCTGCCTTTCATAGGTGCTCAGTCAAAGCAGCATAAAAGCATATATTGGGAAGAGGCTTTTAGTGTTGTATACACACAAAAAACATACCCCCAAATTGTTAATGACAGAGAAGGGAATTCAGCAAATACACGTCTATGGTAGCTTCATCTATGATTCTATTTTCCTTTTAATCAAGAATGATCATTACATGGTTTCCACTTAACAGATCACTCTCATTGCACGTGCCAAGAATAGAAAGGATACGCTGGGTTCCATTGAAGTTCATTGCATCTACATATTTCATGTTCATGATAATACATATCTCTGCCTAGATGTCATACTATGACTGGAAGGACACTTAAATGAATATTTGATTTGACTTTGATGTAAAACATTAAAAGACAGTAGGGACTCAATAAACTACAGGTAAGAAATAACATATCAAATAATATGCTAGAAAAAAATAACTGCAAAATTAATATATTTTTGAGAAGCAAGATCAGTAGCGTCATTGGGAACTTTATCTGTGTGCTCTTCAATTATTTGTTTTTCCTATAGTTGCTGAAATATTTAAGAAAGAAGAATCAGAAAAAAAGCTCAAAGCAGACTGAATCTTTTTGCTAAAAATAATTTTTAAAATGTATTATAATTGTCTTCATAACTTTTATAAAACAGATCAGTTTTCTTTTAAAATTTTTTTTTAAGAGACACAGTCTCACTCTGTTGCCCAGGCTGAAGCACAGTGGCATGATCATGGCTCACCGTAGCCTCAACCTCCTAGGCTCAAGTGATCCTCCCATCTCAGCCTCCCAAGTATTAATAGTTGGAACTACAGGCACATACCACCATGGCCCCATTAATTTTCACATTTTTTTGTAGATGGCCAGGTGCAGTGGCTGACACCTGTAATCCCAGCACTTTGGGAGGCTGAGGCAGGCGGATCACCTGAGGTCAGGAGTTCAAGACCAACATGGTGAAACCCCATCTCTACTAAAAATACAAAAATTGGCTGGGCTAAAAATACAAAAATTTTTGTACTAAAAATACAAAAATAGTTCCAGCTACTGGGGAGGCTGAGGCAAGAGAATTGCTTGAACCCGGGAGACAGAGGTCGCAGTGAGCCAAGATCGCACCACTGCACTTCAGCCTGGCAACAGAGTGAGACTTCGCCTCAAAAAAATGTTCTTTGTAGAGATGGATTTTGTCATGTTGCCCAGGCTGGTCTTGAAATCGTGGTCTCAAGTGATCTGCCCACCTCGGCCTGCCAAAGTTCTGGGATTACTGATACGGGCCACTACACCTGGCCTGGTTTTCTTTTAAGCTTGAAAGATGCATCCTAGCCTTTTACATAGTTATTTTTACAATTTGTTTAAAAATTTTTTACATTAAAATCTGAAATAAATTTAAGTTGGATATAAAGTGATTTTCATTATATGTACCTTAAGATGTTAATAGTTATAATACAAGATAATATGGATGAGTTTATTTTTAAAATAAAGGTATTATTTTTAATGTCTTTAATATAAGATAGTATGGTAGGGTATTTTATGACTTGAGTTAATACAGTGAAGTTTTCATAATACTTGAAGTAAAATTTTTTGTACTATCAATCCCTTAAATGTTTTATATGTATAACTTAAGATGGTATGATATGGTTTTTAATTACTTTAAATTTCAAATACCCATAACATAAGCTAATATATTTTAAGATTTTATAATGTATTACCTAAAATAAAGGGAATTTTAAAATTGAAAAACTTCAGACTTCATTGCATGACTCCAATCCTGCTCTCCCCTCAGAAGTTAATTGATTTATATAGTTAGGTTTAGTTAGAGTAAGTGCTCAGTCCTGTGTCTCCTGTTTCCTTTTGTAGTACTCTTCTATACCAGACATTTTATTTGTGATATGTTATCTGAAAAGCATAGCAAATTCTGCATTGTTTGAACTATGTGATTTGCTTTCCTTACTCTTTATAAGCCACACTTTATAAGTCACAATAATGTAGCTTTATTTGCCTTCCACCCTGTCCTTATCTATATTACAAATGTGTTTTATTTATATCATATCATATATACTCCATTTAAAGTCAATAAAATTTAATTTCACTAAAACGAAATGCTCATAATAAGGTAATAAGGGGAGAGAAAAGCGTTGATTGATTTATGTCAGTTCTTTATTGTCAAGATTGGGACAGCTTCTTCCTTTTTTGCTTACTCTCTCAGGTAAAATATTTTAAAATGGGTAGAAGAATATCCTGAAACATACACTGAGACATTTTAAAGGTATTTTTATCCAGTTTTTTATGCATGTATAAAAGATATGTTTATGTATGTTTCTGTTAGAAATGATTATGCAAAACTAAGAATTTCATAGGAAAAATGTGTCTGAGGCATTATGGTTGACAAGATAAACTACTTTAACTATCAAAAGATAGCCATGTACACTTGTTTTCACCCACTGAAATAGTTCAGAGTGCTTGACATTTAGATTAACTGCACACTTTGGAGCAGCAACCATTGAAGCCAGAACAATATCTTTGAAGAGAAGTTACTGCCACTCAAGATAAGTTGCTTTTTAAATAGAAGATAACCAGAAATTCTGCTATCCAGTAACAAGAAGAGAATAGCAGAGACCATTCATACTAAATGAGAAAGACATGAATAAATATATATTCTGTTTAATTTCACAATCATAAGCATGGTATTAGGAGCTTTGGAGAAAGCTGTTTTAGGAGCTCTAAAGAAAGCTCTATTCTTGCCTTCTAGAACTCCTACTGGATGTATATTGAGCTTTTCTATTTTTTTTTCTTTGAAGTACTCGTATATATGTAAGCACTCTTTATCTTTCTGGTACTATCTGAATGATTTTCTCAGATCTGTTTTCCAGTTTAATGGTACTCTCTATAATTGTGTCTACTATACCATTTAAACAATCCAATGAGATTTTAATTTCAATGACTACATTTTTCCTATGTACAGACATTCTACTTTTGTCAAAATCGCCTCTTATTTTTTCATAGTGTCTAATTCTTAGGTTTTTAATTTTTTTTTTTTTTTTTTTGGTCCTTAATCATTCTGAACATGCTTACAATTTTATCTGACAGATACACTTACCCCAAGTTTGGGGAAGACAAATTGCTGCTTTTTGTTTTGTCTGTAGACTGTAGCTGAAGGTAGATTGTTTCCTCTTAAATTTTGTAGTTTGTGAACTCACTGAAAGCAAGGTTCGGTCTTAGAAATCCTTTGTGACTTGGTTTGAGAGTATATTCTTTTAAAAACGGTTTGCGGCCGGGCGCAGTGGCTCACGCCTGTAATCCCAGCACTTTGGGAGGCCGAGGTGGGCAGATCACTTGAGGTCAGGAATTTGAGACCAGCCTGGCCAACATGGTGAAACCCCATCTCTACTAAAAATACAAAAAATTAGCTGGGCTTGGTGGTGTGCGCCTGTAATCACAGCTACTTGGGAGGCTGAGGCAGGAGAATCGCTTGTACCCGGGAGGCAGAAGGAGGTTTCAGTGAGCCGAGATCGCACCGCTGCACGCCAGCCTGGGCAACCAAGCAAGACTCTGTCTCAAACAAAAACAAAAACAAAAAACGTTTGATTTGCTTCTGCCGGGTGCCTCAGGCAGAAGCATTGCTGACCCAAGACCACTTTTAATATTAATTTCTTGGCTTGGGGTTCCAGAACCATAATGATAGTTTAAGTTTCAATCTAATATTCCAATCCCAGGGAGGCCCAGGCTAGTGGGTAAAATTTTCCTATCAGGAAAAAACAAGTTGTTTAAGACAACATAGGAGATTTCTTATTGTTCCCTTTGCAGTGAGAAAATTTTTAAAGTTTCCTCTTTGAATGAGGGCGTGACACTTCAAGGGTCCAGGCGTTATCTAGGAGTCTCAGTAACAGTTGAGACCTACCTAGTCTTCTCCTTGTTCATTAAAAAGGTTACAGAGGGCTGGGCATGTTGATTCACGCCTGTAACCCCAGCACTTTTGGAGGCTGAGGTGGGAGGAACACTTGAGCCCGGGAGTTCTAGATCAGCCTGGGCAACATAGTGAAAACCTGTGTCTACAAACAATACAAAAATTATCCAGGTTTGGTGGCACATGCCCAGCAATAGAGCGAGACCCTGTCTCAAAAAAAAAAAAAAAAAAAAAAAGAAAAAGAAAAAGGTGGGCCAAGTGCAATGGCTCACGCCTATAATCCCAACACTTTGGGGGGCTGAGGCAGGTGGATCACGAGATGAAGAGATCAAGACCATCCTGGCCAACATGGTGAAACCCCATCTCTAAAAATACAAAACTTAGCTGGGCGTGGTGGTGCACACTTGTATTCCCAACTACTCGGGGGGCAGGAGAATCACTTGAACCTCAGAGGCGGAGGTTGCAGTCAGCTGAGATTGCACCACTGCACTCCAGCCTGGAGACAGAGCGAGACTCCGTCTCAAAAGAAAAAAAAAAACAAAAAACCAGAAAAAAGAAAAAGATTACAGAAACTGGCAGACCTCCTCAGGAAAGCTATGCCAGCTTACCTGCACTTTACGTTTTTTCTCTTCCCTCTGCTTTTGGCTTATTCTTTCTTTCCAATTCAGTCAATTAACCCAAAGTGTAAGTTCCACAGGCAGGCTGAGATTGTTGGCTTTTTGTTCATGGATATAACTTCAGTGCCTAGAACAGAGCCTGGCATAAAGTAAACACTCAAGAGATGCTAAATGAATTCATCCAAAAGGTAGTATATTTAACCCAACAATTCTAGGTGTTTTATATAGCAAGGAAGTTGGCAGTTAGGTAATCTAGGTTGCCGCATTGTCTGAAATAGAAAGTACAGTAGAATCTAAAAAAAGAGAGAGAAAGAGAGAGAGAACGTGAAGATTTAGATTCAGACTTTGATTATTTCTTCTAATCCTCAAAGCATGACCCTAAAGATACTAAACCAAATTCTCACTAACCCAGTAAGTACAGTGAATCACTTCATCTGTGTTCATCTGAGTAATACCTTCTAGGCAGTTTAAGTCTTTCTTTTGTATCCTTTTATTTATCACCAGGGCATTTCATACTCAGTGTCTTTTTATAAATAGTTTTACAATCAATTGATGATGAAGGTCTTAAGAACAATAGTGTTTACTTATATTGCATCATAACAATGTTCAAAACACATTTTGAAATTTCATTTGATTTACAGGCAACTATCTGACAGATATTTACGGTGGTGAAAATTTTTACACAGTACTGTATTTTAACCAAGGGCTTACAGAGGTATTTAAATGGAAAACTCACTTTGAAACACTGGGCTTGTGTGAGAATTCTAGAAAAAATAATGAACTACAGGAACTGGTTTATGTGAAAGTGATTTTCTGAGTAAAATGAGGTCTTTCTTTTCCAATTTTTATTATGCCATTTTAGGTGGTTATATTATTAATAGAATATTTGAGGGGCTGGATTGGAAAACGAAAGGAAAAGAAAACCCCTGAATATCTGTTTTTGTTTTCCGATGAGCTTCACAGACTTTGTGATATGAGTATAAGCACCTATTTCCTTAACTCAAATTTTCTCCATTTATAAGAAAAATTATTGCCACCTAATTTTTTTCCTTCAGAGGGAAATAATGACTACTAAATGTCTGCAATGTGTGTGAGATTTTCTGGACAAAAGAGGCATTTTAATGGTAATTTACTGTTTTCAGTGTCATAAAAATGTTGAATTTATAATACCACCTTTCTTTTCTTCTTTTTTTTTTTTTTTTTACATCTGCAACAGATTTATTTTTAAAGGAATGGATTATAATACCACCTTTCTAATAGCTCCTGAAATGTAACCAGATCAGGGAAGTGTTGTTACCTGAAGTTACCTAACTTTAGAAAATCAAGGAGAAGCAGTTTCTGGAAAGCCACAGAGTTAGTCGATAATGAAATAAGAGATTAAGCTACACCAAGGATTAGATTGGTATTTTCAAAATCAAAAACCAACTCTCGTTTTGTCCTTGTACACTTGGAAGATCCACCTGAGGCTCTGGCCACTGTAGTTAAAATTCACATGATGGAGCCGGGCATGGTGGCCCACACCTGTAATCCTAGCGCTTTGGGAGGCCAAGGTGGGTGGATCACCTGAGGTGAGGAGTTCAAGACCAACCAGGCCAGCATGGTGAAACCCCGTTTCTACTAAAAATATAAAAAATTCACTGGGCGTGTTGGCGCACGCCTGTAATCTCAACTACTTGGGAGGCTGAGGCAGGAGAATCACTTGACGGAGGTTGCAGTGAGCTGAGATTGTGCCACTGCACTCCAGCCTGGGCCACAGAGCAAGACTGTGTCAAAAAAAAAATCATATGATAGTAAAATATACAAAAACAAAAAGTTTTATACAATTTGTTTTGATGACTTGTTTTTAAGAAAGAGGTCAATTTTGAAGAAGACTTAAGTTTTGTTTGAGACGAGAGAAAGTAAAGATATAGCCAGGAAGTGAGGTGAAAACGAATTTTAGGACACAGAAATGAAGACTTTAATTCCATCCTTTGCAAATCATCCATAAATATGTTTGGCTTCTTTTAAATGTTCGTCAAGTTCAACAATTGAAAAGGAACTGACAGAATTTGGTTTAGTATCTTTAGGGTCATCCTTTGAGCATTAGAAGAAATAATCAAAGACTGAATCTAAATCTTCACATTCTCTTTTTGTCTTTGAGAGTCCAGTGTACTTTCTGTTTTAGGCAATGTGGCAACCTAGATTACCTGACAACTCCCTTGCTATATAAAACAATATGTGTATCATATTGCAAGCTCTTAAGAGGGCTAAGGCCAGAGGGTTTTCATTTATTCCACTTGCTATCATTATTATTCAGGAGTAAGGAAGCCACATGCTGATGAATGAATACCCAGGAGGTGTTTTGTGTAACGGTGCTTCTCAGATTCTCTCACAGTTTTGTGAAATTAAAACTGTTTCTGTCTCTCTGTCTGTCTGTCTGTCTCCCTCCACCTCCACCCAGTTTCTGCCTGTCCCTCTCTGTCCTTTCTTCTTCCGTCCCTCCATCTTCCTTTCTCCATCCCTTCCTGACTCCATTTGTCTTTTGATGACTGACTTTACTCAAACTACTCGTATTCTGAAGCAGCACAGCTGTCCGCCCTTAGCTTCTATCTCCCTTCCAGATTAGGGTATTTGTTCCCTGGGGACGTGTGTAGCCAGGCCACATGGAGATCCAGGGAAGGAGGGGAAGGAGAACAGGGTGAAGGAAGTGGGTGGGACAGAGCAGTTGGAGTCGCTGCAGTGACACCTTTCCAACTGTGCACACCTGCTGAAAGCGAATGCCAGCCCACTCTCCTCCTTTCCTCTCATCTCACACTCACCTTTTACTTCCTCCCACATGAACCGAGCACACACATACAAATGCAGACATATACTCACACCAAGATATTTTCATCTCACAGCAGGTATTATTTTCTTCCCCAGTTTTCCTGTCTCAAAGTCCATTTCCACTCTGCTCCCTGAAGACCACAGCCCAAGGCTGTAAACCAGGGAGGAGCTGGAGCTGAGTTGCACATGGCAGCCTGGGAGCTGCCAGCAGTAGCTTTTAGTCTTAAAAAAAAAAAAAAGAAGCCAGCAAATAAGCCCAGATATGCATTGTTTTGTTTTGTTTCTTCTTGGCATGATCCTGTGGCCATACTAGCTAGGAAAAGGTGACTAGGCCGAACTTCATGACTATGAGATCAAATTCCTTCCTGTGTGAGAACTGGCAAGAGGTTAGTTTGTTTTCTGTTCTTATGACATTTCCTTTTTGCATATTTTTGATTTTTATTTTTTTTAGAGGCAGGGTCTTGCTGTGTTGCTCAATCTGGTCTGGACTCACACAATCTTCCTGCCTCAACCTCCCCAAGTGATAGGATTACAGGCGTGAACCACTGAGCCTGGCCCTATGACATTTCTGATCGTAATTTTTCTACCTGTTAAAGCAAACACTTTTTTGTCTCTACAAAAAATTTAAAAATTAGCTGGGCATGGTGGCACACATCTGTCCCAGGTACTCAGGAAGCTGAGGCAGGAGGACCAGTTGAGCCCAGAAGTCTGAAGCTGTGGTGAGCTCTGATCACACCACTGCACTTCAGCCTGGGCAACACAGCAAGACCTGTCTCTAAATAAATCAATAAAGTGAACACATTTCCTCTCCAGGCGTATTTGCTTGTGTGTTCTCACTTCTGGTGATGGTGCTATTAGTTGCTGACAAGGCTTTTCTGTTACTTTGTTTTTCCTCATGATGTTCTGCCCTTTATTTCTTCCCTGTTTTTTGTTTTGGTGTGTGTGTGTGTGTGTGTGTGTGTGTGTGTGTGTGTGTGTGTGTGTTTTCCCGAGATGGAGTCTTGCTCTGTTACCCAGACTGGAGTGCAGTGGCGTGATCTCAGCTCACTGCAACCTCCGCCTCCTGGGTTCATGCAATTCTCCTGCCTCAGCCTCCCAAGTAGCTAGGATTACAGGCACGTGCCACCGCGCCCAGCTAATTTTTGTATTCAGTAGAGGTGGGGTTTCACCATGTTGGCCAGGCTGGTCTCGAACTCCTGACCTCATGATCTGCCCACCTCAGCCTCCCAAAGTGTTGGGATTACAGGTGTAAGCCAGTGCACCCAGTCTCTTCCCTGTTCTTGGCACTTAACTTTTATGTCAGGCACTGTGTGTTTTTAGCTCCTTTAAACAAGCACTATCAAATAAGTGAGGCTCAGAGAGATTAAGTAATTTATGCAAGAAAATATCCCACGGAAAGTAAATATGCCATATTCATTGTCATGTGTCTCAATGGCGCCTCTCACCATGCTGATTCATAATAACAGAGTTGCTATCTAGGGAAAGTCACCAGCAGTTTTTCTTCTTCTCCATGCAGAGTTCCATGAATAGGCCTTACATTTGCTTGGAACTGGGGGCCGGTAAGCTGCTTACACTGTAATCTACCCTGTATCCAATAGCTCGTAGCATTTTCCTGGTATAATAGTCAACATACTTTATTCAGTGTACACCATGATCCAGGTTCTTAACCCATGCCAGCAGGTCTAACATGGGAACAGAATGCCTTAAGTGACGCTGTTGAAGAGCTAAGGGAGGAGCAGGGTGACCGCAGTCTTTATTATCTAATCTCTATGATTAATGTGAGTTTTAAAAAACATCTGATATTAATTTCATTCAACATAGTGAATAAAAACATGCAACTGTTAGGCTTTCATTGAAGTTATATGAGCAGTGGGACCTTGATAAAGGAAAGGCACGTGGAAAGAAAGAGTAAATTTAATAAAGACGCTGTTTGGGTATGATGCATAATTTCTCATAACCATGGTACCGAGAATTTAATTTTCAGAAAGATAGAGAGGAATATTTTGAAAAAATAATTGATACCTTTTCTAAAATATCTAAGAGCATTGCTAATCATAAGCTTTAAAATATTAATAAAAGGAAAACATACTGTGTTTGGTAAAATATAATTTATAATAATTTTTAAATATTATTTTATAGCTTTCATTTTATATATTATATATTTTATATGATCTTTATATTATTCACATATCTTTAAAGGTAGATTTTAAATATCAGAACATTTTCAAAGAAATATTCCTAAACTCCAGTCTTTGGGGTGAGTGGCATGGTTCCTTGCTTGAATGAGATGACCCCACAAGGTGCTATTATATAAATGTCATCAATCAATCAGCACATTTTTGGGAGTCCTTGAAGTACGTGCTTAGTGAAAGTACCAGAAGATCCAAAAAAATTTGAGTTAGAATCCTTGCCTTTCAGGATCTAAGAGTTAAGTTGGGGAAATACAACATATTTGCAAATTACCTTATAGTTAAAGGCAGTATGGACAAGCTCAACTTTTTACTACTTCCACACTCTCTCATTGAATTCTTCACAAATAGTCATTCATTCAACAAGTATTTATTGAGTGTCTGCCCTTGTGAGGTCCATAGAGCTCAAAGGTGAATCGCATGTGAATCCTGCCCGTAGGGAGCTGAGCAGGGGACATGAGCCCTACAACCTTAACTCTAGCACAGAGGGGAATGCGAATAGAGCCATGAAAAAGGGACAGATACAATAAGGTGACTCCGAAGAAAGATCAATGATTTTTACCTGGAGAAAACAGAGGTGGCATCACCTTTTTTAGATCTTAAAGTAATTTGGATTTGGAGATAGAAAGATGGAGGAAAATGTCTTTCCAGAGAGAAGCAACTCTGCCTAAGTAGAAAGGTGTAAGGCATGGAGTGGCTACAGCAAGCGTGGCTAGAGCAAGGAATATGCGAAGAGGACACACGAGGGAGAGCTTGCAAAAATATATTTTGGGGTATCTGTGACCAAATATAACATTCACCTTTAGAGTTCATTTCAAGTTTGATAGGCACTAGAAAGCCATTTGGAGTTTTCTAGGAGTAAATCGACATGTTCAGAGGTATGTTGCAGTAACATTAAACCTGGTGACTATGTGAGGTCTGATTGTCCCATCTGTAACTCACTCAAAGTCATTATATCCAGAACTTTTTTATCAATCTGTGTATCAGTGAATTTGTCTAAAGTGAAAGGCTGCAGTGGCTGTTCTGGTTGTTCTTGTGCGGATCTGCCCAGCTGTGTTAGATCCTTAAACACTTTTATAGTCTCCAAGTCTAGACCCTGTCCTTTTTCCTTGTGTCCATTTTGAACCTTGGTCACAAAGATTTCCCTGGGTATTCAATTGTTCTTTATGCAAAGACTTAAAAAGAGCCAGGTACAGATCCTCACACCTGCAGTCTCAGTACTTTGGGAGGCCTCCGCGGGAGGATCGCTTGAGCCCAGGAGTTCAAGACTGGCCTGGGCAACATAGGGAAACCCCATCTCGACAAAATTATATTTTAAAAAAATTAGCCGGGCGTGGTGGCACATGCCTGTAGTTTCAGCTACTTGAGAGGCTGAGGCAGGAGGATCACTTGAGCATGGGAGGTAGACGCTGCAGTGAGCTGTAGTCATACCACTGCACTCCAGCCCAGAGAACAGAGCAAGACCTTGTCTCAGAGGAAGAAAAAAACAAACTTAAAAAGAAATGTTATCTCTATTTTCAGTAACAGAAATAAAATGAAAAATAGTAATGTTTTTCATAAGCAACCTTTCGATCTTAAAAATACTCTAAATCATGCAACTGATTATGTTTCCCTCTTTGTGCTGGCAAGTAGATTATTTAAAGCCAGATTTGTGTTCCTCTTTAAAAATGTATAGTACTATACAGTAGGTATTTTGTCCACTAACCTTAAATCTGGCTTTATCTTATGTTTCACACTTTTATTTTTCTTGTATTCTATCTTTATTTTTGGCAGTGTTGTACTTTATCTTGTTACACTTTATATACTGATTCTATCTTGAGTAAATTGGTACGGATAAATACATGCTCCAGCCACTTCTCATGTTTTGTAAGCCCAAATCTGTAGAGCTAGCATTGACCCTAACTGAATCCCCGGATTTTGCTCCTGTTTGTGGTCTGGTGCAGAATTTAAATTTCTGTCCAGGCCAGGCACAGTGGCTCATGCCTGTAATCCCAGCACCTTCAGAGGCCAAGGCTGGAGGCTCACTTGAGCTCTGGAGTTCGAGACCAGTCTGGGCAACATAGTGAGACCTTGTCTCTACAAAAAATTTAAAAATTAGCCAGTGAGGTGGCTCATGCCTGTGATCCCAGCTACTCAGGAGGCTGAGGTGGGATTGATTTTCTTGAGTCCGGGAGGTCAAGGCTGCAGTGAGCTGTGATTGTGCCACTGCACCCCAGCCTGGGCAACAGAGCGAGACCCTGTCTCAAAAAACAATTAAAAAAATTTTTTTTAAATTTCCGGCCATCCACCCTATATCATTCAGACTTTGCATGTATTCTGTTCCACCAAATTTTAGATTGAACCTAGCTTTCATCAGCTGGATTTGTTTTATTGGTAGGCCTCCTGATTGTGTTGTCAATTCAAGAGGTTCCAGTAAACAGCACACTGCTGCACTAGCCTGGGCAGACCATTGGCAAGAGCATGGATCCTCGTGTGGTGTCTTGTACGCTGTAAGTTCTCAGCAGACACTTACAAAATGAAGACGTGTACCTAAGGAAAGCAGCAGCTGCTTATTTTTGAAACCTTAATGGAAGTTTTCCCAATGGTTACGTTTTTATTTAGGAATAAGAATTCTAAATTCAACATATTGAAACATGATGATAATGGATCTTAAAATCATTTCTCTTTCAGTAACAGTGTTCTTGTCCATAATGCTTTATTTTACCATTTACACAGAGCTTTCATCCGTGACTGACGTAGCAGATTCCTGGAATATCAAGTCTAGAAAATGTACTTGGGATGAATGGCTAAGTGTGTGATGAATAAATGAATGAGTGGGTGCATTTCACTGAATCCTTACAATTGCACTAAGACCTGGATGGGGCAATAGTATTTCTCACATTACAGGTGAGAAAACTGAGGCTTACTATCATGATGTCTGACAGAATCAGGACTTAAATTTGTTACTATGACTTGTAATATTCTGCTCTTCACATAGTATAATATCTAACATAATTTCTTCTCTATAATATAATATTCTTTCATGGCATCATGGAGTCATCTGACCCATACCACTGCTTCTTTTTAGGCAAAGTCTTGTTACTTTTTCCTTGGAAACATTTCTCCCTGTTCTCTCTTTGTTTCTATTCTGTTGACACCAACCTAGTCTAGGCCCTCATAACTATAGCTTGTTTAGTCATGCTATCAGCAATTTCTTGAAATGTACCTTAAAGACATCCATAGAGATTCTAGTCACATACACTGATGCTCTAATAAATTATATGAAACCTGAATAATAAATCTTTCATGAATTTTAAACTGTTAGTTTCTCTTTTTCTAACACAATGACAACTGTATGTGCCATTTCCTCAAAAGCGTATTTCAGTCTGAGATTTAGACAATCATAATTTTTCATGAACACCAAAGCAATAAACCAAGAAGGATTCCTGCAGTTTCTGGTATGGGAAATTTCAAGAAGACAGAGTTTCTATTTTTGAAGTTCCCCCATATCAGAAACTGCAAGGAAGTAGCGATATTTTCATATATTTAGGTATTATCTCTATCCCTCATTACAAGAGTGAGAAATTATTCATTGTTAAATTATATGATATGGAATATTAGGGATCATTAGAAACATGTAATATTACTGATGTTATATGCTATGAGAGGAGTTATTTTTATCATTGTACCCTGTAAAGAGGTTTGATAATATATATTAAAACAATTACATATTATGTATTCATTTCATGCAAACTGAATTACAATGTTAAACTGTGCTATTTGGCTTAACAATCACTGCTGGAGTTCACATCGTAGATGGAAGCTAGTACTTGTGTTTCCTATTCTTTGTTAATATGTGCATTTATATTAATAGCATGATTTAATACATCACTTTAAAATTATACTGCATTTTGAACTGCATTTAGTCCAAAATTGACATCTTATGTGTGTGGAACCATATCAGTTTAGCATTAAATTAAAGAGTCATCTATCTGTTTGGTAAAATGTAGTCTTCGTAAATTCTAGCACATCCAAAGCTAGGTAATGAGATGGAAAGTAGGTCTCAGATGTTACATTAATTTGTGAATTTTAACTTATGACGTATTAGCTTTACGGAATTTTCTAGCAGTTACAACACAGCATTCAAAACACAGTATTTATGTTTTGAAGTTGTCAGACTCTTTATGATTCTGGTTTAAAACAAAAATATTTGTATCACTGACATAGTGGCATGAGCCTATCTGGTCACCTATGACTTACTTCAGAATGTAGTTACACTGCTTACTGTGAAATTGGAAAATCTGTTCTGTGTGTGTTCTAATGGATGTGACGGTCATTAAGTATATGAGTCTTCTGACGTTGTAATCAGATGTGATTCAGTCTGTTAAGTACCCATGAAACAACATCTGCTTCACAGAGTGACCTTCTGCTAAAGAATACTTAGCATCTATTAGTAGATCATAGTGCAGATCTGCCTTATTTGAAATGCACTAAACAAGAGTAGTCTACTGCTGTTTAGCAACTAGCTTGTAATAATTTATTGCAGTTAAATAAAGCTTAAAAAAACTCCATTAAATAATTATAGGGATTATATGCATTTTGAAAACCTTTGTGTTCTACTGAAATTACCCATTTAATTTCAGGGTTGGTTTGTTAAAAAAAGCTGAAATCTGAAGGCACATTAGAGGAGCTGTCAGATGCTGTTTTCTGTAGGTGTTAATAAAACCAGATGAAAAAAAAATCTGAAACAAATTAAAACCAAAAGCAATTTTGCCATCTGTTGTGTATTAATTAGAACTTTGTGTATCAAGGGTAAACTTGCTCTTAGAGAATGTCACTGAACACCCACTTAATAGAATAATATGCAAATTTATTAGGTTATGGATTTATATGCAGTTTTTAATTCTAATTCATCTGCAGTGGATCCCCAAGAAATTGGTAGTGTGTATATACATATATATATATATAATGAGTTCTCTTTCTTTTTTTTTTTTTTTTTTTTTTTCAGAGCAACCTGCAAGCAATCAAGGCCAGTCTACCCTGCAGCCCTTGCCGCCTTCCCATAAGCAGCACTCTGCACAGCATCATCCATCCATCACTTCTCTCAACAGAAACTCCCTGACCAATAGAAGGAACCAGAGTCCGGCCCCGCCGGCTGCTTTGCCCGCCGAGCTGCAAACCACACCCGAGTCCGTCCAGCTGCAGGACAGCTGGGTCCTTGGCAGTAATGTACCACTGGAAAGCAGGTAACATCTAAAATTTCAAAATAAGCTAGCCCAACCCTTTTCTCACCAGGAGCAATTTACTATACTTACATATTCTGGTGTGGTGTTTTGGGGTTTTGTTGTTGTTGTGTTTTCTTTTTTCTTCTCTAAGAAGCAGTTCCAGATTGTTGTGATTTTTTTAGTTGCTGGGTCAGTGAATGTGCCTATTCTTTTCACACAGTTTGTTGCCTACAAGAGATGAGAATAAATTACTTCAGTGAAACTTTCCCTTACCACTGTTTGTTTTTTTCTTATCTACAAATTATCAGGCATGTGGAGAAAAGGACAGAGATGTAAAATGTTATTCTCAGTTGCATGTAGTTTGATTCAGTGGACATGTCTGGCATCTTCTTGGTTCTAGACCTCTGTACTTTCTCAGACTATATTTTGTTCATTACATCATATATTCATAGTGGAGCCCCACTATGAATATAACACTTAAGCACAAATCAGATGACAGTTTGTTAAGGATATTGTAGTTTCTTGCAGTATGAGGGAGATAGGACCTACTCTCTAAAGTTCCTTGCAGGATTATTTCCTAAGACAATCCATTCATCCTGACACAGTTCTATTAGGAAGTTTTTCCCTACAATGAACTGAAATCTCCATCCCTGAAACTTCCATCCTCTGACTGTAACCGTACAACTAGTAGTCTGCAACTATACAAAACAATTTTGCCCTGATTCATACATGATGGCCCATGAGCTTCTCAGTCTTCTAGAGGCTTCAGCAGTTTAATGGTCCTTCTCTGTACACATAGCATAGTGTTTCATTAAGGTTCAAAGTTAGGACTTCTCGCAAAGGCTGGCTGACAAGTGGTAAACTGCTCATACAAAAGTATGATCAGCGAAAGCTGTTTTGAGCTAATCCATTTCATTATTCAGGATCTCCTGGCATATAAAATTTCGCCTTCTTTCTTTGGACAGGAGCGTAACAGTCACTGTCTCCTTGTAATTATGTATTGCACAACCAACAGTGGTGTCTTACCTTATTGGTCTTCTGTTGGCAGCTTTGCGGGGAGGTTCCCCCAACATTCCTCTTATTCTTTATTTCTTCTCTGCCCCAGGGTTTCCGTTAGGCTTGGAGAAAAAGAGTTATCACCATAGAAAAGCCAGAAAATAGAGAGCTCTTGACGCCTTGAGAGACTGTCCCCCAAAATGTCCTGCCCTAGAGCTTCCGGTTAACATTAGGATTTAAATTAGCTTCTGGGTGAACAAAGTGTCTCACAATGAATACATTGCTATTTCTCACCATTAGGTATATGGTCTCAACCCATTCTGCCTTGAGGATGAGCTAGCAGGAGGTCCCCACAGTTAGTTGTCAACAATGAAAGTCTTTCTGTGTTTTCTTTTACTCTTGACCTAAGAACAAGGTTCTAAAGAACTCTTATCTTTTTATCCATATCAGCCACGAGTAGTTGAGTTTTATTGTTTATTTTGTATTATTGAACATTCTTCTGGGAGAAATTAGGAAGAGAAAGAACAGGAAAAATAGGCAAACAGCAGATTTCTCTTCACTTAAGACACAGTCATGTATACGGATTTTTTTTTCCTGAGGTTATTAGCACAGACGTAAATTTACCCAGTGTAATTAATTAGCACACACTGAACAGCTAATCAACACCGATTCACTATTGTCATTTGGAAAAAATTTATTAGGAAAAAAGTAATTTTCCAGTTGAGTCATCAGATTGAATATGGATATTACATTGTAGTTGACAATAATTGTTTTGACAAATATTTATGAAATATGTCAAATTAAATCCTCAGAAACGTGTTTAATTTTAGTGATGTTATAAAACACAAAAGCCTCAAAAACTGTCAGTAGGAGAGTTAGCATTCCGTGAAACCATGTCTTCCAGTGAATTTGGAATAATTTTGAGAAGAGTAAGATGCGTTCTTGTTATTCGTCTTATTGCACTGGAAATTTTGATTGATGAGACTTTAAAGAAAGAAAGTAGTTGGTTAGAAGAAAATCCACTGTAGCCATATGTGAAATTGTAGCTGGTTTCTCTATATTCAGACCATATAAGAAATCACTCCCATGGTGAGTAGTTACTGAGATTTTCTTCCATTTCAAAGTAATGCCATTAATGAATCATCAATGGAATTAATATTATACAGTTTTATGAGTTTCAGGGAGGAAATCAACCGCTGATATGATCTCACTAATAAATATACAGAATAATTAATCTAAAAATTTGTTGTTACACTAACAAATTTTAATCTGCAGTATAGTTTTGTTGTTTTCTCGTTATCCAAAGTTCACATCTTACAGTGTCGCTAATCAAAAGAAATGATATTTCAACTTGCAGTACTCAGTGAGTGAAGCTAAGCAGTGATGTGAAAATCTCACACTGTACCGACACAGTACTACTGTGGTTTCTTTAATAGTCTCACTTGGTTGGAACTCTGGAGGTGAAGAACCAGTCTTATTTATCATTGATTTTTCCTTCTTTTAGTTAAGGTTCCCTATTGAGTATGATTCTCAGACTCAGTTTCAGCTATATTAACAACTTTATCCAGACTTGTGTCTGCCTTTAACTATTTTTTAATCTAGTGTATTGTTTCATCTTTGGCAATTATTTATATATATATATATATATACACACACACACCGATTTTGCTAATTCTCACTTTTTCTGAAACTGCCACTTAAAGGTTATAAGCTATGAAGTTTAAAATTCAGTTACGAATAAATAAGAATCTCTATATTTTTCTCTTAGTTCCTCCCCCTTTTCTCTTTTCAGCACAAATTGATAGTAATTGGTTACAAAATGGCATGTAATAACCCTTGAAAATCTCAGTGATTTGTAGACTTACAGTTTATGTGAATTGCTGGAAAAGGCATAAAAGGATTTTCTACTTTGTCCTATATGTTTCAGTATAGCTATCATTTTGATTTATTCAAAAGCATTCTTTTTCACCAGGCAGTTTCTTGCTTCCATAAAAATGTTTATTTCCTTTCTCTAATGAATTTAACATTTGCTCCTGCTGGAGACAATCAATGTGACTGTGTACTGTACATTCCCACTCAGTGAATAGAATACTTCTGGTCTATAATCTCCAGTGACTTTCAGATCTCCTAGAGTCACACTGAGATCCAAAAATGCCTTTGCAGTTCATAAGCATCTCCTTATTATGTCATCATTTCCTATTAACAATCGGTCCCTATGTATAATACCAAGTGCTTGCTTACAATTTTCCTGAAAATTCCTTTTCTTTGAGCTCACTATTTGTTATACTTTGGATTATTCACTTTTAGGGCATTGGAGAGCCTATAGCTTGCCCTTTGTTTATTTTATACTTCAGCTGCTTCAGTATGTAATAATAGCTGCTACAAGAATACAGAGCAGCTGAGCAAACGCTTAGAATTGGCCCAGTACAGCAGCAGCACTTAAAGGTATGGTACAGTAACTCTCATTGAGAAGCCTTGTCCTTCAGCAACTGTAAAGTTAATTGCCTGCAAGTTCCTCATTTATATACGTGAATTAAACAGCTTAGTAGTTACCTATTAGATGTTAACAAAACGGTTCATTTGTAGCCATTTAATAAAAGATTTATTAAAGTCTTGTTTTATTATGAAGCCTACTTTGGCATGGATAGTTCATTAGTTATGTTCCCATAGCTTTTTACCTTCTAGTTCAGTAATGCTTTGCTAATTATTAATGTATGAAATTGCATATTAAATTGCCTCTTTATTAGTGCATTTTTTATTTCAATATTGAGATGTCTTGAGCCGCATTAATGTGAGATCAATTGTTAACGTCGTTAAAAAAACAGAATACCTAAACAGAGATATTGTTTACTAAACTAAGATATGATACTTTTTTCTCTTTTTATCTTCTTTAAAATGGTTGTAGGGAAGGTAAAAACAGTCATACACACACCGGGTCTGAGTCAGCCTTGCTGACGTGTGTCTGCATCCTATATGGGGTAGCTTTCCTGCCCCAGAGGAAACCTTTCCCAGCTGAAGAATTAACCTCCACCCACTTACTGATAACTAATAAACTACCATTAGTGAGGTAGTAAGTAGTGGAATCCTCCGTAATTAAAGATACAACTTCAAGTAAAATATGCCTGGGAAGGTAGCTCGATGACTAAGGTTGACTGACTGATGCTGATGCCATATGCTTTTGTTAAAGACAGCTTGGGGAGACACAGGGTACCTGTGGGGAAAAGGAATATTACTGAATATGGAAAAGAGGTCCAAAAATGAAGAACCTAAGGTTACTTAACAAAAATTTCAAAATTGGACCTGGGCCAATGGTAGGAAATTCTTAAAGTTTCACCATCATCATTTATTTAAAAAAAAAAAAAAAAGGGAAAGTCAACTTAAATTATATACTAATGAATAGTAAAAAATCACTTGGATTCTAAGTCTCTTAAAATATGGCACCTTTTATAACTTAGTATTTCTTAAGAGGACTAGGAAGGGATATTGTTTATTTGTGAGAATGGGAAGAAACATGAAGAGGGAGATATAAAGTTCAAGAATTTGCTGTGTGCTGTTAATATTTAAGGCCTATTTCAAGCCCTGGCTAAAAAAACCTTTGTCTCAGAGAGAGGAGGATAATTGAGGAAGCTATTGTAAGCTTAATTCAGTGCCTAAGCTCTGTGGTGACCATATAGTTCATTACTAAAGCCAGGACACTTGCAGAGTGAGAAGGGGCCATATCAACAGTTACCCTGGAATTGCAGCATAAACTGATAGCTGTACCAGGCAAAGAGGGACGTGTGATTACCACACTAAGTTTTATTTCCAAGAGTAAAGTTAATTTTAAGTCCAAATTTTCTTATGCCTTAGATAAATAAGAATAAGAAATCAAACGAGAAAGGCAGGTTGAATGCAGGTAAGGCTCCAGACTTGAACATTTCTAATAGTTTCTATTGCTAACTTAGAGCAAATATTTAAACTTTTATTGACCCCCTTCGCAGAAAAAGCTTCTATTGGCCTCCAAAATATGTAGCTCCTAAAATAATACTTAAAATATTTGTCTTAATTTTCTTCTCAGAGTTTCAAGAGAACACTTATCACAATATCAAGAGAACAAGAGGTAGCAGGCCGGGCGTGGTGGCTCACGCCTGTAATCCCAGCACTTTGGGAGGCCGAGGCGGGTGGATCACCTGAGGTCAGGAGTTTGAGACCAGCCTGGCCAACATGGTGAAACCCCGTCTCTACGAAAAATACAAAAATTAGCCAGGCGGGGTGGTGGGCACCTGTAATCTCAGCTACTTGGCAGGCTGAGGTGAGAGAATCTCTTGAACCCGGGAGGCAGTGGTTGCAGTGAGCCAAGATCTCACCACTGCACTCCAGCCTGGGCGACAGAGGGAGACTCTGTCTCAAAAAAAAAAAAAAAAAAAAAAAAAGGTAGCGTATATAAAATATGGTCCTGAATTTACTCAAAGAATAAACATCTCTGTGTCTCCAGCAGCATTACAGTTTGGGTTTCCAAAACCATTCTCTCAGGCTGAAGTAGAGGCTTCATTCTAGGAAAGTTTGAGATAAAGTTTCAAAGATGGTTATTAAGATAAGTGAGAGTAAAAGCCCTATTTTTTAATGTGAGATTATTATTAACCACTTGTAATGCTGTAGCCTCAACTTGATTGTTTAGTGGGCGTCACGCCAATAATTAAAATGTGAAAGAAGGTTCTAGACCAATAGCAGCTCTCAAATGAAGGTCATTCTCAGGAGTCAGTATTGATATATATTCTAATTAAAACCTGGTGGATATAGTAGGGATACAAATCACAGTTTAGCGTCATGAGAAAAGCATATGCTTTAGAGACCTGGTTTGTAATCCTGCATCCACCATTTTCACTAACTATTTAAATGTGAGGTCACATATTTAAATGTGAAGTCAGTTTCCAATGCAATAATAATACCTACTCAAAATGATTTATAAGTGTGAAATGAAATAAAGTAAGTGGAGCACGTGGCACATGCTAGGTGTTCCGTAAATGTTTTTAAAATAATTACCAAATGGTAATAGCAGCCATTGTGAAGGGCACCTCATTGGTTAATACCTTTCATCATAAAGTAGCTCTCATCTCTCCAAACAATAAGAAAAGCATTTGTCTTAACTGAGATATTTTTGTCTAATTTATCTTTATGTGTTAGGTAGGCTAAACATGAAATTAAACCATGGTTAATTTTACTAGATTAAAATCTCTTAGTTTTCTCACTCTTCCCGTCGCTTAACAAAAAGTAGGTGGATTTTTGTAGGTAGGAACGCCCAGACTGTTAATTTTGTTCTTGAGAAGAAAAAAAATCTTCAAATAATAATGAAAGGCAACTATTCATATCCTTGAAACATTTAATTAACTAAAGTAATAAATGTTTGGAATGAATCAATAAAAGCCTTCATAGATGCATTGTCTTCACATCACTCAGAAGTGAGACCCCAGTTTTATTTAAGGTATTGAACGCTTTAGAGTCTTTTGTGCATGATAAAAGTACTGTACAATAGAGTGGGAGTGTTATTTTGTTTAATTGGAGTGAACCAGTTTCTTTTTAATAGCAATTAAGACACCAAGAAAGTATGCATTAATCATTTGCTATAGTCCTTAAGTGATATTGAAAGCGTAATTTCAATAAATTGCAGATACTGTATATTCTGATAATGTTTGGCTTTGGATAACCGTAATCTATATAAAATGTTCACACATGATCATCTTAATTTTCATGGTACCTGTAGAAATGAATTGTTAATTACTTCTAACACATTTTGAATCACACTTTTTTGAACGTGAACAGTGTAAAAGGTAATCTGTGCCTTTACTCTGGTCCTAGTCAGTGATTGCGATTAAGCCATTATCTTCATCTGAAAATGACCTGTCATTCTCAAGCACTTCTCTTCCTCTCGAGCAACTGTTTTGTGAGGCTTTTTAAAAATACCATTCACTAGTATTGTCTGTAAAAGTATGTCTCAGTCCTCTTTACTTGTGTATGTGTATGTATTTGTACATAAGTATGCATACATATTTTATGTCTACTTGACATCCTTGCTACCTGGTGATTTTATTTTTTCCTGGAATCAAGGTGTATTCAGTTTTTTTAAAGATTGATTGATTGATTGATTGATATTTTTTTGAGACGGGGCCTTGCTCTGTCACTCATGCTAGAGTGCATTGGCACAATCACGGCTCCCAGCAGTCTTGACCTCCCATCTCTGGTTCAAGCAATCCTTCTGCCTCAGCCTCCTGAGTAGCATGGACTACAGGTGTGGCATGGTGCCCAGATAATTTCTTAATATTTAATTATTAGCATTTATTTATTTGTCTACCGGCTGCTTGGCGTTTATTTTCCACGAGGTGCAAGGTGAAAAGTTACAGGTGTCAGGAGAGCTCACGTGCGCTGGGACAGTGAGGAGGGCTGTCTCCTTTTTGGTGTTAGCTGTGTTGATGTAAAAGAGCGCCCTGCTCGTCCGCTTGCTGCAGCCGCCCGGTCTGCAGGGTCCGCGGCGGCGGGGAGGGATTCTGGCGTCCTAGCGCTTCTGCAGGCCCGGGTTTGGGGGTGGCCGCTCAGGTCAGGGCTAGGACCCAGCACTGGCTTTGCTGGACAGGCCATCGGACTGCCTCCTGGGAGGTCCCCAAGCCAGGCCACAGGCGGTCCTGCTGCAGGGGTCCTAGGAGGCCCCGGGTGCTCTGCGGACCATAAAAATACCATGGCCATGAAAGGAGCTCGCCCGCCAGTGACCTGGGTCAGCCAGGGGCTCAGGGGCGGCTTCCCTATGGCACTCGGTGCCGCCGCAGGAGCTGCTGTTGGAAGTGGAACCTACTGTAGGTAGTAGTCGTGGGTGGCCCCAAGCAAGAGGCTGGAGGGACTGGAGGGTATGGCCCATGCTCTTGCTTGCAGGCTGGTGGGACCTCAGTGGCAACTCTTGGGGATGGGACTGGGGACGCTAGGCCAGGAACCATTTGCGGAGGAGCCTGCTGGGAGGCTACTCCATGATGGAAACGTGCACAGATTAATTTTTTAGTTTTTTAAATTTTTGTAGAGACTGGGTCTGCTATGCAGTCTACCCACCTGGGCCTCCCAAAGTGCTGGTATTACAGGCGTGAGCCACCACACCCAGCCTTAATTTTAAAACTGTGTTTTTCTCTGGAATTTCATTCTCTGGTTTCATCACCAATTAATATACACCCTGTCAAAGATAATTGCATATCTTTTTCTGCATTCCTTTATTTTTTCCTGGACAGGCTTTTGCCTACTTTCTTCTCCACTAATTTCAAACCTGAGGTAAAGTCTGTTTTCTATTACACCAGTCTGAGAACTCTTTCTTCTTATACCATAAGATTAAATTCTTGGACATGCAATTAACCAACTAAACTTAATCAATTCTATTTGATAACCCCTCTGATTCTGCTGTAACCTTCTTTGTGCTTTCGTAGCATCTCACTTCATATTCTGAACCACTTGAAATACTGCTACCAGAAATTGTTCCAGTTACATCTCACAGTAATATAATATTGCTACCGTCTGGTCATGGTGTGTGGAAAGAAGCATTGGTTTGGGGATAGGAGGATCTGGATTAAAATCTCAACATCCTACTAGCTGTGTAACCTTGGTCAGGGTAATTACACATTCTTATCTTGTGTTTCCATAAAATGGGATTGTAATACTTCACAACGACTTTATAAGGGTTCCTTAAGATGTCATGTGAAGTACCTAATGCTTCAGTTTCTTTGCTTTTTATTCTTTTCTTAGGCTATGTGTTTAAAGGAAAAATAATTCATTTAATAACTACAAAGGTAAATTGACATCTACCAAGGAAATAAAGATGTGATAAAATGCAGTGACAGCTACCAAGAACTTACATGTTAATTAATTTTTGTGACAATTAGGTAGCTTTTTACCTTTGCAGATTTTTTGACAGTAAGAATAATCACTAAATCCTCAACTTAATTGACTTCCTAACAGAGATAAACTATGAAGTAAATATTTAAAAAGAGAATTTGTTTTAGAAAAAACAAATAACTGTGATAATATGTAACAGTGATAATATGGGAAAGAAATTCTCTGAGATAGTGGTGTCTTAGAGATAATTCATAAAATGAAGCCTGAATGCATTCATTCATTTATGCAGGAAATATTGGTTAGTCTTACAGTGTACCAGTATGAAAAACTCAAGAAAGGACCTGCAGATGTTTTGCCTGCTTTTGAGAAAGATAGATTCTATTCCAGAGCAAATTTAAAATCATAAAGATTATCTAATCTGGCCAAGTGTGGTGGCTCATGCCTGTAATCCCAGCACTTTGGGAGGCTGAGGCAGGTGGATCACTTAAGGCCAGGAGTTCAAGGTCACCCTGGGCAGCATGGTGAGACCCCACCTCTGACAAAAAAATAAAAACCTTAACCAGGTTTGGTAGCATGTGCCTATAGCCCTAGCTATTCGGGAAGCTGAAGCAGGAGGATCACTTGAGCTCAGGAGCTCCAGGCTGCAATGAGCTATGATCGCACCACTGTCCTCCAGCCTGGGCAACAAAGTGAGACCCTCTCTCTATTTTTTTCTCCCAAAGAGCTGGGATTATAGGTGTGTGCCACCATGCCCAACTAAAGTTACTTTTTTTTTTTTTTTTTGAGGTAGGGTCTTACTCTGTTTCTCAGGCTGGAATGCAGTGGTATGATCACAGCTCACTACAACCTTGACCTCCTGGGCTCAAGCAATCCTCCCGCCTCAGCCTCCCGAGTAGCTGAGACCATAGGAGCATGTCACCATGCCCAGCTAATTTTTTTTTTTTTTTGGAGAGACAGGGTGTCTCATTATGTTGAACAGGCTGGTCTCAAACTCCTAGGCTCATGTGATGCTCTCACCTCAGCCTCCCAAATTGTTGTGATTATAGGCATGAGCCATCACATCTGGCCTTATCTTCTTTTTAAGGCCCATTGAGATTTAGTAATTGGCCTGAGGTCACATGACTAGTTAGTGGCAATACTCAGCTAGATGACAGGTCTCCAAATATAAGTTCATTACCTTTTCTTCTAGTAATGATCTCCAAAAAATTTTTTATTACATTTGACAGGAAAAAAACAAAACCTCAACCCCCAAATATGTGTATTTATTAAATTTTAAATTAGGCACATGCAGCAATTTACTAAGCTTGTGCCTGTTATCATACACAGATTAAGAATTGAAAGGATGAACTAAAACAATTTTACAGAATTTTATTTTATTTCTACTTATTCATCTAATGATGTATTTAATTATTAAATATATATTTATAATAGTTAAATATAAGTGAACTTTATGTATTAAATACTAATCATACCATATTTTTCAATTCTAACATTTATATAAACATTTGTGTTGAAATTTGGTTAATTTCTCTGATGTCTACTCTGATCATCTGGCAAGCTAATCAGTAGCTATTACATTTTTACATTTTAAGTAAATAAGAACAAAACCCACTAAAATATGAGTTAGCAGACCTTTAAGCAGTTTAGAAAATAAAAAATTGCTATAGATGACATACATTTATTTTGCAGCAAAGTCATATATTGATGGGACTATTTCCAAATGTAAATTTTCAAAATATTCTCTCAGAACTAATAATTTCTTTAGAGAAGCTATACTGTCTTTATCATTCTTGAACACTTCCTCTACTTGGAGGGACAGATTATTAATTTTTTCAAAAATATATTCTTGATAAGATACCTTTGACAGCCACTTGTCACCATTGAACAGGTCAGCAAAATTGAACTCTTCTCCTTTTTGTATATTTAATTCATCTTTAAGGTTAAACTCTTTGGGTATTTTGCTGTGAGATACCTTGTTAACCTTTATGTGGTTAAAAAAGATTTTCAGGCCAGGTGTGGTGGCTCATGCCTGAATTCCCAGCATTTTGGGAGGTCAAGGTGGGCAGATCACCTGAAGTCAGGAGTTTGAGACCAGCCTGGCCAACACGGTGAAACCCCGTCTCTACTAAAAATACAAAAAAAAATTAGCCGGGCGTGGTGGCGGATGCCTGTAATCTGAGCTACAGGGGAGGCTGAGGCAGGGGAATCACTTGAACCTGGGAGGCGGAGGTTGCAATGAGCCAAGATTGCACCACTGCGCTCCAGCCTACGCAACAGAGCGAGACTCGGTCTCAAAAAAAAAAAAAAAAAAATTCAAGACTACACCACAACTCATCGCGAAACATTGTGCAGAATATTGTATTTACTTAAACACACACAGAGTTTCAGCAGAAAGTAAAAGGTGACAGCATCACTGTCAACTCCTCTTCTCCTTTTCTCAGGATCCTCAGGCATTAGAGAACCTTCCAACAGAAAGACTGAGTATAGGTTCCACGATCACCCATGCGTAAAATATTATAAAAGCTTAATATCTTTCTGATTTTTAGACAGGAGAAAAATACAAGTTTGATATGTAATTAAATAGAGTTTGAATACCTTCTTATCTCACTGGTTTGTTTTGCATATGAGTTAAAATGCGTACCTGATATAGAGACTGCGTAAATTTGGAGGCCAGAAAGACCTGGCTTTGCCTGCTCCTTCTAACCTTTGACAAGTTCAGTAAGTCTCAGTTTCCTCTTCTTTAAAAGCAGATTTTATAATACACACAGACACACACACACACACACACACAGTGGGAATTTTGTAAAGTTAAAGTTTGATAATATTTTCTTGGCACATGGCAAATAGTTGTTCAGTAAGCTTCACTGAAGCCCTTTTCACTCTTTGAACTGATTGTTTTCTGCCTTGTTTTGTTTTGTCATCCATTTCTTGTTCACTGTCACATACACATCAGATTAGTGACTTACTAGAATGCCATGAACAACTCTCAACTCTTACCGCCGGAAATTCTTTTATTCTTCATAAACTACTTACAACCACCCCTGAAATTCTTCTCTTGATCTAGCTTATACTTCCTTTCTTGTGTTTATAGAAAGAACTTTAGTGAACAATTCTAAGCATAGATGGCCATCAATAATTAAATGAATTAATAATTAAATAGATGAAGTCTTGTCCAGATAGCACATAGGAATTTTAACATGGTCTTTTTCATTTCCATTTAAATTTTAATATATTTAGTGTATAATAACTGCCAACAATAGGTGTAATTGATATATGAAAACATGTAAGAATATAATACAAGTTTGTACACTTGATGACATGGATTCTTCATTAAAGTAACCAAAATGTGAAACAAAGACTGTAAAGCGATTTTAGTCTTCATAATGGCTAAAAATATTTTTTTGTATATTTAGTCCTGTTGTTCAGTTCTTAACATTCCCAAACAATACTTATAATGGGATTTAGTACTTGGTTGTAGACCTGTCTAAGTTAAAGTAAGTCGTAATAGAAACACTTTGCTTCATATTGTAGTCCTATACTTTTTACATAGCTGTGGTTATGCTTAAATTTTATATAATTCTCCCGTTTACTTAAGACTATGAGAAGTAAGTGTGAAAGATAGTACAGAACTCACAAAAATATATTTCCCCCAATCTTCTTAACACTCTCTAGAATTTTAGCTCCCAATTTTCAGAGCTTGGTTAACACACATAATGCTATACTTACTATGAACATGTTATCATATTCATTGTAATTATAAATGGATACAAAGGCAAATGCCAAAATGTATAATTACTAATATATTGATATTGCACATTTTTATGTAAAATAGTAAAACCAGTTTTTGTCTGAAAGCATATTTTGTGCAATTACTAATAGGTCATATTAATTCAGGTAGCAGCAGTGAAGTGTATCTTGTTTATAAGCTTTGCATTTAAGACACCTTTCTTGCAGGAATCACCTCCTAGTGTGAAAGTTTTCCAAAGATAATAGCACATCAATTCAAAAGTGTAATAGATTTGAGACCACAACATGCTATCAGCATGAAGAAGTAGTTTATCAGTCTCACTAACTCACGGTGTCACAGCTAGAATCATTACATATTTGTTCTTTTGTTTTCCCATCAAAGTACATAGTTTACATTGT
This sequence comes from Homo sapiens, assembly GCF_000001405.40. Classification (NCBI taxonomy): domain Eukaryota; kingdom Metazoa; phylum Chordata; class Mammalia; order Primates; family Hominidae; genus Homo; species Homo sapiens. The sequence continues at coordinate 182,614,125 of NC_000004.12, forward strand.
AATGTTGGTTGCTTATTTTCTTATTTAAAGTGTTTATTTTTAAAATGCATACCAGAATTAATTTTTGGTAATAATAGAAGAGGCACTTTAGTGGGAATCTAAAATATTTTCTTTTTATAATTGCATAGTATACATAGTATATTACTTCCTATAAAACATTTATCATTAAATGCATAGTATTAATACCTTTATATTAGAAAGAATCAATCCATTTTGAACAAAATGGCCAATTTTTAGAAAATTCACATACATAGACATTTACTTATCTGCCTTTCCTAGAATCATCCTTTTTAAAAGTTAGCAGAAATCCAGTGATTAAAATTCAAGGAAAAATAATGAATTTTAGTTTATTACTGACTTACTATGAGTATGTTTTATTACTTATTACTTCTTAGCTGTGTCTTTTTAATCAAGCCTTGAGACAAGCCTTTTTATTTTTTAAATCCCATTTGCTCATTTTTATTTTTAGTTATAGCTTTTTTGTCAAGTATAAATCTACTGCCAGTGGTCGCTGAAAAAGTTAATTAAAAAACTAGTCCTCCTAGTACTTTTTCCTTTCCTCATACCACTTAATTACTCTTTAAGTTCTCCTGCACACACTCTCGAAAGCATGTTTTAAAATTATTTCTAAAGGTTGAAAGAAAACACTTTCTCTTTAACTCTAACAATGAGAATTCAATGTGGAGTATTTTTTCAATTACACTGGTTTTTTTGCTGCCTCCAACCTCAGTAAGAATTCAGTTTCTTCACGTTGTTTCATAGATCCGAAGCTACCATTGCTGCAGCCTTTTTGAGAGTATGGCAGGGCGTCCACTGCAGCCAGCACTGGGAGCATCATCTTAATTGTCACTACTTTGTCCTCAGCAGTTTCGAAGAAGAGTTAGGGAAAAGGCATGTTTCTCAGAAAAAAAAAAAAAAATACATATATATATATATATATATGTATTTTTTTTTTCTTCTCCAAATAGCAGATACGTAAAGTGAAAAGAGATTAGAGATTATATTTGTGTGTGTGTGTGCTTACACGTTACATTTAAATATTTAGAATTGAGTTTTTCAGAAGAATCTCTGGTAGTAGGTAAAGAGAATGATTAGAAGTAGCTCTTTTTTTAATAGAAATTTTCATACAGGTAATAAGTTGAAACAAGGCTTTTAGAGGAAAAAAGAATATATAAAAACTACCCCAGCCAGAAAGGTTGAGAGTGGAGAACTAGTACTCTCTCTGCGAAGAAATTAATGAAGCATTTTGGGAAGTTGTAAATGCCCAAGGTAAAGTATCAACTAGATTTACACGTGGCTCAGAAATCCAAGTATAGAGTCCCAAGAGAAAAGGAAAGAGAACCCCTTAGCCAAGGTACTTGTGAAATAAGGTGAGTGCTGATGAGTGGTTTTAAAGCAAATGGAAATGTAGATATTATGAAACATAAAGAAGACCCAAAAGGAAATAGATGCTGGTATCTCATTTGGAGATGAAGTAAAAGCCAGTACACACGGTAGATACTTAAAAGTAGCAATGACATTAGCGTAAGGGAACTGATTAGGGAAAACTTAACTAATAGGTGAAGTTGAAAGGGAAGAGTTAAAAAAAGGGGGATGTTGAAAAGTGAAAAAAAAAAAAGAGTGAGATGACATAAAGCAATGAAAAATGTTTAAGCCCTTTGACTCTGAGATCCAATGGATTGAGCGTTGTATAACTCATTTGTTCTAAATTGACTACTCGAAGTAAGCTACCAGCAGTGACTTTCTAAGCAGGAGTCTTGAATTGATTTTCTGATTTGTTATACAGTCTTGAAGGGAGACTTGAAGTTAAACTTAAGCTAAGAAACTGATATCCTAATACCTTACTGCAGTGATTCTCAGAGTGTGGTTCCTGGAGCAGCCCCGTCAGTTGCTGGGGTTTCACCCCAGACCTACTGTTGTAACAAGCCCGCCAGGTTACTCTGATGTAAGCTAAAGTTTGAAACCTACCGCTTTAATGTATGGAATGGTCTCTCAGTTGCATTTCTGCTCATGTTGGTGTTCTGACCCTTTACCACAGCAGTTCACAAGCCCTACCAAAACCGGCGCTTCCTTATCAGTCTTGTTGAACTGTTTTCGTGTAAAAGATAGGTAACTGCGTCCATGTGATCTCATTGTTCAATTACCACCTATGAGTGAGAATATGCGGTGTTTGGTTTTTTGTTCTTGCGATAGTTTACTGAGAATGATGGTCATAGGAAGGGGAATATCACACTCTGGGGACTGTGGTGGGGTGGGGGGAGTGGGGAGGGATAGCATTGGGAGATATACCTAATGCTAGATGACGAGTTAGTGGGTGCAGCGCACCAGCATGGCACATGTGTACATATGTAACTAACCTGCACAATGTGCACATGTACCCTAAAACTTAAAGTATAATAAAAAAAAAAAAAAAAAGGTCAGGAGATCAAGACCATCCTGGCTAACACAGTGAAAAAAAAAAAAAAAAAGATAGGTAACTGCAGAACACCTTTTGCAAGTTTCTGCAGATGCTCGTGTGGGTGGGCTTCTCCCGGAAGATTCCCAGCAGCCTCTGCAGTCTTTCAGTTCAGGAATCTTACAGAGCTTCTGAGGGCCAGCATCCTCGGCTGATGGAGAATTATTTCCAAATAGCTAGGCATTTGAGCAGAGTGAATAATTATGCTAGATATCTCTGGATGTCTATTGAGAATCAGTTGCCAGAAGGTAAGGAAAATAAACAGGAACCCAGCCTTGAGTAAGAACGGGTAATTTTCTATGGGGGCTTTTTCTTTAGTTTTCTGTTTAATAGCTGCCAGAAATTTCCTATTCCTTTCATCATTCTCTAAAGCACATTATTTAAATAAACTATTTTTTCAGCTTTTAATTAGTTTGAACACATTGCTAAATATACATTTCACAGATAATCCAGTTGGCTTTGGAACTTAAAATTCAGAATTTGGTAGTGAAAATCCTAAAGATTATGATAAAAACAGATTTTAAGCATTCACAATGCGTGGGTAATAGTTAATATCATCTTTCAGATACCTTATTTGTTTCAAATACATACTGACAAATATTTTGGGCTGATTCTGTGATATTTAATGAATGCCCAATTAGAGACCACAAGGAATTAAATGAGTAATAATAGGCGTTATGGAAGGTAACACACACTAACAATTCAGTGTTATATATTTTAACAGTACTTTTAAAAATCATCTTATCTTAAAATGAACTCTAGGCAAACCGTCCATTGTCTTGATATCATCAAGTGACTAAAACTATCTTGAACTCAGTAGTTAATTTTAGCCTTCATGTATTTCCAGGTACATTTAATCCACAAGTGTGGGATTCATTTGCTTTAGATCTGAAAATGTCATTTTGGAAAAGTCGTTTGATGTTGAGGAAATCTTGTGAGACCTTTAATAAGCCTCTTAAATCCAGAAAGTTATATTTTGCTGGAAGGAAGAAGAACCTATACCTTAAAATTTCCTCAGCTCTTAAGTGAGAACTTTTGGATATTGAAAAGGTTGTAAATTTGGCCAAACATAGCCAGTCTTTCTTATTGACACATTGTCTTTGAAATCAAAACATCTAATTTGAAGAAAGCAATCTATATTCTAGATTACTTTTTATCGATTTACCTACATGTGTCAGTAGAAAGCAGGACATCAAGGGATTTTATTTAATCAGGTCACTTTTAGTTTAATGTAAATGATTCTCTTTGTCCAAGAAAGAATATAAGAGGAGGAAAGCATCAACATTTCCTATGCAGTAGTGCCTTTGTCCCTATACGATATAATAGATGTTACTACACAAGATAAGTATTTTTCCAGGTGTCTGTATGTCACTAATAAAAGTTTCAACAGTGCCTCAGGGACAGAAGCTGAGCACTAACTACTACACTCTCTTTATCCTAATTATTTGCTTTGTTTGTTAATCTCTAAAAATGTTTTTAACACTATATAAAACATTGAAGGAAACAAACTATTTTCTATGAAGATAACTGCTTATGAAGTTAATCTAATTAGAATTTATTTCATTCAGTAGTTACACACTTTCTTTTTGATTTTTATTTTCTATGCTAATCTCCCATTGAGGAAATGACTCAAACCACTTGGAATAATGCTATAACACATTTTCCAGGGATGCTTTTCAATTGGGTCCCTATAATTTCTAATTTATTAAACTGTATTCTTGATATTAAAGATAAAATGATTATATTAATCCCCTGAACAAAAGACCAGTATTAAGACATTTTTCCTAGTGACTCCTATAAGCTTTCAATTTAATTATGTATTATGACTTATTTAATTTTGTTAGCATCTTCTAAAATGAACTTTGATATATTAATATTACATATGATATAGAAAAGTACATTTAAATTTCCTTGATAATCTGATTATCTTGCCACTAAAAATCTTATGATGGTAAGTTTTATGCTTATTACTTTGAAAGACAAAATCAATCAAAAGTGAACAGCTACTAAGGAACAAAGCATGCCTGCTAAGACATGGGGTTTAAAAAAAAAAAAAGCAAAACAAATTATAAGAAGCAATTGTAAGTGGCCTAAGATAGGAGACAGAAGTTTTGACTGAACAAATAGAGGTGATTCGGTATACTGTGCGGGTCCAAAATTTAAAACATGATGTTTCATTTGAGGGTAAAAAAAAATTTGAAATGAAATGTTATTTTTGCCTCTTCTTTGCATCTGCTAAGCAGGTTAAAAGAAGTTGAGGTATAAGAACACAGAACTTCTCTGCTCAGCAATAAAAGAAAAAGAAGAGAAAGAAATGCTATAAAGGAAAGACTGCAGGATCCCCCAACAGGTTGACTACTCGGGGGTGGGGGTTGGGAGCAGGAAAGAAGAGTAATTAAAAATTACCCAAAGTCTGGCAGTTAGAGAGACTTAAAAGACAGAGTTACTCAACAGTGACCTAGAAGGCAGGGATGGGGACAGCAAAAAAGATGAGGAAATTCAGTCAATTTGCAACGTGACCCATAGAGGTATACATCATGGAATGGGTTAAAAATAGGAGCTAGAAGGCCAGGTGTGGTGGCTCACACCTGTAATCGCAACACTTTGGGAGGCCGAGGCAAGCGGATCACGAGGTCAGGAGATCAAGACCATCCTGGCCAACATGGTGAAACCCTGTCTCTACTAAAAATAATTAAAAAAAATTAGCTGGGCATGGTGGCACATACCTGTAGTCCCAGCTACTTGGGAGGCTGAGGCAGGAAAATCGCTTGAACCTGGGAGGCAGTGGTTGCGGTGAGCCGAGATCACGCTACTGCACTCCAGCCTGGCAACAGAGCAAGTCTCCATCTCAAAAAAAAAAACAATAGAAGCTAGATTAGAGGTAGAAGCTAACATCAAAAGGTTACTCTAAAGCCAGATCAACAAAGAAACAAACCTTTCAACTTAAGAAGACATAAGAGCAACTATTAATTGTGCTTAACGTAGAGTCATCCTTCCTATATATGTTTTAGTTTCTACATAGCATTACAAGTTAATGACGCAATGCAGTTCCACCGTTCTTGTCTTGTTGTTGTTAAATAGAATCCCCCTCAAGATTCCAGAGCCACAAAGCAACTGTTAGTGTTCGGTGACCTTCTGCACCAGCTGTCTTTTGGGCTTTGAAATTGATTTTCCTCATCTCAGTCTCTGATAGTCTCTCTTCAAGTGTGTCTCTCTAGCTCATCACCAGAGTGAAAACAGTGGCACAAATAGCTGAGGAACTGGAGGCAGGCTCCGTGCAGGGCATCATTGGAAACATCAGAACAAAAGGTGTGCTCTGTGTTAAAAAGAAGCCGCCGCGGCTGCTGCTTTATTGCTGAATACAATGGGGAATATTCTCACAGGTTCACTTTTTTTCATTCCCAAATATGGTCTGAGAAGTAAAGAAAATTTCTGCCTTTATTCTACAAACCTCATGTGGATGCCAGGTCAAAAGCATATGTTTTTGATAGCAATTTTTGCAGAATTTTTTACGTGTGAGAAGCATATTCCCAGAGCTGTATGACTCGGCAGAGTCACAGGATGGGAAGAGACTAATGACACACAAAAATGTGTGCTTTATAGAGAATTAGGTGATGATAATTTCCTTGTGCGGAAACTCACTGTCTACTCTCCATATAGCCGAATTTCAGTATTCCATTCCTTCGTTAAATATTTGTAGAGTCCTAAACATAAAGTAACCATTGTGTTGGACCTTGAGAACGGGTAAAAAGAAGTCCTTGGGCTTAAAGACACATTAATCACAATATGCACTTTGGCAGTGTTTGATATAGTGCAATGAAAGAGCCATTGTTGCCTTTGGAAAGAGGGTATCCTTTCTGAACCCCAAAACTAACAGAGTCCTGCGAAATCTGAGACCAAATATTCTCTGCTATAGAAAATATACTGACATAGATCATAGTAATGTCTAAGAGATTTTTACATGTATATTTTCACATATCTATTTTGAGGCCTAATTTTACCTGAAGGAATCCGTCTACACAAAATGACACCATTTGTTTGTAAGTAGTTTCAAAATACATCAGTTTAAACAATCTTTACTAATTCTTTCTTTACTTACATACTAGAAAGTGATCTGAAAATATCAAAGACTGGTGATTTTATTTTTTGATTGATTGACTGATTTTTGAGACAGGGTCTTGCTCTGTTGCCCAGGCTGCAGTACAGTGGTGCAATCACAGCTCACTGCAGCCTCAAACTTCTGGGCTTAAGCATTCCTCCTGCCTCACCCTCCTGAGTAGCTGGGGCTACAGGTGCATGGCACCATGCTAGGCTAATTTTTAAAAAAGTTTTTATCACGCCTGTAATCCCAGCACTTTGGGAGGCCAAGGCGGGTGGATCCCCTGAGGTCAGGAGATCGAGACCATCCTGGCTAACAAAGTGAAACCTCGTCTCTACTGAAAACACAAAAAATTAGCAGGACATGGTGGCGGGCGCCTGTAGTCCCAGCCACTCGGGAGGCTGAGGCAGGAGAATGGCGTGAACTCAGGAGGCAGAGCTTGCAGTGAACCGAGGTCGCACCACTGCACTCCAGCCTGGACAACAGAGCGAGACTCCGTCTAAAAAAAAAAAGATTTAGTAGAGATGAGGTCCCACTGTATTGCCCAGGCTGGTCTTGAATTCCTGGGCTCAAGCAATCCTCCTGCCTCATTGTTTTAAAATATAGTGCACAGGTGATTTGGCTTCTCTTCCCATGTTTTATAGCATTTCTGTATTTATTATGCACGTACATCACCAAGGCCCCAGTCTGATATACACAATCGGATTGAAATCTCAAAAGTACCTCTTCTCTGTGACTAATCTGAGTACAGTACAGGTCCCAATCTGAGGAGGGGTACTTCTGAGATTTAAAGTCAGTGGCTGGCCAGGCATGGTGGCTCATGCCTGTAATCCCAGCACTTTGGGAGGCCAAGGCAGGAAGACTGCTTAAGGGTAGGAGATTGAGGTCAGCCTGAACAACATAGGGAGACCCCCATCTGTACAAAAATATATATAAATATATATATAAAATATATAATATATAATACATATTATAATATATAATATGTATTATATATATAAAATATATAATATATATTATATATAAAATATATAATATATATTATATATAAAATATATAATATATAATATATTATAATATATAATAATTATATATTATATATAATTATATATATAATATATAATATATATATTATATATATATATATTAGCCAGATGTGGTGGTGCACATGCTGTAGTCCAAGCTACTCAGGAGGCTGAGGAAGCAGGATTACTTGGGGCTGGGAGGTCAAGGCTCCAGTGAGCTGTCTTCACACCACTGTGCACCAGCCTGAGCAGCTGGAGTAATGTTAGAACAAATAACAAAATATACAATCACAAAGATGTGATTTTAGAATATTACATCTTTGTTTTGAGCAATATCTCAAAATTACATTTTCTTCTAAGAAAAATAATAATTGCGGCAGGGCATGGTGGCCCACGCCTGTAATCCCAGCACTTTGGGAGGCCAAGGCGGGCAGATCACCTAGGTCAGGAGTTCGAGACCAGCCTGGCCAACATGATGAAACCTCGTCTCTACTAAAAATACAGAAATTACCTGGCATGGTGGCACATGCCTTTCATCCCAGCTACTCAGGAGGCTGAGGCTCCTCCCAGGAGGCGGAGGTTGCAGTGAGCCGAGATCACACCACTTCACTCCAGCCTAGATGACAAGAGCAAAACTCTATCGCAAAAAAAAAGAAAAAGAATAATTTCATAGCAACTCAAGCCCTTGCCAAGATTGGTGATCTCATGATCTACTGATGTCTCAAGTTTTGGAAATTTAAACAGAGGTGTCTGATTTGAAGTCAGCCTCTATCAAACTTACTGTCTCTCACGTAGTAGATATTCACGTTTTTAGTGTTGAGGCTAAGTTCATAATCTTGAGAGTCCCATAGGCTCAGATTCAAATCCTATCTCCCGTGGAGAAACAGCATACTTTGAATAAAGCTAAAACACACATCCCAGGCTTGCTTTTTGGTTTTTATAATTTCCAGCCTTATTTATTGCTATTTTATATATTATATGATTTCATTCCTTTATTAGCTGTGGCTTCTTGGCCAAGGTACTTAACTTTTTGAGGCTCACTTTTCCTCGTCTACATAATAGTCACCATTTTATTTATTTTACACATATTTATTGAACACCTACAACATGCCAAGAACTTTTTAAGCCCTGTTAATACAGAGGTGAATAGGACTTCATAGAGTTTACATTCTAATGGGAGAAGACAAACCATAGATGATTTGTGGAGTGAATATATCATTCATAGTCCATCAGTATAGTACGTTAGAAATGCAACTTTTAAAAATATTTGTTTATGTTTTTTATTTTTATTTTTTTAGACAGAGTCTCTTTTTTTTTTTTTCTTTGAGACTGAGTCTCGCTCCATTGCCCAGGCTGGAGTGCAGTGGTGTGATCTCTGCTCACTGCAAGCTCTGCCTTCCAGGTTCACGCCATTCTCCTGCCTCAGCCTCCCGAGTAGCTGGGACTACAGGCGCCCACCACCACGCCCGGCTAAATTTTTTTTGTATTTTTAGTAGAGACGGGGTTTCACTGTATTAGCCAAGATGGTCTCGATTTCCTGACCTTGTGATCCACCTGTCCCCGCCTCCCTAAGTGCTGGGATTACAGGTGTGAGCCACCACGTCTGACCCTATTTCTTGAGACAGAGTCTTACTCTGTCACCAGGCTGGAATGCAGTGGTGTAGTCTCAGCTCACTGCAACCTCCATCTCCTGGGTTCAAGCAATTCTCCTGCCCCAGCCTCCCTAGCAGCTGGGATTACAGGCCCCCGCCATCACATCTGGCTAATTTTTTGTATTTTGTTTGTTTGTTTGTTTGTTTGTTTGTTTTTACTGGAGACAGGGTTTCAGTGTGTTGGCCGGGCTGGTCTCGACTCCTGAGCTTGTGATCCACCCGCTGCGGCCTTCCAAAGTGCTGGGATTACAGGTGTGAGCCACCGCACCCGGCCTGTTTTATTTTAAGCCTCATTCCTAGAATCTTCTCTTCAGGCAGTTTGGGTCCCTCCCTCCCTTACCCCAGCTCTTCCATGATGCTCTGAGCACAGCAGGGAGCTTCTGGTGTTACACTCTTCTCCACTAAGACATCTAGTTTTCATGCTCTCTGTCTTTTCCTAATCCTCCTGATATTGCGGGGGTCGCCTTCGTTCCTATCCGCGAGACCCCTGCTTGTCCAGTGGCACACTCTGCCATCTCTTTGCTTCTCTTGCAGCCATAGAAGTAATTCCGCTTCTTAGAAATTATGCTCAGGCACAGGAATCTCTGCGAGGCTCCCTGACTGCATCGCCTGGATGCTTCATGCGTTTATTTCTCTTTGAGATCCTGTTATCACCTCCGTTCTCTGTCTGAGATGTAAGGCACAGGTTTCCTCTGCTCTCAGGCCCCTTGGATATACGCCGTGGTCTCTGCTTCTCCAGGAATCACGCGGGGAGGCCAGGAGCAGGGCCTTCATCCCTGGGACATGGTATATCTTCAGCCATTCTTCTCTTTCTCTCTTCCTAGCCCTTAATAAAATGAAATATTTTTTCTAGTCTAAGGGGAATCTTTGTTTTCTAAATATGGTTTCTTTCTGACATTTTGGGTATATCCCAAAGCCTCTCTCCATTTCCACTTTCCCCCAGAGGGTTTTCATGGGACCAAAGACTAAGGTAAGGGACTACGTCGTTGGCCATGGGCCTGCAAACCTGTCGCTACCTGAGTTTTGCGTGTTTCTCTACACGCAGCTTTGCCAGGTAGCTCTCTCTGCTACTTCTGTCCCTTCGAGCATGGCATGGAAGCAGTAGAAAGAGCCTCAGCCTTCCTTGGAGTCTTGCCACTTCCCCAGAATGCCACTCACGAAGCAGAAGGCAGGCTTCTCTCCCTGGGCCCTGTTGCTCCTCTGCTGTTACCAGCTCCCCTCAGGTTCTCCACCTGCTCCCAGCGTGGACATGTTCCCCTTTCTGGAGGGAAGCCCTTTCTCCCCTCACACCATTTTTCTCCCCAGTCCACTCTATTTCACTCAGCAGTCTGGGCTTTAGAAAACCGGTAAGAGACTCAAGCTATTTCTTCCTTCATCTTATTTCATTTCTCCTGGAGGCAATGAAATAAAACTAGAATGAGAGGATTGAGGCAGAGGAAACACAGAAAGGGAAAAAAGTCAGGAGGAAAAAACATGCTTTCAATAGTACTTCAGAAACTTGATTTACCGCACAAATAAATAACAAGATCACTGATTGTAATAAGCACTTTGAAGAAAATGATAATACGTGGTAATACTATGGAGAGTAGAGGGAACAGGGCTTTGGATTGGGTGGTCAAGTAGTAACGTCTGAGCTGAGATTTGGAGGATGAAGGCTGAAAATACAAATAGGCATTTTATTCTTCACCGCATTATGGTGAAAATTGTAATGAAACAACAATACAGTGCTTAGTAGGTACTCAGGAAATGGCAGTTATCATTATTGTTGTTAATGAAGCCGACAGAATGGACACCTAGCTCAGGTCCATCGGTGATACCAGGAGGGGTCATCCAAGACTGAGCTGATGCCAAAGCCCACACTTGTAGCACGGGTCCCCGACCACTGGGCTGTGGACCAGTACAGATCTGCGGCCTGTTAGGAACTGGGCCACACAGCAGGAGGTGAGTGGCAGTCGGGGGAGGGAGCGTTACTGCCTGAGCTCCGCCTCCTGTCAGATCAGAGATAGCATTAGATTCTCACAGGAGCACAAACGCTGTTGTGAACTGCGCATGTGAGGGATCGAGGTTGTGCGAGAATCTAATGCTTGATGATCTGAGGTGGAAAAGTTTCACCCCGAAACCATCCTCCCCACCCCCCTATTCCTGGTCCAGGGAAAAATTGTCTTCCACGAAACCGGTCCCTGGTGCCAAAAACGTTGGGGACCGCTGCAGTAAAGTAAGCGAATTGTCCCACAGTCATAGGAAATGTCAGTCCTTTTCCTATACTTGGCAAAGATGATCATTTGGCCCTGTGAAATTCATACACCAGTGTTTGCCAGGACTTTTTAGGGTGGAACTTCCAGAAGATAATAATAGGATGTCTGTCCAATTACATGGATCTGTCCAAGCTTCACAAGAGGCATGCTTTGCACCCTTTAGGCTGCCTTTTAAATCCTCTCCAGTGGCGTTGAGGGAATAGGCTGTTTCTACGGGCTGCTGAGCCTCCTGCTCACTCTTCATGTATAATCCTGAAAAGAGCGAGAATCTAGGTCCGGGCCAACATGATTCACAGGCCAGATCTAGCCCTGTTCCTTACTTTTTGGTACTGCTTGTGAGCAGAGAATGGTTTTCACATCTTTAAATAATTGACAGCATGAAAAGAAAAGATTTCATGACATGGGAAAATTCTATAAAGTTAAAATTTCAATGTCTACAAAAAAGTGTTATTGGAACAGAGCCAGAGTTAAACATGTATGCATTGTCTATGGCGGCTTTCACGATAGAACAGCAGAGTTCAGTGATATCGCTGGAAAAGCCTAAAATATTTACTCTGTGGTCCCTTACAGCAAAAGTTTGCTGATGCCTGATCTAAATGACATAGTCCATCTTCTTATCCAGACTACATGCCAGTGTGAAATCGCCAGTATCAAATTTGTAAACCAGGGAATTAATTTTGTACACATTCGTTTTGATGATGTTACATTTTGAATTGGCATTTAAAATCTTCAAATTATACTTTTTTGGTCCTTTGAATAGAGACTGTGATATGTGATTTTGAGCAAAATAATAAATAACTAATGCTTATTGAGCACTTACCTTGTGCTAGATACTAATGTAAACACTTTATATATGCATTACTTCATTTAATCCTTGGAAAATGCCTGTAAACTGTAGGTACTGTTATTATGCCCTTTTTACAGATGATAAAACCAAGACACAAAACTTGAGTAACTTACCCACCATCTTGCAGCTATTTATAGGTGAAGTCTGGCTTTGAACTCAGACAGTGTTGTTTCAGAGCGCTTAATAACCAGGCTGAATATGGTAGGAGGTACTGATGCTGCCTCCAACATATCACTTAATTCAGGCTATAAACTTTTAAATTAGCTTTTTAAAGTAGTTCAGTGGGGGGAGATGGGCTCATAATACAGTCGCTAGTATAATTTGTACAAGTGGCAACTCATCATTTGCATCTGTTCTAATTTTGTGTTTGACAAAGCATTTTTTAGAGACATTAGCTCTAGTCTCTAAAAGCTCTAGTTTTGCAACCCTGTTAAAATAAGTAAGTCATTAGTGCCATTTTTTTTACAGGTCAAGAAAAAAAACTGAGGTTCCCTAGGACCACATTACTAGGAAATGATAGACCAGGGACTGATTTTCAATCCAGAATTCTTTCCACTCTACCGACCTGTATTAGGCCAACTTTCATGACTTTTACCGTATCTGTAGACCAGCTTCACTATTTTTCACGTAATAGTTTTCTGGAGATTGATTCTTTGTAACTTTTAAATACCTATTCAGCCTTTTCTAAGCAATAATATACATAAAATAAATGAGTGTGATCCTTTTTTATTAATTGGATACTTACATAACACTTGGTATATTCCAAGCACTTTACTTTAAATATTAACTCATTTAAGTTTCATAATAACCCTGTGAGGTAGATACTATTACCATCCTCATTTTATACATTAAGAAACCAAAACTGACTTTCAGTAACTCGCCAGGGACACATACCTACTAAGTGGTTAGGTGGAATTTGAACCTTGGCAGTCTGGCTTCCCAATTCTGTCCTATTAGCCCCTTAATTTGTTTGATATATTCAGTATTTCTCCAATATACAATAAGTATATGAGTATTAAAATTAGAAGTATTTAGCTATGTCTTATCTAAAATGACCTTGCATAAAGACTGTACCATATCAGATTGGAAGATCTCTGTATCTTCTGAATGTGAAAGAGAGCACAGTCTGTTGACTTCATTGAATGTATTAGGAACATCGTAATAAGTGTCACTTACTGAATATACTGTATATTCAGTGGATACTCACTGAATATACTGTAAGTAACCAGCATAATATTAAAAGTAAACCATGAAACAAATGGTGCTTTTTTAAAATTTGGAGACTTCTGTTGTTAATAGGAATATTAAAATTAGTTACCTTTCCTGAAGAATTCCTTTTACAGTGCTCTTGTCATGTGACCACACAATTTCTGCTTAAACATTGTCAAGGAAGACAGCATACAACTTTTAGAGACAGTTTGCTCTCTGTTGTATGGCTCGGTGGTTAGGGAATGTTTCCGTATTTGATCCAGAATCTGCTTCACTGACCCCTTCATTTATTTAGGTTTGGTGTTAGAAGATGTTCCATGATTCCTTCCCTGTCCCTACCCCCAGCAGGTTCACACTCCTGATTATGTTTGACATAAGCTAACAATAAAATAGTTTGCATCGTTTGAGAACTGAGCAGCTGCCTGTAACCGAACTTGTTTTTATAGTACTTATTAGCAGAGAAGCAGGCCAAGAGGACAGTGTTTCCATGGACATCCAGAAAATAAATCAGTCTGCAGAAGATCCGCGTGATCATGCATACTCGTGTTTATATGAGCGCATAGTCTCATGAGTAGTAAATGGCCATGTAGCTGGGTTTCTTTTGCTAACTGTGAAAATGCTCTTAGGGTAATTCATCAAGGGACATTCCAAAATGGTTTTGTTCAGGAAACAGTATGATTAGAAAATCTTTATAGTCTCTCAAGATGTCTACTTGAAGGGACAGTGATCATTTATGATCATTTATATGTATAAATCCTGCTATCTACATTAGAAATCAGTCTCTTTCATTAGAGTCATTATTGTGAGTTAGATTCTTTGGTTAAAACATTTCCTTAATTTTTAATGTTTTAGGTTATATAGGATAAATTCTTTTAAAAAAGAGAGAGAGAGCAAAAGAGACAGGAGAGCTAAATGCATCGCTGTCTCTTGTCTCTTGTATCGTAACATATTTGTATCTTATAATGATATTCTCCTTTTCCACAGGCATTTCCTATTCAAAACAGGAACAGGTACAACGCCACTGTTCAGTACTGCAACCCCAGGATACACAATGGCATCTGGCTCTGTTTATTCACCACCTACTCGGCCACTACCTAGAAACACCCTATCAAGAAGTGCTTTTAAATTCAAGAAGTCTTCAAAGTACTGTAGCTGGAAATGCACTGCACTGTGTGCCGTAGGGGTCTCGGTGCTCCTGGCAATACTCCTGTCTTATTTTATAGGTAAGAACAAGTTCTTAGAATTACTTTGTCTGTAAATCAGGGTGTTACATTGTTTTATTACTTGTATTTATTCATTTGGTCTAGAAATATATTGTGAGATTATATTTGGTGGGGGTGAGTTTGGTAATAATGTATCATAAATCACAGAGTATTTTCAGTAATTTTCAGCAAATTTAGATACATAGAAAAGCAGGTTTTGTGGGTAGTGAGGTAATATTCTTGGACAAAAGCTATAGGGTACATTTGTGTTTGACTTATCCCTTGTGAAACATGGATAGCTCTGTGGCATTTCATGTACACAAAATAATTCATGCGCTTGCAGTAATGAACCCTGTGCAGGATTTCCTTCAATGCGTACTCAATAGGGAGCTCTCCACTGCTTGTGATATTGTAAGTCTCTCAGCTCACTCAGCCATCTAAATGTAAAACTCATCACTCAGGGCCATCATCTTGCACTCAGGAACACTCTCCAGAGAACTGGGCGTCCATAAAGCAATGAATGGATTATATACTCATTCATATATGTGGATTTTTCTTCTCTTCTGATGTAGTATTGATCATGTTTTTCATTTGATAGTAACCCAAATAATGGAAGCTACTAATAGAAGTTGTAAATATTGCTTTTATTTAACCATTTCATAACATATCTGAGCATTCACACTACTGGAAATCGCTTTTTAAAATGCCAGAAATGACCACATTGTGTTTTGATCTTCTTCTAAGTATAGGAAAAGGCCTACCACATTGAAATGCTAATGGTGTCCACTGAGATAAATCACAGGCTTTGTGGTTTATCCACCAAGAACAATAGCCAGTGATGCATCCTCAGGTTTACAAAGCAATTTGTGATGCCCCATGAAATTCTATAACTGAATAAGAGTATTGCAGAGCTGTATGTAGAATACTATGATGTTTCTGCAGTGGACCAGTATCTTCCACTGGCTACAATACTCCTGTGATATAATTATGCACTTTGGAAAGTGAAATAACCATTTTGTGTCAGTGTTCAATGGGAAAACAGAATTGTAGAGCATGAAGGAACTTTAGAGACAATTGAGTCAGGAATGGCAACTACGTGACAAGTTATACAGTATTTTTTCCAATTTTTTGACCATGGAAGACATCATTAATGATTCACAGCACTTTCTCTCCTTAACCCGATTACATGCTGCTTATCTTCATCAGAGTGCTTCATACAGTACCTCTGACGGCCTCTACCAGTCAGAGGTAAAAGCAAGATGAAACCTTTCTGTTACCTTTCTGTCATCTTTTAATCTAAGTTAACTTTCTCCTTATAAAGACGGTCAAACCAGATACTGAAGGGGTTGTCTCTTGACTAGGATCACACCCTAGTGAAACAATACTGCTGTTGTTTCATAACAGTGAAGGTAAATGAGTAATTTCACAACAAAAATCAATATTCCAGAGACAGATTTCTAGTATTCGGTTAGAAAATGTATCAGCCATCAAGAGATTCTCTTCTAGTTAGCTGTGTATATTATTTGTACCTGTCAGAAGTGTGCTGCTAAAGAATTTTAAATGGTTCTGAAAGGGACCAGTCATAAATGGGATGTAATAAATTAAGAATATGTATTTGAACTGAACAAGGAGAACACACGGGCACAGGGAAGGGAACAAGACACACTGAGGCCTGTCATGGGGTTGGCTGAGGGGAGGGAGAGCATTAGGTAAAAACAGCTAATGCATGCTGGACTTAATACCTAGGTGATGAGTTGACAGGTGCAGCAAAACCACCATGGCACACATTTACCTATGTAACAAACCTGCACATCCTGCACCTGCACCCTGGAACTTAAAAATAAAAAAGAATATGTGTTTGTTGGGGATTTTATTTATTTATTTATTTTATTTTATTATTATTATTTTTTTTTTACTAAATGGGGCACACCAGGTAGATAAATATTCAGGGCTGGAATTCAGTGTCAGGTTGACTGGTCAGGCATCCTTTCTGATTGATAAGTGCCTGTGTGCTTCCAGTTGTTAAATATTTTGAATATCAATTCTAATGCCATTTAATTTTATTTTCATGGTGTGACTAGCAGGAAAAAATAGCATTTTAATGTGAGATCAGTCACTGTTACCTGTGAGACTTGTACTCTTTTTAAGGACCCATTAGTGAATATAACTCTCAGACTTCTAAGTAAAAACTCAAAATTTTCCTTTTTTTTTCATATTGCCTAGTTTTACTTTTTAGTAATTACCAATCTGCTTTATTCCTACTAGTACCATGGTCATAAACCTTCCCTTTGCTTTTATTTTTCCCCACATGGCAACATGCAAATTATCTAGTTAATATACTCATGTAGGGTTTTCAGTTCAACAGATATTTATTGAACATTTGTTTTGATCTAGTTATTGTGCTAGGAATTAAGAAGATACAATCCCAGTGTTATCTAGCAAAAAAATTACTTTTATCTTCAAAGAATTGTCTCATACTTTTATCACTTTAATTAAGCACATGTGTGCTTCCAATTTTCATTGGTCTTCCTATATTTAAAGGGCTAACACACTAACACAATGATTTTATTTTTAATCAGGTAAAAAAATTTCATTCGCTCATCAGTTCGCATGGTAAATCTTTTTTGATTAAAGACGTTGCCTTTACCCTTGAAGAAAAGAACAGGACACTTCTCTCAGGGAAGGCTGTCCTTTTCTGTTAAGTGTGCATGTAAAGCAGAGAGGGAGAAAAGAAACACTTGCCCGTCCAGCCAGATCAGTCTGATAAACCCCAGTATCAATGAGGAAGACCAATGTCATCATGAGATTGACCTTGCAACCTTTAACAGAAATGCAGCCTTCCTGAAGCTTTTTTTTCCATTCCCTTAGAATTCCCTTCTCTTATATTGACCGTTAATATACAGTAAAAGCCTAAGACATTAAAAAAGAGCTTGAGGAATTATTTCTTCGAATATTTTTTCTTACCTTCCAGTAAGATAATGAGAACTTACGACAATGTAGATTTAACATGTCTCTTCTCTAAGGTAAGTTGTCTCAGGATAGACAAGGTGAACAGCTTCTGAAAGAGAGGCAAGGAGGGAGGGAGGGAGGTGGACAGGCTTTGTTGTTTATTTTTTCTATTTCTTCAAAATTTCAGAGAGTAAAGAAAGACCTTAAAAAGTGAAAATTAATTGTAATCCCACAGTGCATGCTGTCAACTTTTTGGTGTGTATCCTTCCAGATATTGTCCCATGTACATATACAGCTAGAGGTCCATATTTTTAAATGCATTTTATACTAGGCTTTTCTCACATATCATTCATTATACATCATCTATATAATTTTATTTAGTGGCTATTCTTAGTTAACTAGTTCCCCAAAATACAGTGACTTATTTTCTTGTACCTGTGTCCGTGCATGTTGGTGTGTGCGTATGTGTTCATTTGATCCAGTTTTTTATTGGTATACATTTTTTGAAGGATGTTTGCTGTACCACAGAGTAGGCATGTTTTAAATTTTGAAAACCATGGCAACTGTCAGTTTACATAACCACCAACGCTAGTCATTACATCTATTTATCTGTCTATATTTTATTATGCATATTTTTAACTTTTGCCAATCTCTTAGGTTAAAAGGTTGTTATTTTGATTTATTACTAGTAGCGCTGACTATCTTCTCATACATTTATTGGCCATTTGTATTTCTCTTTTTGTGTGTGAATAGCCTCCACTTTTCTATTGGGGCTATTCTCTTTTCTTTTTGATTTAAAAAGGCTATTTTCAATTAAGGATATGAATTTTTTGTCACATGTTATGTACTTCTCCAATTTATTATTAACTTTGGTCAGAGTCATTTTTACCATATTTCATTCACAAGTTTTAAAGTCGTCAAATGTATTTTTCCCTTTATATTTCTGGCTTTCAAGACATACCTGTAAAGTCCTTATTTAATCTAAGTGTTAGTTTTTATTTATTTGGTATATTTTTATTTTTTGGAGACAGGTTCTCACTCTGTTTTTTTCTTTAAATTTCTAGCTTTCATGCCATACTTATCTAATCTAAGTATTAGTTTTTATTTATCTTTTATATTTTTATTTTTTCAAGGCAAGATCTCACTCTGTCTCACAGGCTGGAGTGCAACGACGCAGTCACAGCTCACTGCAGCCTCTGCCTCCTGGGCTCAAGTGATCCTCCCATCTCAGCCTCCCTAGTAGCTGGGACTACAGGCACACACCACCATGCCCAGCTAATTGTTTTTATTTTTTTGTAGAGACAAGATCTCCCTATGTTTCCTAGATTGGTCTCAAACTCCTAGGATCAAGCTGTCCTCTTGCCTCAGCCTCCCAAAGTGCTGAGATGACAGGAATGAGCCACCACTGTGCCCAGCCGAGGATTTTTAAAAATGTTCTTCAACTTACTCTGGTACTTAATGGTTTTTCAGTAACTATTTTTAAGTTAACATTTTCTTGGCCACTCTGATAGATGTCAGAGGTCCAAATTAGCTCTTCATTCTAGACGCTCATAGTCAAGTGATGAGGACGTGCATAAAAACACTCTTAACACCATACATGCTTTCATACCAGCTTGATGAGCAAAAAGAGAAGAAAGGCGATACCTACGTTTTGCTGTAGATTTGGGGGAAAGACTTGATCTGGCACCTGATGCATGAACTGGAGCTTTGTTCACCTCACGCCAATGGCTAGTGAGAAAATCACCTTGAGATGAGGTCATCTGAGGAACAGCAAGGAGAAATGCGAAATATCTGCCATGGTGCATGTGCAGTGCTTACTGTGCCGGGCGCTGTTCTAGAAACTGTATGAATTACCTCATTTAATTTCCACAACAACCTTAGGAGGTTTCTTCTTTTAACAAATGTAATCTGTGGCTTAGAGAGATGGCTCGCCTGAAGGCACACACACAAGGACTCTTACACTATACTGTCTCCCGTGAGGTTTTTTAAGAAGTAAAAATAGAGAAGAAATTGAAGAGATTTAAGCATAGGAGTGAAAAGGAGTCACATTTATGCTTTTGAAAGATTGTTTCAGTGGCCTTCCAGAACATGCAGTATGATGAAAGGAGGTCCAGAGTTGTGCTTTCCAAGCATTCCTGTGCCTAGGAATCGCCTGGGGACCTTGCTAAGATGCACGTCCTGATTTAGCAGATCCGAAGTGAGAACCGAGATTGGTTTTTCCAGCAGGCTCTCAGGTGATGCTGCCGTGCTTCTCAGACCACAATATGAGTAGCACAGGTCTAGGAAATGCTGTCACGTGTCCCGTTTCATGATGGAAATGTTCTGTTTCCACACTGTCCAATTTAGTAGCCACTAGACACATGTGGCTGTTGAGCACTTGAAATGTAGCTAGTAAGTTGTAGAAACCAAAGTTTAAATTGTGCTGTTTTTCATTAAACTCAAACAGCGACATGGGGCTAGGAACTATCATTTGGATAGTACAAGTCTAGACAACCTGTTAGAAAAGTAGCCATAACTGGGAGATCATGAGGCCCTATTAGGATAGAGGAGCAAGCAGAATTGAGAAACCTTAGCTGACTCATGATAGAATAAATGTGATATGATTTCACCTATCCCAGTTTTTAAAAATCAAATGTACATATGGTAAACTTTCTTTCATTGGAGTCATCTTACCATTTTCTTTGGATTACTGAGCCTGCAGCTAAAATCCTGCTCTAATCCATTAACCTTTTGAGTTGCTGTGCCTTTACGCAACAAAAATTCTACTGATTTCTAACCACAAATGTTAGGTTCAATGATTACAGTTAGTGATACAGACCTACCCAAAGAAATACCTGTTGCACTTCTCTGGGCCCTGATGTACTCATTCTTCTTTTTTGACTCTGAAATTAAAAAAAAAAAAAAAAAAAAAAGATGAGCAGTAACCACCAGTTGTTCACCAAAGAATGGCAAAAAGGAGAAGAGTCCATGTTCTGCGTCTGTTCACCGTTACACGATGGGTAGGAGTCTTGATACTGTTCTTTGCTCACAGAAAGCTCTTTTTTCTGGGTAGAAGATAACCTGAAATGTCAATGTTATACACATAGAAAAATGGCCAGAAATCCCTCATGAAGGATAAACATTATTGACGCATTGCTACATGCAAATCATAATAAATGCTTGGGATGACGCCAATTAAACTGCAAATAAGCCCTCAAATCAGACTTCAAATAACACCGTTATAGACCTTTAATTTCGTGAGCATCTCTGTGCACTGCTAGGCAGAGTCAGAGAATTTCTCCATGTACAGTAGCACCAAAGGTATTTGTACATGAACTTTTTAAGGAACACTAGAGAAAAAAATATTATCAGACTATATTGTGGTGGTATATTTTCTCAATTATCTTGCCCTTTTGGCCAGGTTTTTCCTAACCAGTAATTCATTTGACAACAGAGTGTTTTAAATCACAGCTTTATTGAGACCCAGTGCACATACTGTGTGATTTATCCATTTAAATATACGGTCCAATGGTGTTTAGTGTTACATGTCCACAGAATTTTGCAGCTACCATACAGAACATTTCTCTCACCTCCAAAAAGAATCCCTGCATCCTTTAACAGTCACTCGCTGTTACCTCCCAACACCCAGTCAATACCCAATAGTTTTTTTATCCCCACAAAAATGTTTCCATAAAAATCTGAAATTTTTAAGGGACTGTTTTGCTAACTCATTGCCCAATGAAAACAAATAACTCAGCTTTGTTTTTCTTATGAGCTCCTGACAAGTATAGCAAACCGGAGAACTACTCAAATTTTTACTATTCCTTTCATTTAAAAAATACATATGTAGTTATTTATTTCCTTTGAACAGCTGCTACCAACTGATTTCTAAAATACATGTTGTCATATGCCTGCTAAAAAGGCTGTTTAACAACATAAGCATTCCCTAGATCTGGCAAAACATAACCTGTCGAATCCAGGTTCATTGCAGTTATGATTCCTTAGCAGTTATCTGTCCTACTTCTGGGCCTATTTGCATTTTATGAACACTTTTACCTCTCTGTGTACCTTGAAATTGATTATGGTAGTAGCTATATATGTGCAACTCAGGGTCAGAAGGGAAAATACGCCAGCCCTTTATGCTTCATGAAAAATCAGCCATTTAACTATATATGGCAAAATAAAATGTGTTTGACATTCTTTTTTCTTTTTGGACATGTCTTTGTAATAAAAGTGCTGTTTTATAATGTT
Source organism: Homo sapiens (assembly GCF_000001405.40). Classification (NCBI taxonomy): domain Eukaryota; kingdom Metazoa; phylum Chordata; class Mammalia; order Primates; family Hominidae; genus Homo; species Homo sapiens. Next base: position 182,636,048 of record NC_000004.12, read on the forward strand.
CTAGAACACAGCCAAGCAATGAATTACATACCATTTTCCACTACAGCTTCTTCCCTTCACTCTGAGTTGCATTATAGTCAGAAAATGCGTTTTTGTCTGAGATGGTATGGAAGCATTTTAATACTAACATGATTTCATCACATTGTAGGAAAAAATGTGTTGCCTATATTTTAGAGGATGGAAAATTGTAAGACTAAAAATTTAGAATCAGTTTTTCAATATTTTATTTTATTCTGGAATCCTTAAGGACATATTTAAGCCTGATTCAATGGTGATTAAAGACTCAGAATAAAAGAATTTACCAGTATAGAAAGTAAGCTCCTCCTCTCCCCACAAACATAATGTATTTTACTCTTAGTTTGATATGAGGTCAGCTAAAGTAAATAACATATGCAAATAATACACTTGGCCGGGCACAGTGGCTCACACCTGTAATCCCAGCACTTTGGGAGGAGGCCAGGAGTTCAAGACCAGCCTGGCCAGCACGGTGAAACCCCATCTCTACTAGAAACACAAAAAGTTAGCCAGGCATGGTGGCACGCACCTGTAGTCCCAGCTACTCGGGAGGCTGAGGCAGGAGAATCACTTGAACCCAGGAGGCAGAGGTTGCAGCGAGCAGAGATCGCGCCACCGTACTCCAGCCTGGGCAACAGAGTGAGACTCTGTCTCAAAAAAAAAAAAAGAAAGAAAGAAAAGAAAAGAATACACTTAAACAGATTGTGTTTACCATTTAAATATAGGGATCTCTCTGACTTGAAAAATATTCAAAGACAGAACAATAAGAAATACCTTTAAAGTCAGCTTACATCCAGTTTATGCTAGATATAAATATCTTATTCATGAAATATAGTGAAGTTTTCTCTGTTTTAAACTATCATTTTTGCAAAACGTAGCAACATCTCCTAATGACAAGTGGAAAGCTTAATGCAATATTTACCACTTTACTGCTACGTTGCATAAATATTTAATTGGTGTTGCATATGTCATTTGCTTTTACATTAGTGGTACTAACAGCGGCATATTCAGAGAGAAATGTCTGCATAGAGAGGAGTGAAAGAAAAGTAAATGGCATAAATAAGGTTAAAAAAACTTGAATTACTAGGAATTTTAGAAGTGAATTCAGCATAAAACCTTTAAGTTTCATGGAAACTATATCAAACAAAGGTTTCATCCTAGAATATACAAATAAAGATACAAATATCAAAGGTTTCATCCTAGAATATACAAATAAAATTTAAATTTGTATAGAGTTTGTTGTTCCCACATCATCTTAGAATGTCTGCAGACTGCTCACATTGTCCCTTTTCCTTAAAAATAAGATTCCAAAGCCAGACGTGGTGGCAAGCATCTGTAGTCACAGCTTTCTGGGAGGCTGAGGCAGAAGGATCACCACTTGAGCCTCGGAGTTTGAGGCTGTAATGCCTGATGATCATGCCTGTGAATAGCCACTGCACTCCAGCCTGAACGACATAGCAAGAGCATCTCTAAAAAATAAAAAATAGATTTAAAAAAATTCCAGTTTCTTCTTTAGTGACTTTGGTAATATAACACCTGTCAGAAAAGGAACTGACCATTCATTCATCCGTCATTCATTCAACATTTATTTATCAGGTGACTACCATGGGTCAGACACTGTGACAGAGACAGCAGTGAAAATACAGTCCTTGCCTCTTAGAGATTATATTCTTTTGTAGAATGCAAACACTGAGTAATTAATTACAGTTATAGTAACTGTTTGAAAAGGAGAAATGTAGGAAACTAAGAGAGTGCATAAAAGACAGAACTTTACTGAATCTGAGCATTCAAGATTTTCCTGCTAAGGCCTAAATAATAACTGAGATTATGTGTTTTGACAAATGCTGACGTAGGGACAGATTCTAAGTGTTACCACATAAACCTAAATGTGACCCAAAAATATCAACTGTCAGGGTATTAAAACTAATATATTGTGATATAATGAAAATTTATCCATGTGTTAGGGGAAAAATTTTTTTTTTTTTTAGTTTTCATTATTGACTTAGTTTACCTAGAGCCCAGTGTTCCAGTTAACATCTAGAAGTAGAAATGTCACTTTGGAAATTTGGGGTAACTAGATCTATAATTGCCGCAAGAATCCCATAGTCTCTTTCTGTTTGTTCCTTTCTCTTAATTTCAGATAACGTACATGCATGCTTTAAGAATTTTATTTATAAAGAATTTTCAAAAAAATGTTTTTAAAAACTGGTAAAGGAAAAGATATCTCTGACTTCTTTCCATTCATGAGTACTCAATCTGTTTTGAAGAAATTAAAAACATACAGATGTGTGTGTCTGTATCCTACATCGCAAAAGCTGTTTGGAGATAAGCGTCATGTTGCCCTGTGTTTGATAACTAAGGAGGTCAGCACGTCTCATTTTCATGATTGAGTTGGGCCTAAAGGTGCAAAGAATCTTACTCTGAGGCCCCCCCATTGTGCATCTTCCCATTGTACAGTCTATACAGTGACTCGAAGAACAAGTATGTTTTTTTAGCTAGATCCACCTCTGTATAATACTAAGATATTTTCTGAGAAAAGATTTCATGTTATTAATGATAAGAACTTCCAGTCCTTCTGTTACCTGTTACATTTTATCGTGGTGACTTATCCGGGAGGGAATTAATGCTCCTCTTCTGGTGGCTGTCCATCAGCCAGCCTGGCATGACATTGGCTGGCTCTGTCCTGGGATTGTCTTATCACCCTAATACTTTAGCCACTGCCTGATCCTTTCTGTTTTCTCCTCCACTGGGGAACCCATTCTCTTTATGACTTTCAGTAAGCCTCCACCTGCCCCTGAAGGAGAGGAAACCTGTCACATATTATCCTGCATTTCCCAGAAAGACAGAAGGATATCCAAAGCTACCTAGAAGATTACTGCATATAATTTGTAGAATATGGGGCTCTTGGTTTTGAGAGAAAATTGTACAGGTGGTTTTGCAGATTTCAGATTTTTGCTTATTTTTTCATGTATCTCCTTTTAATTATTTCTAATATCAAAGTCAATTTCATTAAACTTAGCTGTTTTTGAATACCTTTTCTAAATACTGAATTCACAAAGATGAGTAAGAAGTAATATTTATCACAGTGATCTCACACTCTTATATGACAAGATATAATTTGAAATTTGTATACCATAGTACAATTTATTTTTAAAATACTGTTAATAAGTATAGACTCTCAAAGCAGCCAGATTTGTGTTTGTATCTCACCTTTGTCACTTAATAACTATGTAATCTTGAACAGGGTAGTTAACCTTCGTAAACCTGAATTTCTTCCTCAATATAAACAAGTTTCAAAATAGTACAGCTATGGGGAAAATTGAATAATGTGCCTGGCAAAATGTAAGTGCTCAGTTAATTTTAGCTCTTCTTCTTCTTCTTTGTAACAACCTAGTAAATTAAGTACTATTATCCACACTTTTTTAAAAGAAAAATCTTAGGCCCAGAAAATCAGTGACTTGTCCAGTCAGCAAGTCCTTTAAAAGGAACCATAATCTAGGTCTCCTTATTTTAAGTCCAGAACTTTTCCCACTATATCACAGAGCATTGTTTCTCCTAAGGTTTAAGAATTTATAGATAGAACATGAACTGAAGAATAAATAACAATGAAAGACAAAATGAGAAATGAATTCCATTTTGAATTCTTATTTTCTTATGTCAGATTATGTCACGAGGAAGGTCTCAGCAGATGTTAGCCATCTCTGACACTTGCCTTTAACATCTCTTTTACAAATAAAGAGTAATTTGGACCGGGTGTGGTGGCTCACACCTGTAATCCCAGCATTTTGGGAGCCTGAGGCGGGCAGATCACGGGTTCAGGAGATTGAGACCATCCTGACCAACATGGTGAAACCCCGTCTCTGCTAAAATACAAAAAATTAGCCGGGCGTGGTGGCGCGCACCTGTAGTCCCAGCTACTCGGGAGGCTGAGGCAGGAGAATTGCTTGAACCCAGGAGGCGGAGGTTGCGGTGAGCTGAGATCGTGCCACTGCACTCTAGCCTGGCAATAGAGCAAGACTCTGTCTCAAAAATACGTAAATAAGAGTAATTTTGCTGATTTCTATTCATATCAAGATACACTGATTTTTCCCTTAAGGTAATACAGAATTTCCTTTAGAAATAAATGTATTAAAATTTTAAGTCAATCACTTAAAAAAGAAGTATATAAATGTAAAATACTGACTTACAAAATAATACTATAGAAGGTTCACTATTATAAAGGTGATCGGCACATTTTTACCAATACAGGAATCACTGCTGAGGGAACTGAAAATGCTGTGGGGCTTTTCCACTGGGTTTCCCAATTTTATTCCAGATCCTTAATCTTTTTGTTAACTACATTTCTAGTTTTAACAAGCTAATTGCATGATATGGTTAGTAAGCCTATATGAGTTACATAGAATTTGTTTATAAAACCTAACTATATTGTTTCAGTCATTTCAAATAATCATAAATTTTACATTTTCCATTTTTAGAGTAATGATATTTTTAGATGCCTTTTTTTACTTCTTCAAATACATTCTTCATGATCTTGGAAAAGAGTCACATAAAGAGAAGCATTGCATGTTTAAAATAAGAAAGTGGGCCATTTATTTTTAGGAAAGGAGACTGAGACCACCAAATACAGAAGCAGGCTGGCAGTGTGGGCAAGTCTCCCAGGGATCAGAGACTGCAGCTTCCTCTGTGTTTTGCTTTGAAATATATTTCCACAAATGCTCCATAAATATTCATTAATAATGGTTAAGTTAGGAGTAACTAAGGAAAACTGCTCTCCGAGTGATCCCAGATGAAGAGGGAGCAAATGGAACGCAGGCTTCATAAGAACGTTTTTCTCCTCTGCCTGAGGAGTAAGATGAGACACTCATGGGAGACTGATGTCCTCTGTCCAAATAACCCTTACCTACAAGGTGCTGCAGGCACCCAGAGGCCGTAGTGGGTTCCACAGCCCTCTGCTTCTCACAGCCAGCTGAACTTGATAAGGCAGTCTCACAGCCAGCCGAACTTGATAAGGCAGATACCCACTTCATCTTAGTTGACTGAGTGATAAACAACAAATCACATGAGCTGCTCGTGCCTACATTACTGAAGGATCATTGATTCTGTTTCAAGTTTCCTCTTGACATACACGTGCACCTGTGCAAACACACACACGTATACACACACTCACGAATCAGTGTCTGTCTCAAATGTAACGCCTTGGAGAACTGGACTATTACATAGGAGCTGTTTTTCGGATTTTGCCATGTTTTAATATACTGACATTCTTCTAAGGATCTCCATATTTCAATAGTTGGATCTTTCAGTAATGGTGATTACAATGCCTTAAAATTTCAAAGAATTGTAATTTTCAGTTTGTATATTTTACCATTTTTTAAAAAGCCAAAACAAGTGAAGAAATAATTTTATGCTTAAGTCAGTAGCATACATAAACATTTGTTACATAAAAGTAGTATGCAGTTTTTTTTTGTTGTTTTTTTTTTTTTGAGACAGAGTCTTGCTCTGTCACCCAGGCTGGAGTGCAGTGGTACCATCTCAGCTCACTGCAACCTCCACCTCATAGGTTCAAGTGAATCTCCTGCCTCAGCCTCCCGAGTAGCTGGGATTACAAGTGTGCTCCACACGCCTGGCTAATTTTTGTGATTGTAGCAGAGGCGGCGTTTTGCCATGTTGGTCAAGCTGGTCTCAAACTCCTGACCTCAAGTGATCCACCTGCTTCGGCCTCCCAAAGTGCTGGGATTACAGGCGCAAGCCACCGCGCCTGGCCTATGTGTGCAATTCTTAAAGCTGTTATGGGAGAAAGGAACCCAAATGAAAATTGAGTGAGTACTGCAAGCCTTTGAATAATGAGATAGATCTATTGGATTTCAATGGCAAAGCTGCAGGTAACTCACTAATGAATCATCTATTACATACATTTCACAATAACAACAAATTCAATATTTTGGGAAGCAGGGAATAACCCACAAATCATGTAAATGATTTCATTCTGTATTTTGAATGTTATTGAAATAAGTCCTCTTACCATACTCTTCAATATTGACAAGTATTATCTCAAAAATTCTCTAGCTTATAGGTAATGGCTGACCCCTTTGGGCAGCTGATCGTGACGGTTAACACTTTGTTCTTTCCATTACATTGGAGGATGAATCCTTCTTTTATTCAGAGAACAGACCCTTTAAGCAAGAGAAAACTAATGAAACATCAGGAAAACAGTCTGTTTTAGAAATTCTAACTTAATTCTCTCTGTGACAGAAGCAACAGCTTGATTTTCGTTTTGTCAGCTTCAGCATTGGCTGTCAAAGGCAGCTCTGGAATTAGCATTTCCTGAGCCGCATCCATAGGTGTCTTACTCTGCATCCACGTAGTTCAGAAAGAAAAAATGCAAGGAAACTTTCAAGTAGAATTGTTTAATGTTATCATTTATAAAAGAATATGAGTCAAATATCCTGGCAGAAACAAACCTTCAAAGCTAAATCACTGTGTGTTCCCATCAAGGCATTTTGATAGCCAATATGATTCTTTTTTCCCATTAATTGCATTATGCCAAGAAAGGATGGAAAGGAAAAACAGCATAGAAATATAAAATATTGGCAGCCATTCTGTATCTCCCTCCAAACCTGTTCGTTCATAAAGCCTATACTTTTAGAATGTTATCATGTAATACAAAGAGGAACTTCCTATATCAAATGTTAGTTCTTTTGAATATAAATATCCTACAGTTGACAGAATAATTTTATTTTCCTTAATGACAACTAGAGTGCATATTAATATGAAAGCTTTCAAAAGAAATATTGATTTAAAATAACAATATTTGGGTCAGCATGCTATAGAGTGTTGAAATAATATTAGCCTTAAAAGTTAATAACAAATAATAATGAATTAGAATGCCAAAATATTGCCCAACACATTCTGTCAACACGTATATGAACACAGCAGGAAATCCAAAACAAAAGCTAATTTATAGAGAACTCTGTGTTCCTAATGACAGTTTAGACCAGTAGGGGTCCAAGTTACAAACTGCAGTCTTCACATGCGATACTTTCATTTTACATTGAAAGCTTGGTTGCACTCTGGATACATGTAGCCAATCAAATGATTGCCCTATATTTAAGAGTATTTTTCTTATTTTTTTCTGTGAAATCTGATTATTAGCACATGAAATACACATGTGCATCGTGTATATTTATGTATTCATGAAATTGATACATAAAATGAAACAATTCTGCATTCAAAGCCCAAGATATCCAAGGAATCGTATGTATAACATGATAGTTTGACTCTATGCAATGTAGTTTTAAAAATTAAAATCAAGAACAACATCGGTATTCTAATGTGTTGACATCTTATTGATGCCAGATATTTTTCCCTGTGCTCAATAATTTAGCCTAAATATTTGTATTTTAAAATATATTAACATCATAGAATATAAATCTGGAAGAGACCTTAGAGGTCATCTAGTGCAAACCCTTCAGATTTTCTTTGTAAATGAGAGAGCCAAGCCTCAGAAAGATCCAGTAACTTGCCAAAGTTCCACAATTATTTAAAGCCAGAATTCAGACAGGGACTCCAGTCTCTTTTAATACAAACAAAAGGCCCCACAAGATGCAATAGACAATCTGTGTTGAAAACAATGTACTTACCTATGTAATGTCAGACTCTGATTTTATTTTCTGCAACTTAATATGTTCCTAATGAATCTTTCTCAGAAAGATTCCTTTTGGAAGTGTACCACAGTGAATGTGAAGTGAATTGCAAGAAAGGGAAACTCTACATCCTTGCTTGCTTTGATGAAGTTTTGAGGTTTGGGAGACTAAACAAAATGGAATGGCAGGCATTTTCAGCATGGTATTTTTAAAGTCAGTTTTTCTTATCAGACTCTCTTTCCCATATTACCTCATCCTCTTTGTCTTTGTGAGAATGTTCACTTGATCTTGTAATATTAAACAGCGTTTAGCCAACCCTGGCAGGCCCTCCCAGCACGCTACTCTGTGTTGCCAAAACCTTAGAGCACACTCCTCAGGGTTCTGGTGGCACACACCACCTTCAGGTGACTGATGGCTGGGTGCTCGGGTCTGTGTTCCCTTCACAACATCCCCTGTAATTTGCTCCAAGGTTCTGGCAATTGCTGGACTATGTCACCAGCTGTCATCACCCTTCCTTCCCATCCATTTTTGGCAGGATCTGGGGACTCAAGCATGCCAGTAGAAATAATAGTAGCTGTGGTAACAACTTCAGTGGCATGGTCCCCAGAGACGAGATCAAAATTTGGCACCTTTTTCTCTCAACATGGAGCTAAAAATGGCACTGAATTTGTTACTTGGTGGTATATAATTTTCTTTAATTACACATTTTTGGTTTCAAGTGTTCCACATGCTGGCTTTTAAGTGTGACACCAACATATACGGGTTAAAAACAATGGCATGCCCCCTTTTTATTTTATGGGGAGGAGGTGAAATAACTATAATACCATGGATTCCGTTCGTCTCCAGCCTTGGAAAATAAAAGGAATGCATGCTGTAATTTCTCTCACTTTAATGGTCTTTGTGTGTGAAAAAAAATTCCTTCATAAAATTTTACTGATAAATCTTTATTAACATATTGTCTCAAAATTATTTCAATTAATAAGGTTTTTTCTTAATTATTGGAAAAATCTACAGAAACATACTAAGAGTTTGCAGAATAATTTTTTAATTACATAAGAAAGATTTAATTTTTAACATCTGAAAATGGTTACAGTTCATGAATACCACAAGACAACCTAAAAAGATGCAGTCTAGAGTAGCCTATTTGGCTGTTAGTAACAGAGGTTTTGACCACGATCAATGACTTCATATCCATGTTAGTCACTCCTGAGTTGATATTACTATAATTTTTTTTTCTCATTGACTTGGGTGATAGTATAAAAAGTATACTCATTAATTTTATAGATGACAAATGTCAGATGTTACAACTTATTTTAAAGGGATCCCTGTGCTACTTCAAACTTTACTAAAGACAAAGCAAATGGTTTTTATCTTCATAATTGTTTTGTTTTCTGGGTTTCTTTTTTCTGTTCATGATATCAGTGACTTCACTGCCCAGGCTAAAGTGATATCATGAACAGAAAAGAGAAACCCAGAAAGCAAAACAATTATGAAGGTAAAGACCATTTATTTTGTCTTTAGTAAAGTTTGAAGTACCACAGGATTTCTAGGTAGGTCTAGTAGAAAAATGTAAAGTTTGAAGTATAGCCCAGTCAGGAAAGAATTCAGTGTTAAGAGATACATATTTCAAAGTCATCCATCCACATGGAATTGGAAGTTGATATTATAAAAGTGGTTAACATGAAAGGAAGGTCAAGGAAGGACTTTGGCAAATGTCTATATTTTGGGGAATACATGGAGGGAGGCATTGTATAAGTCAGGAGTAGGCAGGTTATGAAGTGGTAAAAACAACCCTAAAAACCTAAATGGCTGTATCAGTTTGTAATTGCAACTGGGCCCAACTTAGCTGGGTGCCTCTGCCTCACAGTCTGTAAGGTTAAGTTTACAGTCAAACTACAGACTGGGGCTGCTGTTTCATCTGAAGGCTCAGCTGGTGCTGCAGGATGTGCTTCCAAGCTCACACACAAGGTTTTTGGCAGACTTCAGTCTCTTACCACATGGGCCTCTTTATGAGGCTGCCTCATAATATGACAGCTGGTTTTCCCTATGGAAAGCAGTCCAAAAGAGAGAGAGAACAACCAAAAAAGAAGCTGAAGTCTTTCGTAACCTAAGCTCAAAAGAGACATTGCATTATTTCTGCCATATGCTTTCCATTGTAAGCAAGTCACTAAATCAAGCCTAAACTCAAGGGGAGTAGATGATACAAGGGCGTGAATACCAGAAGACAGGGCTTATCTGGGGCCATCTCAGAGGCTACCTACTACAGTGGCTTAACATGATGGTTTATTTTTGCTTAAGCTACATGTGCAGGGTGGTTCTTGTCAAGGGGTTTCTGCTCACTCAAGGCCCTAGACTTAACAGAAACAGTACTCAGCACATTTGCATGATTACTGCATGGGAATGCAACACATTACATATTGGTTCTTAAATCTTCCTCACAGAGGTAAGACATACTACTTTTGCCCACATTTCTTTATCTGAAGCAAAGTTATAAGGCTTCAGAAGAGCAGGGAAGAGTAACTCCAATATATGTCCAGGAGAACTTAGTTATTTGTGAATAGCCTGTAAGACTTCCACAAAATGATTTAAGGAGAACAACTGGGAACCAGCAGAGAACTGGGAAGAGAACCAGGAGAATTATGAAAGGAAAATAAAGTATTGATGATGTGTGGCTAATAATGCCCAGTACTCTTGAGATGTAAACAGGATGAATATTGGCACGAGGCTACTGGATGTGGCAATTTAAGAGATACCAGCTGGGGATGGCGACTCACTCCTGTAATCCCAGCACTTTGGGAGGCCGAGGCGGGTGGATTGCTTGAGGTCAGGAGTTCAAGACCAGCCTGACCAACATCATGAAACCCCGTCTCTACTAAAAATAGAAAAATTAGCTGGATGTGGTGGCGGGTGCCTGTAACCCCAGCTACTCAGGAGACTGAGGCATGAGAATAGCTTGAACCCAGGAGGTGGAGGCTGCAGTGAGCCGGGATTGCGCCACTGCATTCCAGCCTGGGTGACAGAGCAAGACTTCATCTCAAACATACATACATACATAAAAATAAAAAAATTTAAAAAGAGATACCCATAACCATTGTGAGAAAGATTTTAGTACAGTAATGAGGAACATCAGTTAAAGTGAGGAGAAAAGAAGTGTGTGCTGAGGAAGTATGTATTGTGGTCTCTTCTTTTGAGATACCTGGTAGTAAAGGGAAGGAGAGAAATTAAGCAAAAATTTGAAAGATATCAGAATTAAGAAACCCTTGAAAATCCTGATTCTGTAAGTAAGCATGACATTTATACCCCAAACATTGCTTTTTCATCTCTTCTAAACCATTTGTAAACATGCTTAAGTTGAAGGAGCAAACACAGAGACCTTCAGTGTACAGTCAGATACAGTAAGATGCTGGTCACTTCATACCGTCTGGGTTAAGTTTCCGACTTTGTGTCACAGTCCCATTTCTTCATCTTAACAACAACGATTTTCTGCAGGGTGACAAGTTATAATAGTTTTTGTTTTTAATTCTGGTAAGAAACACACAACATAAAATTTATCGTCTTACACATTTTTAAGTGTATAGCTCAGTAGGATTAGCATTGTTGTGCAACAGATTTACAAAATGTTTTTATAGTATGAAACTAAAATTCTGTACCTATCAAACAACAACTCTCCATTTCTCCATCCTCCCAAACCCTGGTCATCACCATTCTACTTTAAGATTCTATGACTTTGACTACTTCAGATAGTCCATGCAAGTGGAATTATACGGTATTTGTATTTTTATAACTGACTGACTTCATTTAACGTGAAGTCCTCAAGGTTTGCATGTCGCATTCTATAGCATGTGACAATATTTCCTTTTTAAGGCAGAATACTCTTCCATTGTGTGTATATACCACAGTTTCTTTATCCATTCATCCATTGATGGGCATTTGGGTTGCTTCCACCTCTTGACTATTGTGAATAGTGCTGGTAAGAACATGAGTGTGTAAGTATCTCTTCAAGACCTTAATTTCAGTTCTTTCGGGTATGTAGCCTGAAGTGGGATTGCTGGATCATATGGTATTTCTATATTTAATTTTTTTGTGGAATCACCATATTGTTTTCCCTAGTGTTTGCAACAAAATGTTGCAATCCTAGCCAACAGCACACAAGGGTTTCCATTTCTTTACATTTGTGCCAAGACAAATCATAATGTTTTTAAACAAAAATCAATTTGGGAGGGCCATGAGCTGACAGTCATCACCACAATACATGAATTTGTTTAATCGTATTGCTTTCCTCCTTAAAGTTTGCACTTCCTGAGATTTGCACTGAGGAAAGTCTTTCCTCACTCTTTCCTTTTCCTCCCACCTGGTGGAGTCATGTGCCCTTCTTCTGTACTGTCTTCACTCTGCATCTGCATTTATTTGTTACCTCTTCGGGCTGGAGCACAGACCATCACAGTTGACTCACCTGCAACATCATGAAAGGAAAGGCTGCTAGCCTTATGGAGGAAACCACTTTTAGCGAAGATTTAGGGAGGGTAAAAAAATGTATGTTATTTTTAGCTATGCTGGGTGTTAGATGGATTACTTTTAAGTTGTTTTTTTTTTTTTGAAACAGAGTCTCATTTTGTCACCCAGGCTGGAGTGCAGTGGCATGATCTTGGCTCACTGCAACCTCCGCCTCCCAGGTTCAAGCGATTCTCCTGCCTCAGCCTCCCAAATAACTGGGATTACAGGCGCCTGCCACTACACTTGATTAATTTTTGTTTTAGTAGAGACTGGGTTTTGCCATGTTGGTCAGGCTGGTCTCAAACTCCTGACCTCAAGTGATCCGCCCACCTCAGCCTCACAAAATGCTAGGTAGGATTACAGAGGTGAGCCACTGCGCCCTGCCTAAGTAATTTTTATTTAAGTATAATATACATTTAGAAAAGTATATGGATCGCAATAAGTGAACACACCATTGGAACCACCTCCCAGATAGAATGTGAGCAGCACTCCAGAAACCTCTAGGGACTATGCCAGCCACTACCTGTTCCTTCCTTCCTAGAGGTCATCACCATGGTGACTTTCATTCTTCTCAGTTGATTTTACCTGCCTTTGAACTTTATATACATGAACTTATACAGTATTCCCTTTTTTGTGTGTGACTGCTTTCTTTTGCCCAACATTAGGCTTGTGAGATTCATCTATATTGTTGTGTCTGCCAGCAGTTCATTCCCTAATGCTGCTGTGTAGAAGTCCATTGTATATCTGCACTATAATTTGTTTTTCCATTCTACTGCTGGCAGATGTCCAGTTTGGGGTTGTTTCCAGTTTGGGGCTATTACAAATAATGCTTCTGTGAATATTGTTGTTTATGCCTTTTGTTACTATGTGGATACATATTTCTATGGGGTATACAAACAGACTTTTGTAGATGCACTGGGGACTTCACCACCATTTCTGAGATTTTTAATATGAGAAAATACATCCCAATTCCAGACAACCAACTTAAAAATTGTCTTGCAAAATACTCCCATTTATAGTTGGTAAAAATCTTGTATTTACTAGTTTTAACATTTGGACAACTTCTTATTATATTTACCTCATGGGGCAAATATAATCATTCTTTCTACAAAAAAAGAAGATAATGGACTTCAAGGTTTTTTAAATTGTGAAAAACACACTGATAAATATATATCTCAGATAGGCAGTATTGCTGTCATCTACAAATTTCATTCTGCCTTGGATAACATTTTGGATATGAATCCAGGCACTTTCACTATTATATTCACCTAGAAATACATGGAAGTGACATAAAACTAAGAAGCATAATACTAGAAATAAAAATTTTTCATGATTAAATCTACATGATTATTTCTGTAACCTTAAAGTTCACAACTATAATGCTTACTTTTGTACTTTTGTAACTTTTAAGTTGTTGTTTTTTAAGAATCTTGGAGTTAAACAAAATAGCCTGTTCTTAATTTCATTACTATCATCATCATATTACTGTAAAACTTTAGTTTTAGACAGAATAGTGGGAAAGTGCTGCGTAGAATGGTGCCCAGGACACACAGATGTCACCTAGTGATATCCTCGGCCCCAGCCCCCAAGTACTGCCCCAGCCTGCAGTGTCTTTGGATGTAGTAGAGAAGTGTTATCGTAGCCTGTGGCCCCCACACAAGCTGTGTTTCACTTCCTTCTCTATGGATTTTCACATCCCACTACCCTCTGGTAGAATACAGAGGTATGTGGTGATACATCTTTTGTCATCAGAAGGTCGGGGTTTGAGGTTAACATCCATTGCAAACTGCATGCAAACTCTCAAACAACCTTAAACTCTCAACTAATCTCCACTTTCTTGGATTTAAAACGAAAAAAAATAAGTCATAATAACCATTCAACAGAACCTTTGTGAAGATTAGAGATAATACCAATGAAGTACTAGTACAGTTCCTGACACACAGTGTTTGTTCAATGACTGGTTTGAAATGCATATTGCATCATGATGTTCTACCACCAGCACAAGGACCATGTCTGTGGCCGGGGATGCCTGGTATCACTCCTGGCTTGTACGTCTTCACCTGAGACCCAGGGCAGTGAGGGACTCAGAAGAGCACAGCGCCCCCAGCTTCTTCTTGCCACTGTCTGCACACCCTACACTGGGACATGCCTAAACCAAGGATCCTTTGTGCCATCCATGAATAGTGGCAGCAAATGCTTTTCCATGAGTTCAGTTCTGCTTTCCAACTCAGGCATTGAAGAACTGGACTTACCCTTCTTTATTTTCAGATGTATTTTATTTGGCGAATTTTCCCTTTTTTTCTGCCAGATACCCCATTTAGTTTTATTACACCACTGCTCAGTAATTTCTGTAGCATTCTTGACTTTCATGAGTTTGCTGCCTGCCTCTCTCCTTTCTCTCCTTCTTCTCGTCTCTCTCTCTCCTCTCTCTAACTTTGGAGAGTCAGCCCCACTACCACCCTGCATTCGTATGAATATCTTAAATTATGCATAATGAGAGTCAAGGGCATCACTAAATACGAAACACCAACAATTTCAAAGTAGATAATATCCTAAGACCAAACAACTCATTGGTTTCTGTTTTCAATGCAGTATTAAAGAGATAATATTTCTGGATATGAGTCTCATTATATAGCATCTTCAGTAGAACCAGCATCTCACTTTATTGAGATTTTCTGTAATAAAAAAAAATATATATATATATATATATATATATATATATATAAAACAAAGCTGTTGCCTATCTGGCAAAAAATAAAATAGCTCTCCCAACATAAACATTACATTACTTTCTAACATATGACATCTGCGCATGATCCCATGGATTATGTCTACTCTTCAAAATCCATTAAAACCGATAATGTGAGCAAATCTATCAGGCAAGAAGACTTTTTATGTTAAAAGATCACAATGATGACAAATTATTTTGTGTGGAAACTTTGACCCTCTTGGAATATTTATTGCTGCTATGCCAGAGTGTGTCTGTCAAACATTTTACTCTATGCAAAACTAAGCTCCCATTATTTTGTTCAAAACTCGTGAAGCATCTGAAACCCTGAAAAATGTATGATGTGATAAGTGTTTAGCAAGTCAAACACTATGCAATTTAATGCAGAATGACACATGAAGTTATACCTTTTTACATGATGACAACTTGTAAATTGAAGAATCCTATAACCTATATCTTAATCCGTGAAAATCAGAGTTTAGGCCGGGCGCAGTGGCTCAAGCCTGTAATCCTAGCACTTTGGGAGGCCGAGGCATGCGGATTGCCTGAGTTCAGGAGTTCGAGAACAGCCTGGGCAGAACGGTGAAACCCCGTCTGTAATAAAAAAAAAATACAAAAAATTAGCTGGGCGTGGCGGCGTGCGCCTGTAGTCCCAGCTACTCGGGAGGCTGAAGCACGAAAATTGCTTGAACCCGGGAGACAGAGGTTGCAGTGAGCCGAGATCGTGCCACTGCACTCCATCCTGGGTGACAGAGCGAGACTCCGTCTCAGAAAAAAAAAAGAAAATCAGAGTTTAAGAGGAATTGCTGGCCAAGGACAACTTTAGCAGGGAGTGTGACTATATACATTTATTTAAAATATACAGGGTAGATGTCGCTATCTACCTATTTTTGGTATCTTTCTTACTATAGCATGCTTTTATATCAGGTATTATTAACAAAAGAATGTGGACTGTTAATAGAATATCCTAAAACTACCAAATTTTTAAAGTTTAGTTAATTACATATAGTAGTAGTAGACTTTCAGTCAACTGCTTTTCAGACAGCATTATAGTAAAGCAGTCATTCATCCGTTACTAACATGTTCTCCTCTCTTAGCCTTACGCATTTGTTTTCTATGTATTAACTTTTTCTCTAAATTACTATATTTTATCCACACAGTGTTTTCTTAGATTTTTAAAATCTCAGAAAATAGAATATTCCTAACTTTAATTCATTTATTTGACAGATACTTATTGAGACCTACTAGGTATCAGGCACTGTATCCTTATACAAAGTTATATGTCTTATAAATGAGATACGAAAGTCAACTAAAATAGTCTTAGGAAAAACACTTCACCCAGTCAGGGTATGAGGGATGCACAGGTATTTTCCTGTCAGGGAGAAGCATTGCAGACAGAAGGGACTGTTTATTGAGGGGTGCCGTGGTCTAGTCAGGTGACTCCAAATAGTTCGGTAACCTGGAGTCCAGACTAAATAAAATACCTCAGCAGTAAGAACTGTCCAGCTTTGTGCCAGCTCTCCTTCATATGCCCTGTCTAGAATCTTCTGGCCTACACCTTCTCACCTGAGCTTAAATTAAATAAGGTGGTTGTAACAAACCTCCTTTTAAAAATAAACCTAATTTCTAACAATATCACGTAATTTATCCAAGGCTAAATTCTAGACTGAAGATTGAACCAAAGTCTGACTGCATCCAAAGCCCCTGCTCCATGTACTGTAGCAGGTCAGTGCCGTTACTTTATGTATTGGATCTGAAGGGCTTTTTGACAGTGGTAGTCATCACACTGCCTTCTTATTCTTCCTCCATTGCGCTGGTAAATTCCAGTACATACAGTAAGTAAAATAATGTCTAAAAATATCAAAAAAAAGTTCTCTTTCATGATATGGTAATATGACCATCACTGGGTTTCCCTAAAAATATTTAACCTTCCTTAGGGGTTAGTTCCTAAACTATATTCTGTGCAGCACAAATGAATGTTTAGTATATTAGGTGAGTATGACAGCGACACATTTTTCTAAATAGCATTGATAAATTAAGAAAAATAATACACAGGGTATTCACATTTCAAATTATGTCTGGAATTTAAAACTTATGTTTATAGTTGTATAGTCTTCTAGTTATTTTTTAAATTTTTTAAAATAAAGCAAATTAGTAAACATAATCATAAATTTTAATAAATGTATTAAATATAAATTTATGAAATTATTTTACCCACATCAGAAACTCACATGAAATTACCTGACACATGTACATGCTTTTTAATCTGTACCATTATTAAATTGTTTGTCGTCAATTCAAAAATTACTCATCCCAAATTTAGAATATTCAAATTTGATTATATTTTGTACAGCTGAATTTCATGTACCAACAAATTCATCTGTGAGACAAGTTTTTGGGTTTACCTTAACGCAAAGGTAGAGGATCATGTCTCTTAAGAATCTACAGGTGTTGCAGCAAAGTAGCATAAATTTGCAAGTGACCTGTGGTCTAGTAAGTGGCAAATGCTGTTATAGGGTGTTCTACCAGTTACTTAAAAGATGGTGAAAAATGGAACTCAATTAGAGCAAATAATGATTGATTCCTAAGAGTTTCCTGGTACCAATGAAGTGAATAGTATTAAATCACTATTGAAGTGCCACCATATTGCCCTGCATTGCTATGTAAATTATATTTGTTTGAGGAACTCTTTGTTTTATAATTTTCATTGCGCAGTTATCCTTGGTATTTCAGAAAATGGAAATTGTAACTTTACATATGACTCTTGTTTTAAACATGCTTAGCAATTGCCGTTGTAGCTGAAGGCAGCAGATCTTTAAACAACTTGTGTTCTTTACCCCCAGCAATGCATCTCTTTGGCCTCAACTGGCAGCTACAGCAGACTGAAAATGACACATTTGAGAATGGAAAAGTGAATTCTGATACCATGCCAACAAACACTGTGTCATTACCTTCTGGAGACAATGGTAAGCGAAAGAATTATGTATCCTGTGTTTCTCTTTTAACATCCCTTTTCCATAAATTTATTTTTACCCATGCTTACATCTAGTTTAGATGGAACAGGGAAAAGTGTTCGAAATTACAGATATCATCTTTTTATAAGTTTTTTTCAATTAATTTACTTGAAAGGTTGAAAATTCACATTTTTATTACAGGAATAATATGATTTTCTGCCTTCTGATTTGATGGCTAGGCTTTTCTGCCTTTCCCTTCTGCAGATGTATATTGAGTTTTATTTTTAGTCTGCAAATAGATTATAATTCAGTGTATCATCTCTTGTATTACCTTGGGTTTATTAGGTTTTCTTCATTCAACTTGCGTGTGGAGTTGGAACACTGTATTAATTTTATTATAAAAGCATTTAAATGCAAAGCACATTAAAGGATTATAGTTTATTGACCTTTTCTCTGGTTGCCCTTTCTCTAAACCTTTAAGAATTTGCACTTTGAGCTAACAAAGATTTTGAAATCAATTGGCTCTGAATTAAAAATGGAATTTAAGTAGTTAGAGAATTCCATTTTTTCAATATAAACACTTAGAAAAGCGTATACATACATATGTACACTTACGTTACAAATAGTTTTATATTATTTCTGTGTGTGTGTGTGTGTACATGTCTTGGCCTTGGTATCCTCTGACTTTTTGCAAAATATCATAATACTTTATATCTCAGAGCATCCTGATGAAGACGCCTTTTTCTGTCATCTGGTTAATAAATTATTTCCCTTTAAGCATTCCCCTAACTCGTCTTCCTCTTTGTTTCTTGTCTAGTATATTGGTGTTCAGCTTTGGCATTAATATGTCTATCCTCATGTGGCTGGTTTCTTTGCAAGACTGGAAAGAAATTATTCTACATTTAATGAACTTATTATATGTTGCTGTGTCACATGTACCCATTTACTGGGATGAATACTTTGTACACTTTTTTATTCTTTTTTTTCCTAATGATAATACTTTATGACATTCTCTTTCTCCTTAGGGAGGTTGAGGAATTTTACGACATTCGATTTTTATAATAATAGTGAATCCCCCGCCATATGGAACCTTTTTATATAAAGTTCTGCATGTTCCAGAAGAACTGTAAGCTGGTGACTGACATGTCACCCACCTAAAGTAGACAGTGGCAGTCACTGTAGAGGGGGTTAAAGAGGGTTGAAACTATAGATTGGGAAATTTTAATTACATAAATTTCAATTACCTTTTTTATACATTAATAACATATATAAACAAAATGAGTAACTATACAGAAATTAAGAATATTTATTTTGGTTTGTATTGACTGAAATTTAGACTGTCTCTTAAAATGCATGGTTCCTGTGAAGATGATCGAATGGTACTTATTAACCATACATGTAGGGAACTTTTTTACAGACTGAAGAAATTGTAATTATACCAAAGAGACAAACGCTTATTATGGATATTGTATTTATTTTACAACATCTTAACCTTTTATTATGATTAAAATGAAAATAGAGTTTGGCTAATTAGTTTCACAGTCCTGAAAAGCATGATACTGAGAAAGCTGTGGATTTAGAGACTCCCACAGCCTGGGTGCTGGGTGCTGGCTGCTGGTATTTTGCCAGGGAATACCTCTGCTCACGTCAGCACTCCTCAGCTCACAGAAGCCTATATTCAAATCCTCGCTCTTTCGCCTGTTTACTTTGTAACTTTGGGCGGCGTGCTTGGTTATTCAGATTTGCAAGAAAATTTTAGGGCAGCTGTGGAATGGGCTGCCTAGGATCCTATCAGTCGCAGAGGTTTGGAAGAAAAAAGAACATCACATGAATGTGGCCATATTAATAGAAATCTCCGTAAAGCTGGAGTCCTTGAAAACAGTGGCTTTTAAGCTATTGACCATGACAATGCAATAAGAAATACATGTTACATCAAAGCCAACATATACACACACATATACATATGTATCTGAAATATGCTTCCCAAAATAATATTTATCCTTGCCTTGTAAAATGCATCCTGGGATTTTCCATTTTATTTTATTGTATTTCTCATTTTTAACAAACGCCACTTGCAACCCACTAAAATAATTTCATACTTTATGAAATATTGTGCTCTGTAATTTCAGAAATACTGCTTTGGTAGCCTCCTTCTCTAAGGGGGACTGAAGTTCCCCCAAGTGATCATAGAATTCAGTTTTATACAGTTCTGTGCACCTTTAGAGCACCTGTATATACATATAAGCGAAGTACTTTCTTCCTAGATGTGTAAAAGTCTCCTATATAGGGAATGGTTAACGGAAGCCCCAGAATCAGTTAAGTGCACTAGAGAACTGCCAACTGGACTAGGGGATTTGTAGGAATTTCCCTGCATGGAAAAGCTATCTCTCTCTGGGCTCTGACCTTGTCCAAAGAGTGACCTAACTATTAGTTACTTGCCTTCTTTATTATTACTTGAATCGCCCCCAAAACCCTAAATTGTAAGGAATTCTTGTTTCTGATTTTCCAAATACAAGTTCTTAATATCTCCTAAATATTGTTCTTAAAGACCTGGGGCACAGGGAGTGGACGGGAACTCTATTTACAAGGAGGGAGGTAGCTGCAAACCGCTGCTTTTCGGCTTTCGTGATGAACCTCAGTGTCCATGCACCACCACCCACCACCCACTACTTAAATTTTATATGCTATCCAAGAAGCAGATCACATCATCTCTTTAGAAATTCTAGGAGATTACAACCCTTGAGAAAGCTTTAGAATTCTGAACAAAGCTCACTAGGAGAATGAACTGTGAAAAGCATAGTGAGAAAATTATTTCACAGCTTCTAAATGTAATACTCTTACTTGTGCAGTCCTATTTTACTCTTATTTTGTAAATATAATTCTAAGGAACAATCATTGTGCTAAGGGTGCAGTAAACTCCCTGCTTGCATTTAAGTTAACAGTGAGCCAAAGCTTCTAAATGGTATTTAGTATCTAAAAGAAGGATTTCTGTTATATGCCATCATCCTTTACTGATTATTCCTGAGACCTTCTTTGCCTACAGATTTTAGAGATGAGTTATCAGAAGCGTAGGGTCTTAGACAAAACTGATGGAAATGGACAAAGTGAATAAAGAGGTAAGAATGAAGTTTGTAGCTCAAACACTGGTCTCTTTCCAGAAACTAAAATTATTCCCCTGGCCCAAGGAATTCATTTAGCCTAATGTACTGGAAAGAATCACACAGTTCTATACTCAAATCCTGGCTCCTTCATTTATTTACTTTGTAACCTTCAGCATGTTACTTCACTGACCTCTTTGAGCTTCAATTTCTTCACATGTAAAGAGGGAATAATAGTACCTATCTCCTGACTTTCCAAATTCAACAGTCGGCAGCCCTAGTATCCCTCTCAAACTTCTCCCCACCATACTTCTCAACAACTATTTCAGATCTTCCTGCTATACTCAAACCCCTCTCTCAGCAGATGACCCTGCATTCTATTAAAAAAAATAGAAACTTGCAAGGGGAGCTCTCATTTTCTGTAAACACATCTTTATTCCTCCACATATGTGGATCTATGCTTCCACCTTTTCTCCCCATATTCCAGGTTCATCTTTGCGGGGGTCCTCTTGATCCCATTCTCTCTTCAGAATGTCCTCATTCTACTGATACCATCCAGTCAACATTTGAACATTCCAGTCTCTCACATCTTGGAAAACAATAATCTCTTGACTTTGCCTCCTACTGCCTCTCTCTTCTACCAGCCTTCTTTTTATTTATTTATTTTATTTGTTTATTTATTTACTTATTTTGAGACAGGGTCTCACTCTGTCGCCCAGGCTGGAATGCAGTGGCACAGTCACAGCTTGGCTCACTGCAGCCTTGACCTCCTGGGCTCAAGTGATCCTCCCACCTCAGCCTCCCGAGTAGCTGGGACTACAGGCACATGTCACCATGCCTGGCTAATTTTTGTATATTTTGTAGACAGTGTTCCACCGTGTTGCCCAGGCTGCCTTGAACTCCTGAGCTCAAGCAATCCTCCTGCCTCAGCCTCCCAAAGTGCTAGGATTATTGGCGTGAGCCACCTCGCCCGGTGCTTCCAGCCTTCTTGAACATAGTGTGCTTAGTCACTTTGATCACTTCTCTGCCTTCTGTTTACCCCCTTACAGTTGGGCTTTCACAGTACCCCTAGCTCATGACTTGTCCTCCTCTACCTTCACCACACACTCATACTTCACTGAAACTGATGTCTCCAGAGTTACCCATTGCTTTGTCAGTAGCACCAGTGAAACCTCTTTATTCTTTATCATGTTTGAGTTTTTGGAACCATTTAATAGTTAACCTATCCCTCCTGTTGCAATAGTCTTTCCTTAGCTTCTGTGATACCACATTCACTTTGACTTTCTCCCTGACTGTTTTGGCAATGATGTCTCTGTTTAGTTGACTCACCTCCCGTCTACCTGATCCCTAAATACTGCTGTTTCTCAGGACTCTGCGCTTGACAATATAATCACTCTGGATTCTGTCACCCACTTTCATGGCTCCAGTTACATTCTCTGTGCTTCCTAACTCTCAAATCAGTAAGTCCAGCCTAGATGTCTCTCTTCAGCTCCAGATCTCAACTACATATTTTGTAGACAGTGGTGGTAGTAGTAGACTACATAAAATCTACCCAATTGTCTTTGGAACATTTCCACTTGGGTGTTTTCCATGCATCTTAAACTCCACGTGTCTAAAACAGAACCCATCAACTACTTTGGTTATCTATTACTACATAACAAACCATAACAAAACTCAGTGGCTTAGAAAGCAATGTTATCATCTCTTGTGGTTCAGTGAATTGGCCAGGTACTTCTTGCGTTCTTACTTAGGACACTGCGATTGCTTTCAGATGTTAACCAAGGTTAACCAAAGGCTCCACTGAGCTGGAAGTCCAGGGTAGCTCACTCACATGGCTGGCAGTTAATGCCATCTGTTGACCTGAGCTCAACTGTAGTCACCAGCTGGGGCACCTAGACATGGCCTTCCATGTGGCTTGGGCCTCTTAGAACATAGCAGCTGGTTCTGAAGAGGAATATCCCAAGAGGGAGCATGCCAAGAGCCTGACAGAAACTACCAGCTTTGTATAACCTAGCAGTCGCCATTCTAGGCTTTCACTGCCATCACATTCTGCTGGTCAGGAAGTCAGCAAGGTCAGCCAAGATTCCTGGGGAGGGGAATTAAACTCCTCCTCTTGACTAGGGACCTGTTATGCCATTGCACAAGGGCACGTGGGATGGAAGATGCTGTTGTGGCCATCTTTGGAAAATACAATTGCCAAGCCATCTTTCTTTCCAAATTTGCCTCTCTTTCAGGGATTTCTGTACAGTACCTTCCCACATCCCCCCCTCCACAGTTTTGCTTTTTGTGGTTTTAGTTACCTGTAGTCCACTGTGGTCTGAAACTATTAAGATACTTTGAGAGAGAGAGAGAGACAGACCACATTCACTTAACTTTCATTGCAGTATATTGTTATAATTGTTCTATTAGTATCTTTTTCTTGCCTAATTTATAAGCTATCATAGGCATGGATGTATAGGAAAAAATATAGTATATATAGGGTTTGATATTATCCACAGTTCCAGGCATCCACTGGGGATCTTGGAACACAGACCCTATGGATAAGAAGGGATTCCTATATTAGGAAATGGCACCGTCGTTCACTTCATCACTGGTCCAGGAGGCCCGGTGACTGCTTCTACTCTCTCATCTCCCGTATTTAGTCAGTCTCTAAGTTCCTTCAACTCTGACCCCATAATATCTTTTGAATCCTGTTTTCTCTCAGCTGGATATGGTAGCCTTCTATCTGCGCTGTATGTCTCCAGTCTTGCTCATCCACTCTTCACACACAAATTTGAGATATCAGTTCCTTGCCTAAGCCCCTTCAGTGACCTAGATTCTAGTCAGAAGCCTTTAAATGACTTACAAGGCTCTCCACAGCCTGGCTGTACATCACACCATACTGCAATATAAAAACAATAGCACACAGAGACAAGGAGTGTAGAGTTACGAGCCTCACCACCTGATGTGGTGTCCTAGTTCTGATCATTAACGCCTGTGCTACTTGGGACAGGTTATATAGCTTCATTGTGCCTAAGTGGTCTCATCAATTAAAAGGGACTAATTTACTTCATAGAATGGTCTTTGGTCTTGAATATTCAATGCAAATATACAAAGGTGTAAACATACAATGGTGTATAGTACATAGTAAATGCTTGAAAAATGTTTATGGTTGTCACTATTACTATTTAATGCATCTCATCTTTACTAGACTATAAGGCAAGGATCCTGTCTGTTCTTTCACTGCTGTATACCAAGCTCTTGGCACAGTTCTGGCATGTAGTAGGTGCTCACAAAGTATCAGTTGAATGAATGAGTGAAAATAATACAACTAAATGATATGATATAAAGTATACGAAGGGCCATGCATCAAGTATATGCAAAGTACTAGTATAGAATAGTGGCTAAGAACTGAAGCTCTGCCACTCACTGGGTGCCTTTAAGCAAATTACCACTCTCACCTCCTGTTTCTTTATAGGGTAATATAAAGGTTTACAATGAGGTTTGAATCAGGTCATGCATGCAGGGTGCCAAGCAATGATTGGAACATGAAAGCTATTCAATGCATATCAGTGATTGTTTGCTCTTCATTCTGCAATTCAAGATGATGCACTTGTAATTCATAGCAAAATTTTAAGAAGACACTTCTGCAAATCAGCATCGGTAGTATCCTCTAAAGCAATAATGGAAATCCCCATCATTCGTTATTTATATTTTTAGTTATTTGAATTTTATGAAAGAAATATTATCGTGTATTTTTTAATGCATAGAATTTATTCATTTTACATTTGTCTAATGAGCACTTATGATGTGCCACGCACTGAGCAAGATTCTGGGAATATAGCTGTAAAAGCAAGATGATCACAGCTATTGTTTCCAGAGCATGTGAATTCTAGGCTAGATGGGAATCGAGCGAGTTATTACAGTGAATTAGAAAATCTCCGTTAGGGAAAAGCGGAGTGTACCCTGACAGAACATTTCAACACCAGCTTGACTTCTAAAGGGGCAGTAAGACACATGCCCAATTTTAGCCTAGGATAATTTAGGATAATAAAGACTGAAATAAAAGGCTATATATTACAGGCAATGTAACTATGGCAAGTGACTTCTCCAATCAAAAGAACTCTTTTTGTATGGATACGAGTTGAAAAACTACAAATATGTGTGTATGTGTATATATGCATATGATTTATGCTGCTTAAACAAAACAATTCCAATTGCTTTTAAATTTTAATTTTTTTTTTTTTTTTTTTTTTTTTTGAGACGGAGTCTCGCTCTGTCACCCAGGATGGAGTGCAGTGGCGCGATCTTGGCTCACTGTAAGCTCCACCACCTGGGTTCATGCCATTCTCCTGCCTCAGCCTCCCGAGTAGCTGGGACTAAATTTTACATTTTTGATCATCGTGTATCAACTTTCTCAAGTACTAGACAACTCTAGAGAGTTCAGTCTGACAGCAGGTTGCAGATTCCCTGTGAATTCGAGAAATGGAGCTGACAGGGCTGCAAGAGCACTGAGTTTTGTTCAATAGTGTTCATAGTACTTGTGTTATTACAATGTGTAATAGCTCCTTAATTAGATGCTATATTGATTTTGTCCATTAAGCTATGTTTGCAAAGTAGTTATGTCTTATTTCACTTAGCTTGTGATGTAACACTCTGTATCCACAATGCTAAATTATGGCATGCGGTTGTTTATAAAAAGATATGTTCTCTCAGAGATCTCAAAGCCAGGGTATGAATCCAAGGTTAGGTCATAGAATTGGAGGGTGGGCTACTGATTGTCTACAAATGCCCAACCTTGCTTCCTGACGTCTTAATTATTAGTGCCTCTGTGGGATTTAAGATGATATTATCATTTACCTTCCGCAACAATTGCAGTTAGACTTTGACAGTGAATTTCTTTTCTGCCTTTCCGTTTCACTCATTATAGGCTTGTTTACTCACATCATAGGCAGGTGGCAAATTCATGATATATATGGCAGAAAACTTAGCATTTTATAATTTTCACTGATTTTTCTGATAGCACAAAATAGTTTTCAAACAGATACCAAACCTCCTAATTACCAATATGACTTTAAATCTTCTGTTTTGTCCTTACAGCATCTCGGTTGGTAAACTATTATTTATAAAGTGTTTTTCAGTTCAAAGTACTTTTGAAAAGGCATTATCTGAAAAGCTGTCACTCCACTGATGTGTTTTCATATGAACTGGGTATCACATAAGAAGGAGAGGAATAACAATAGCTTTGCGTATGTGGTCTCTCTCTGTTTTCACACTCTGACAACTGTATTTTAAGACATTAAGACTGTTGTGACACATACTTACTGATGAAAGAAAAAAATCACAGTTAGTAGGTGAAAAGACTGCTAGTGGCTCCCACATTCAGGCACAACAGGACACGTTGAAAAAAACCTTCAAGATGATACCCTATTGTGTTTGAAGACGTGGTACGTTTCACTCTTACTGTGAAGGCTTTAATTGGTTTGATTCCTAACCCACAAGCTTTGAGTTTAGAATAACTACAGGGCACTCTGTTGCCCTGTCTCTATTTTTTCCTCCAGTTTTCCTCCTTTTCCTTTTAGTAAAACCTACAGACAACCTTAGTGTTTCCTATGATCATTCCCAGGTTCAGGCTCTAGGGCTTTATGGAGGTAGTGATCTCAGTAAGGGAGGATAGAGAGCCCTAGAACTGGCCTTTTTTTATTTCTTCTGAAGCCAAAGTTTTCTGGAATTCGGGACATGATGAAAGACTTCTGTGTCCAGGCTTTTATCTAAGAGGACTGATGAGCTTCAGAGGAAAAAGTTGTGCAAGTATTTACAAGTTTATCAAACTGTGTCAATGGCCCACTGACTTCCAGGTGTGTTTACCATCAATAAAGAGCATTTGAAAATGCTAACAGGAATGAACACACTTGACTTGTCCAAATGAGAGAATGGCTGTGACTTGAAAAGCAGCAGTGCAGAATTTAAAGACAAAGCCCCTTCACGAAACCCTAGTCCCCTGTATTCAAACTAGAGGCTTAAACAGGAAGGCTGTACTAATCTAAGCTGCCGTTTCAGTGGATCTTGCAGAGAAAAATCAGTGATGTCCTTATATCTCTACATCACTGATTAGAAAGAGAGGTCAGATCTGCAAGTACCTTTTAGAAAAGACACATTCTAAGACTGTAATTCAGAATAAATTCATTCTAACTAGTGTAATAACTTGAAGCAAATAGAAGTTGACAGGCACTTTAGAGATGAGATTCATATTTCATGGGAAAAGCTAGAATAGATCAGTGGGCTTCAAACTATTTTGTTTTTGTGACCCCCTTCAACAAAATAGCTATACAAATTTAAATTTATTTATTTTTTGAGATCATACGTTTTAAAAAACCTGTTTTCTTCTATATTAAATTATACTTACAATTATTAGTTGTACACATTTGACTGAAAACAACCTAATTCTTATATAAATGTGTTAAACATGTTGATAATTTGAAACACAAAAAGTGAAAATGTATTGAAATATAAATGTGTTAAACATTTTGATAATATGAAACATAAAAAGTGAAAATGTATTGAAAGTACCTCTCTGAAATGAATGGGAACTTTTTTCAAATAGTTTGTATATTCATAGATGAATATACCTTATAAGAATAAAACAAAATTCAGTTTCATTTCTAATCCTGTTTTCCTTTCTTATGAATATAAACAAAAGAAATCTTGCTACAAAATAAGTAAGTGACAATGGGAGGATTTTTTTAAGTGATTCTGTTCAGTTATTTGACATTCTTGTTAGTCATATGTCAAAAATCACATTGTGATCTATTTCTAAAAAATACGTTGTCTATAAGCTGCCAGTTCTATCACATTTCTCATAAAAGCAAGGAATCAGCAACTAACTACTTTGAAAAAGATTTATTACACTGTTTTTAGAACCAATCCTTTTCCCGGTTTCTGTGTAGGATGCCAAAAAAGACTTTACCAAGGCTTAGCAAAATACTGCTAATTTTACCTGTTATTCTTCTACTTAGTGGTACTTTGTTTATCTGGTATACTCAGAATGCGGTGAAAAATGGAACTTTGGCTCATATTAATTCACCTTTGATACTATAATTTTGTAATGCTTTCATCGTATTACAGGAAGATCTTATTTTATTACGCTTTATCATGCCTCCCAGATACCGTGTTTTTTACAAACTGAATGTTTGTGGCAGCCCTGCGTCAAGCAAGTCTATCGGCACCATTTTTCCAACAGCATGTGCTCACATCATGTCTCTCTGTTGCATTTTGGTAATTCTCAAAATATTTCAAACTTTTTCATTATTATTAGATCTGTTACAGTGACCTTCAATCAGTGACCTTTGATGTTGCTCTTATAATTGTTTTGGGGTGCCAGAAACCACACCCACATAAGACAGCGAACTTAATAAATGTGTGTGTTCTGACTGCTCCGTGACCAGCATCCCCACCATCTTTCTCTTCTTGGACCTCCCTATTTCCTGAGACAAAACAGTATTGAAATTAGGCCAATCAATAACCCTACAGTGGCCTCTAAGTATTCAAGTGAAAGGAAGAATCACACGTCTCTCAGTTTAAGTCAAAAGCTAGAAATGATTAAGCTTAGTGGGGAAGGCATGTCCAAGATGAGATCGGCTGAAAGCTAAGCCTCCTGCACCAAATACTTGGCCAGGTTGTGAGTGCAAAGGAGAAGTTTTTAAAGGCAATTGAAAGCACGATTCCAGTGAGCACATGAATGATAGGAAAGCAAAACAGCCTTATTACTGATAAGGAGAACATTTGAGTGGCCTGGATAGACGATCAAACCAGATATAACATTCCCTTGAGCTAAAGCCTACTCCAGAGCAAGGCTGTCTCTTCAAATCTATGAAGGCTGAGAGAGGTGAGGAAGCTGCAGAATAAAAGTTTGAAGTTAGCAAAGGTTGGTTCATGAGGTTTGAGGAACGAACCCGTCTCTGCAACATAAAAATGCAAGGTGAAGCAGCAGGTTCTGATGTATAAGCTGCAGCAAGTTATCCAGAAGATCTAGCTAAGATCACTGATGAATGTAGCTACACTAAACAGATTTTCAATGTAGATGAAAGAGCCTTAGACTGGAAGAAGATGCCATCTAGGGTTTTCATAGCTAGAGAGGAGAAGTCAAGGCCTGGCTTCAAAGCTTCCAGGGACAGGCTGACTCTGTTAGTGATGCAGCTGGTGACTTGAAGTTAAAGCCAATGCTTATTGACCATTCCTAGAATCCTAGGGCCCTTAAGAATTATGCTAATTCTACTCTGCCTGTGCTCTATAAATGGAACAACAAAGCCTGGATGACAGCACATCTGTTTACAACGTGGCTACTAAATATTTTAAGCCCACTGTTGAGACCTACTGCTCAGAGAAAAAGATTGCTTTCAAAATATTACTTCTCATTGACAATGTACCTAGTCCCCCAAGAGCTCTGATGGAGAT
Source organism: Homo sapiens (assembly GCF_000001405.40). Lineage (NCBI taxonomy): Eukaryota > Metazoa > Chordata > Mammalia > Primates > Hominidae > Homo > Homo sapiens. Next base: position 182,665,413 of record NC_000004.12, read on the forward strand.
GTGCGAGGAGGTTAATGTTTTCATGCCTGCAAACACAACATCCACTCTGCAGCCCATGGATCAAGGAGTAATTTCAAGTCATATTTAATTTAATTTCAACTTTCAAGTCGTATTTAAGAAGTACATTTTGTAAGGCTATCATAGATAGATAGTGATTTTCCTGTGATAGATCTGGGCAAAATCAATTAAAAACCTCCTGGAGGCTGGGCACGGTGGCTCACACCTGTAATCCCAGCACATTGGGAGGCTGAGGCGGGCGGATCACGAGGTCAGGAGATCGAGACCATCCTGGTTAACAGGGTGAAACCCCGTCTCTACAAAAAATACAAAAAATTTAGCCGGACATGGTGGCGGGCACCTGTAGTCCCAGCTACTCAGGAGGCTGAGGCAGGAGAATGGCATGAACCCGGGAGGCGGAGGTTGCAGTGAGCCAAGATGGCGCCACTGCACTCCAGCCTGGGCGACAGACAGAGACTCTGTCTCAAAAAAAAATAACACCTTCTGGAAAGGATTTAGCATTCTAGATGCTATTAAGAACATTTATGATTCATGGGAAGAGGTCAAAAGACTAACATTAGCAAGAGTTTGGAACTTAATTCCAACATTCATAGATGACTTTGAGGGTTCACACTTCAATGGCGGAAGTAACTGCAGATCTGGTGGAAATAGCAAGAAAACTAGAATTAGAAGTAGAGCCTGAAGATGTGACAATTGCTGCAATCTCATCATGAAACTTTAATGGACGAGGAGTTGTTCTTATGGATGAGCAAAGAAAGTGGGTATTTGAGATGGAATTTACTCCTGATGAAGAAGCTATGAACATTGTTGAAATAACAACAAAGGATTTAGACTATCATAAACTTAGTAGATAAAGCAGTGGCAAGGTTTGAGAGGGTTGACTCCGATTCTGAAAGATGTTCTACTGTGGGTAAAAAGATATCAAATAGCATCCCATCCTTCAGAGAAACCTTTCATGAAAAGAGTCAATCAATGTGGCAAACTTAATTATTGTCTTATTTTAAGAAATTGCCACAGACACTCCAACCTTCAGCAACCACCACCTTGATCAATCAGCTGCCGCCTACACTGAGGTAAGATCCTCCACCAGCAAAAAGATGATGACTTGATCAGATGATCGGTAGCATTTTTTAGCAATAAAATTTTTTAAATTAAGTTTGTACGTTGGTTTGTAGAAACCTATTGGCTGGGCACAGTGGCTCATGCCTGCAATCCCAGCACTTTGGGTGGCCGAGGCTGGTGGATCGCTTGAGTCCAAGAGTTTTAGACCAGCCTAGACGACATGTTGAAACCCTGTCTCTACAAAAAATACCAAAAAATTAGCCAGACTCGGTGGTGTGCACCTGTAGTCCCAGGCACTTGGGAAGCTGAGGTAGGAGGATCACCTGAGCCCAGGGAGATTGAGGCTGCAGTGAGCCGAGATTGGGCCACTGCACTCCAGCCTGGGTGACAGCTTTTGAGACCCTGTCTCAAAAAAAAAAGGAAATAATGCTATTGCACACTTAGTAGACTGCAGTATAGTGTAAACATAACTTTTATATGCACTGGTAAACCAAAAAATGTGTGTACCTCACTTTATTGTGATATCTGCTTTATTGTGGTGGTCTGGAACAAAATGTGCAATAGGTATGCCTGTATATGCTTTAAATGTGTCTATTTCATTAGCTCATTTAATTTATGGGAAATAGCCACCATATAATTTAACTGTCAGAGCCAGTACTCATTGAAATCAAAGTTACCATTTTTTTGTTTTGTTTTGTTTTGTTTTGTTTTGTTTTGAGATGGAGTCTTGCTCTGTTGCCCAGGCTAGAGTGCAGTGGTGTGATCTCGGCTCATTGTAACCTCCACCTCCCAGGTTCAAGTGATTCTCCTGCCTCAGCCTCCCAAGTAGCTGGGATTACAGGCGCCCGCCACCACACCCAGCTAATTTTTGTATTTTTAGTAGAGACAGGATTTCACCATCTTGGCCGGGCTGGTCTCGAACTCCTGACCTTGTGATCCACCTGCCTCAGTCTCCCAAAGTGCTGGGATTACAGGTGTGAGCCACCACACCTGGCCCAAATTTACCTTTTGTCAGAAAAAGTCTGACTTATTTTTTCAGTTCGAATAAATTAATCTACATTTTGTTAGAACCTCTCAGTTCTGAATCCCTGCTCTAGGTAGAGAGGTAGCAAGATAAAGCACAAATCCTTGTCCTAACCTTGACAACGGGAATAAATAAAGCATCATTACATTTCATGTTTCTTACCTTATTGCTGTGTTCTTGGTAGTCATGAAATTCTTCTGCAGTTGAAAAGCATTCTTTGTAGAACACTTGGACACAGGAAGGGGAACATCACACACCGGGGTCACACACCGGGGCCTATCATGGGGTGGGGGGAGTGGGGAGGGATAGCATTAGGAGATATACCTAATGTAAATGATGAGTTAATGGGTGCAGCACACCAATATGGCGCATGTATACATATGTAACAAACCTGCACGTTTTGCACGTGTACCCTAGAACTTAAAGTATAATAAATACATAAATACATTAATTAATTAATTAATTAATTAAAAAGAAAAGCATTCTTTGACAGTAGTTGGGGTGAGTGATAAGTTCATTAAAAAGGTTATCTCTCTTTCTTGATGTATTTGACTTCAAAGCATGCTAGTAGTCCTAAATACCCCATTGTTAACCCCACATTTTGCCCTTAATGGAACTATGTTAAGCAGGGAAAGTCGCTGAAGCCCTACCTTGGGTTTATGGTGTCTTCAATAAAAGAGGCTTCACCACCACAATACTTTTAATTTTGCCTTTTTTTGGCATACTGGAAGTTTTATGCTCCAAGACAATAAGTCATAGTAATATTTGGGTATGTGAGAGGTACGCCTTTCTTTTGTAAAGAAAGTCAACACATGAATGTTATTGAGGGTCTATTAATAGAAATTAATCTCCTACCCCGTTCCTTATTGAAAAGTTTTAATGTTTCCTAGGGATATGGCTACCCTTTTTTAAAGACCCCTGGACTAGATGACCCCCACGGGTACTAGAACTCGAAGATTCTGTGGTGTTATGATTAATTAGGTATTTTTTCGTTACGGGAGGAAAAAAATCATCACAATTGCTATCCCATTCAAGCACACTCCACCAATCTTGGATCTTTTGTTTTACAAATGAAGAACCCTCTTTTTCTGGAAAAGAACCACTGGTTAAATTACCTATATATGGGACTAACAGGATAAATAGATATACTTCGCGACACAACGATGTATTCACATATCATTTCTGTGAGAAAGATTTTAACCCCTCAAAATTAATTTGTGGAGAAAGAAACAAGGCAAGAATACCTAGCTTATTAAATGCCTTTGACATAGTGAAACCGGAAACCCTAGAAATCAGAACTTGGTTACCATTACCACAGCTAATCCTCTTGGGTAAACATAATGTTTTGGAAAAAAATTCTGAAATTGGCACCAGTTTATGAATTTATGTTTACCAGTTCTCAAAGCACAGGTATGCTATTAAAACTCAGAAAACCATTAATAGCAGCAATAGGGTCAACCCAAGAGAGTAGATTAAATTACATATGCTTCGGATAGTAGATGAAACTTGTTAATGACAATCAAGTATCATAGCCTTAGAAATGTATGAACTTGATGAATGAGTCTACATATAAACTATGTTCATATTAAAATATGATATGTATACTGACATCTTAGAGGGGAAGAGAACAGCTACTCTACTCAGTACTTTAAAATTAGTTTCATGTAGAAGTCAACCAAAAGACAAAAACTTATGAGGAACTTATGAATTATAACATAAAGAGTATTATATTATAATATCCATGTCACGTTTTTTTTGTTTTTGTTTTTGTGAGATGGAGTCTCACTCTGTTGCCCAGGCTGGAGTGCAGTGGCGCGATCTCGGCTCACTGCAAGCTCCGCCTCCCAGGTTCACGCCATTCTCCTGCCTCAGCCTCCCGAGTAGCTGGGACTACAGGCGCCCGCCACCACACCGGGCTAATTTTTTTGTATTCTTAGTAGAGACGGGGTTTCACTGTGTTATCCAGGATGGTCTCAATCTCCTGACCTCGTGATCCGCCCTCCTCAGCCTCCCAAATTGCTAGGATTACAGGCGTGAGCCACCACACCCGGCCTTCCATGTCAGTTTTTTAAGTTTTATCAATATAAAACTTATAAAAATAAGTATAAACTTTATGTCCTGACATTGTAAGTATATTCTCTAGGGTGGTTCAGTGACTTAATATATCTGATTTTATATGAAATAGACAAATTTAAAACTTAGTAATTTAAAATAATATTTTTGTTTTAATAAAAAGCAAAGATTTTATTGAGGATTATATACAACAGATGGTTTTGGAATTCTGCAGACCTTGATTTCAGTCTTGATGCCATCACTGACTTTGGCCACATCATTTACTTCTCTGAGCCTTAGTTTCCTCATCTCAAAATGATACCAACCTCTTGGGTGAAACTACCTGTCATATTGTAGGTTCTCAGTGAAGATTAGTTCCATTTCTCTCTCCCCTGAATCTTCTCAGTAAAAGCTCCTTCATGACAAATGTAGGTTCCTTTGCAGAAGCTTCCTAAATGAAAAGTAGAAATTGGTCTCAGATAATTAAAAATTTCTGAGTAAAGCAAGACGTCTGTTTAGCTAGAAAGCAAAATAATCTCTGGGTGGTAGCATTATACATATTTTTTCTCTCTTTATTTAACTGTATGTTCTAATTTTGCTGAAATGAACAAGTATTACTATTGTAAAATAAATACTTTGAATCCTATGAATGATCTACAGTTTATAATCTAAGAGTTGATGTGTGGAAAAATTATAGTGATTACTATAACTCAATTTGGAAATTTTATTCCTTAGATCCTTTTATATTACTGAATTGGTTCAAGAAAAATAGACCTGATAGCTACCATGATTGTGAACACTGGGAAAGAAGAGAGGAAGGGAGATTATAAATAATGCCTTTTTATTGAGTTTTCTAGTACAACCCTCTTCTGCCTCATACCTGGGTTATTGCAGCTGTGTCCTCACTCATCTCTTCATGTCCAGGCTTCCCACAGTTACTGCACAGTAATGCTCTTGAAACAGTGATTTCATTTCACCTCTAGCCCGCTCAGAACCTTTAATGGGTCTCCATTTAGTTATAGCTGTCCTTCACAACTGATGGTACGTGTGTCATGTAGGATGCAGTAGTCCAGATGGAAAGCAATTCTAACATTTGCTAGTGATGTACTCTCCCTCAAACCTCACATTTATCTGTAAGTGTGAATTTTTTGTGAATTGCTTCAGATCCTATAGGCCATAAACTGGGTCTGTGATTGCAGGTCATGTTCCGTAGTAATCTTCAATTCTGTTTCTCTTGATTATATACACACACCCCACCACCACACAAGAATAAGTGTGTTTGAGGCATCGAAATGCAATTTACCCATAATCAGTCTTCAAGTATCTGTTTGAAAAACATACCATAAATGACATGCACAGTAACAGAATACTAGTAAATATATACATCTTCAGGGAAAAGGGTGTAATAACACTCTTGATAGAGTGAAAATACAAGAAATCACTAGCATAAAGTATAAAGACCATATTCTTTAACCTGGTATTCAAGGCCCTCCACAGACAGATGCCACGTCCCTTCCCAACCTTATCCCGCATCCCTCCCACGACAAACCCATTCAGTACCTCCTGAGAGCCAGACGCTGCAGCTTGCCCTTGATGCACCAAACCTCATGGAATCCTTGTAACGGTGCAATCATTATGTTACTCTCCCCATTTTCTAAATGAGGTTTAGTATCTTCCTTAAGGTCACACAGCTAATTGTTGGCAGAGCCAGGATTCAAACCCAGGTTTGTCTGACTCCAAAACGGGTTTTCTTTATCTTGTTTTCTGGCCAGATGGATTTCTCTGCTGAGCCTCAACCTAACACCTGTCAAGTTCCACGGCCATGCTTGTGATAGCGATGTTTATCCCAGCTCAGAAACCTTATCCTACCTGTTCCTCAATGTTTACCACCAAACTTAACTCCTGTGAAATCTCTCAACCTCCAGCCTGCAGTGATAGTGCCTTTCTCTGACCCCTACTCATATGTTGCTTTAGGGTCTCACTTAATTTATCAGTTTGTGGGTGTTGTCTCCCCACCCAGGTAATTACTACTTGATAGCAGAAGCTATGGAAGTCTAGATAATCTCTAAGATTCTACTCTTTGGTTTATATTTCTTTTTTTAAGTCACCTACAGTGCTGCCGCTAGCAGACACTCAGTAAAAATGAACTCAGAGTTAAACTAATAACTCTTCACAGATAGTTAGAAGCCTGTCTCCCTTATCACTGAGATGAGATAGCTTACAGCTCAGACTTAAAATCACTTCCTCTGCGTTTTGAATTAACAGTTTAATATTTTTTTTAAAAAAGACAAAGTTGGTAGTAAGTCAACTTTGTTATCAGTTTTTTTTTAAGAGACGAGGTCTCACTGTGTTGCCCAGGCTGGACTTTAACTCCTGCGCTCAAGTGATCCTCACTCCTCACCCTCTTGTTGTTATCAGTGTAAAAGGGCTGAATTGATAGAAGATAATTTGCCCAGTTCCATTCTGTTCCTCAGCCTTCTGGACCCGTCTGCATAAGAGACAATGTAGTTATATTTCCACTCACGGCAAATTGCAGAAATTCTACCATGACCCCCATCAGAATAACTGAGAAAGAACCTTGGCAAAGAGGGAAAAGAGGAACATCGTACCAAAAAGAGGAGTCTTGGATCTGTTTTCTAGAAGGAGGCCATGCAGGAAGAGAAGAGATGGTGTCTCTTAACAGGTGGCAGAGATCCAGGGAGAAAAGAGGTTTTGTTCCTATGCATCAAAGATCAGTGTGGTCAGAAGTAACACAGTATGTCCACTAAGACTACAAGTGAGTTTGAAATGAGGCTCAAAAGAAAGAGGAAAAGTTATAACAGCCTACACAAAAGCTATGTGAGCACTTAAGCTTACCCCTCCTTCCTTTCCCCTCACAATGCCCCAAGTACCCCTTCTCTATCTCTCTGCCAACATCTGATGTTTTTCATTCATCCTAGTATATCATTTAGATAGAACCACATGAATCCGAGCCATCAGTTGGTTTTATTGTTTGCTTAAGGATTGATTTAGAAATCTCCATAATCCATTCTGCCTTAATTTACACTTTGCAGTGTTATAGTATGTTTAGAATGACTGATAAGTACCAGACCCTAATCTCTCCCAAGAAATAACAAGACTCATAATTTGTAAGATAATTATGTTTCAAGTGAACAGAAAGACTGTAGGTGTGAAAACAGCTTTAGTAATGGGCATACCTTGGGGGAAGTCAAAAGGATTTTAACTTAAATATCTTACGAGCTAAATCAGAATTAGTAAAACACCAGTATCTAATAGTAGAAGCTTTTAAAGTGCAAATTTTATGAAAGTAATATATCAGAAGATGAAATGGCTTGAGCATTTGGTAAAAATAACTTTTTCAAAAAGTTTAAAAACCTTTTTTGTTTTGTTTTTTTAAAAAAAATTTGTTCTTCATCAGTGCATCTCTTACATTCAGGAAAATTAGGTGGATTTACGCAAGAAAATAACACCATAGATTCCGGAGAACTTGATATTGGCCGAAGAGCAATTCAAGAGATTCCTCCCGGGATCTTCTGGAGATCACAGCTCTTCATTGATCAGCCACAGTTTCTTAAATTCAATATCTCTCTTCAGAAGGATGCATTGATTGGAGTATATGGCCGGAAAGGCTTACCGCCTTCCCATACTCAGGTAAGACTAGGCTTTCTTATCAATAAAATAAAAACTGCCAGTTGCATTTTTTGAAATTATTCTCTTTCTTAAGCTCAGCTGTTTGGTTAACTGTTTGACGACTTTTGAATCGACTTTCTACAGTAGAAAGAGTTTTGAATGTAGATTACTTGTTCTGAGGTTTTTGAATCAGTAGTGGGAAGAACAATATTTTCTTCCTGATTTGACTGTTTAAAATGTACTGAATTTTGTGAGGAACTTAATGAATATTGAGCATCATCTGAGCACCCAGTAAAACACCATGGATTTTCCAAGTGTTTTACAAAGATTCTATGATAATTTCCGATGATCTTATTCCTTTCATGTAATAGATGCATAACATATTCATCTCTAACACGTATTCATTCTGTTGAAAATGTATTTTTTTAGTTTATGCCAGATTTCCTCTTAGTAGAGAAATGATGGGAACATCAACATAAATATGATGACATGAGCTTTATCAACTCAGGCGCCGTGCCTCATCTAAAATGATCAACGCTGAGATGAAGAGGCAAGAGAGCTTTCAGAGATAACCAAGTATGATCATGTCAGTGTGGTACACAAGACAATTCACATATCCTTAATATCAAAGAACTTTAAAGTCGTTTCCCTTGCATAAAAATCCCCTCACAACAGCAATCACAGATGGAGAACTGCTGGCAATTCCACAGCCTTTTTCATAATCTAATACAGTACCGGGTCATAGTATGTAAACTGGAAATTGTCGCTTAATATAGGTTTCATCATCTCTAAGAGAAGTTATTTAAATTACCTACCATAAAATTGGAACTGAGACTTTCCCCAAGATCAACTATTACGTTAGTACATAGAGGAATATCAAAAATGTAAGAGTTGATTCATTAAAATTGACAGTAGGATGAGCCTAAAGTTATATTCAATAATCAGTTTATTTACCTAGAGAATTTCATGCTGATTTAGTGTGACTTATAAAATAAGGGCTGGAGAGTTTTCATGTATGCTTTATATCATATAATTTTGTGAGAAATATTTTTTCTATAACCTAGGAACATAAATTATGAAGAAAAGTTATCACATATTAATAAAGAAATTATATCTTTAAAGGAAGATGAGTAAGAAGATTTCAACATGCTTTTTCTAATGTAATTGTGGATTTAGTTCATATACATATATTAATTTTATGGCTGTGAAATTTCTGAATATCAGGCTTTAGTGTATTCATTTTTCCTATTTAATATTTTTAATATCTATATTATTAAAGTAAATTTGATCCTTATGCATTGTATACTTCTTATAATGTACTAATGCCCAATTTTAAATTTTATATTTTTGTTTGTTTGTTGGGGTTTTGGTTTTTGTTTGTTTTGTTTTTTGTTTGAGACAGGGTCTCACTCCGTCTTCCAGGCTGGAGTGCAATGGCACAATCTTACCTCACTGTAGCCTCAACCTCCTCGGCTCAGGTGATCCTTCCACCCCAGCCTCCTGGGTAGCTGGGACTACAGATGCGTGTCACCGCCCCCGGCTAATTTTTGTATTTTTTGTAGAGATGTGGTTTCACCATGTTGCCCAGGCTGCTCTTGAACTCCTGGGCTCAAGCAATCCGCCCACCTTCCCAAAGGACTGGGATTACAGGCATGAGCCACCGCGTCTGGGCTATTTTATTTTATTTTATTGTTTGAGATGGAGTTTTGCTCTTGTTGCCCAGGCTGGAGTGCGATGGCATGATCTCGGCTCGCCACAACCTCCGCCTCCCGGGTTCAAGTGATTCTCCAGCCTCAGCCTCCTGAGTAGCTGGGATTACAGGCGTGCACCACTATGCCCAGCTAATTTTGTATTTTTAGTAGACATAGGTTTTCTCCATGTTGGTCAGGCTGGTCCCGAACTCCCAACCTCAGGTGATCTGCCCTCCTCGGCCTCCCAAAGTGCTGGGATTACAGGCGTGAGCCACCGCACCCAGCCAGTCTAGACCATTTTAAAGTTTAGATTTGACTCCAGTTCATCTTATAGGTGACACTGACTAGGATATAATAACCAGATTTTCTTAAGGCTAGGCACAGTGACTTAGGCCTGTAATCCCAGCACCAGGAGGCCAAGGTGGGTGGATCACTTAAGGTCAGGAGTTCAAGACCGGCCTGACCAACATGGTGAAACCCCATCTCTACTAAAAATACAAAATTAGCCGAACGTGGTAGCGCACACCTGTAATCCCAGCTACTCAGGAGGCTGAGGCAGGAGAATTGCTTGAACCCTGGAGGCAAAGATTGCAGTAAGTGAGAGATCGTGACATTGCACTCCAGCCTGGACGACAGGAGCAAAACTCTGTCTAGGAGAAAAAAAAAAAAAGCAGATTTTCTTAAGTGGAAGTCCTCTATAACTTCAATTATAGTAGACAGATTGGATTTATAGCAATTGTCCAGTGAAATATGAAAAAATATTTTCCCACTGAAACCGCATATGTGATTATTTGTGTATAATTCAAGAAATATACCTCTAAGCTGAGCACAATAGTAAACATGTAACTTACAAATTCTAGAAAATAATTTCAGGTAAGAATTGTCTATTGTGTTGTGTACTTGAAAGGTTTATTTAAAGATTTAGTTGACTGCAAGTTGTATATAACATTTAAGATTAGAGAAATGAAAGGTGCAGTTTCGGGTTTTCTCATAATCCTTCTAGTATTTAAACACAATACATGTGATATCCTCTTTTCTTTTCTACCACAATATATGTGTTTAAGTAGGTTATGCATTTTCTTAAGCTTCACGGTTATTATAGTTTCTTCCTGTGGTTTATTCAAGATCAGCAGAGCAAACAACTGTTTCTGAGTTCAGTGTTTAAACATGAAATATTGTATAAGGCAGCCCAAATTGAACATTTCTCTGTTTCTGGAGAACATTAAATAAATCAACCTGAAATAATTAAAATTGGCCAGCCATTCAGAATAGTTGCTTGAGCTTTCGCAGTCTTTGTGACCCTTTGTAAAACTGCCCGTTTGATTGTTGCCAAGGAATCAGTGGGCTCTCTTCTCCCTGATGCCAGTTCATTCTCCTGGTCAGTTAGTGGCCTCAGGAGTCAATGCAGAGCCTTATGGTGAAGTATACTGTAGCATTTTAGTGCATTCACATGAAGGCTGTTGTCGAATAGGAGTTGGAAGCCTGAGTTCTAGCATACCCTCACCACCTTTTCACTGTGTGACCTTGCAGAGTCCCTTCTCTGAGCCTTAGTGTCCATTGGTAAAATGAAAGAGTTGGATCAGATGATCTGTAAAATCTCTTTAGTCTCTATATTCCAATTACAGCAAGACTGTGCCACTACCAAAGAGTTGATGTAAGGACACAGTTAAGTATTCATAGATTCTAAGAACTCATCGTTTTAGTAACGGAATTGAATTAAACATATAATCTAACTTCAGAAGTGAACTACCAAGATAACTGAAACAAAATCTATTTGTTTTTAAATGGTCTATTAGATAATCAGCATAAATACAACAAACATGGGCAAACTTTTCTTCTATTGATTTTCCAAAAGACGGCTTATTAATACATTGTAGTTTAAAGCAACTTTAAATGAGGATTTTTAAAGCGTGTATATTTGGTAATATTAAATCGTAAGAAAATGACCTTTAAACGGAGCTTTCACACTAAAATTATCTCACTTTATATGAAACCTGTATCAAGTATAAGCTTTGTCTCACGATGGCTCCCGCGGACTAGTGCAATTGAAGAGTTAGCCCCAAGAATTTCTTCCTAAAAAGAGCATAAGGTCCTAAGACTCCTCTTCTCCCCAAAAATATATCTGCATCTCCATCTTAGAAATATTACAAAGCAAAACTCACATTTGCCCTTAAGTGACCACTTTATGCCCTAAGAACAAAGATTATTAAGTATTTTTATTCCTTGTAATTTGGTAATTTTGGGCAAAGATGGTTTTAGTGTTAAAGTAGGGAACTTTTTTTAGGTATTTGAATCGCCCTCCTGAATTCATGTGCGAAACACTTCTGCAGATGAGCCTAGAACTGGGTAGATACTCAAAACCTGTCAGCTCCTCCTCCCCACCATCATGCCCACTACCCTGGCCTTATTTTATTGTTCACAGTGTGATGCGAATGGTTATTTCTATGATAAAGGTGATGGTTGTGCTTTTGCCTTGAAAGACCAGCTAAAACTCAAAATTCCTCCCGTTCACTTTTTCAGTTACCGTGTTTAATGTTAGGGAAGAAAAATGTTTATATGCTTCGGTCATAAAAAGAAACTTTTTCTTGTCTCTTTGCCATGCAAATGTGTAAATATTTAAACCTGATGAGGAAATGAATGGCTTATTTGAGACAGAGTCACCATTCAAAACTGCTGAATTAATTTTCCTCTGACAATTCTAGAATAGAATTCCAGTCAAATTTTATAGGTCATGTATCCACACCAGTCAGTATTTTCATCCTTATAAGGTATAAATGAAAATAAACATTTTTGACTGCTGATCAGGTTATACTGTTTTTATATATTTCTCACAGCTGAATTCTGTTCTGATGAAACTACACAAAAGAACAAAAAAAGGTTTTACTTATAAATAAAAATTTTAGTAAGTCAGAAACTGAATTAGATACTCTAAGTTCTCTCCAATATTAACAGTAGAGGTCTATGGTCAGTAAAATGGCAATATATTTAACTGTGATTCTCAGAAATTCCAACAACTGATTTTATTCCAGTTTGATTGGATTAAGAGATTCATATAATCTTTTTCTTAAATAGGCCTCTGATGAAATTCCATTTAAGAAACCTATCAGAAAGTAGAATATTTATGATTTATATATGCAGTAGTATAATAATAATTATTTATATATAGTACTATGGCATATGTTTCACCATAAACACACTTCAGGAATAGAATGAAACTAGGTAACATTCTATAGACACTGAATCACTCTACTTTTAACAATTGTAATCTAAAAAACTCCTTGAAACTACATTGGAAAGTCTTTTCAGTGTCTTTCAAATTCCCTGTATTATTTCTAGTTACAAAATTTTACCCCACTATATTAACAATCACATTTTATACTTTTAATTCTTTTTTAAACTCTCCAGTCACCAATGTTCATGTCTAATTTTACTACAACAAAACTTAGGTTTAATGATGACCCATTCATAAGAATAATCAGGCACGTTTACTGTTACTGCCATCCTTTCAGAACCCCTCCATTGTTTAACTGTTTAGATCAAAGATGTAAAGGCATCTTGTTACATGTTTCTAATCTAACAATAACTAAGTAAAGCCCATGGCGTTCTCCATGGTGCTTGAGATGGTCACATCAGGGTCACAAGAGAGGTGGAGTAGGGTGGGAGGAATGACCCCACTTGGAGCAAAGTGCTCTTGAGTTCACAAGCCAACCCCACCATTACCAGATGTCTGAGAGCCTGCTACCCTCCTCAAGATTCAGATTCCTTCACCTGTAAAGTGCAAATGTTAAAGCCTTCCTACGAGGGTTCCTATGAGGAACCAGCACGGAGTAAGGATTCAACAGTAGTTGTTGCTACATGAATGTTAAATCAGAGAAGACTGTACAGGGTTATCTTGTGGTCTAACTAAAACAAGGTTGCTGGCAACATGGATGGAACTGGAGCTCATTGTGTGAAGTGAAATAAGCCAGGCACAGAAAGTCAAATACTGCATGTTCTTGCTTATATGTGGGAGCTAAAAAAGTGAATGAGCAGAAAGAGGAGAATGATGGTTCTCAGCAAACTAACACAAGAACAGAAAACCAAACGCCGCATGTTCTCACTCATAAGTGGGAGTTGAACAGTGAGGACACATGGACACAGGGAGGGGAACATCACCCCAGGGCCTGTCAGGGTGTCAGGGGCTAGGGGAGGGATAGCATTAGGAGAAATACCTAATGTAGATGATGGATTGATGGGTGCAGCAAACCACCATGGCACGTGTATACCTATGTAACAAACCAGCACATTCTGCACATGTACCCCAGAACTTAAAATAAAATTTAAAAAAAAGAAAGAGTAGAATGATGGATACCAGAGGCCGGGAGGGCACTCAAAATACGTACGACTATTATATATCAATTATGAATTTAATGCATTAAAAATAAGCCTGCTGGATTGGAAATGTCAGTTCATGTAGATTTTATGTTTGTATCCCCAAACTGCCTAAACTCATCAAACTTTTGATCAGTCAGTAGAATTAAATAAATTTGGAAACCATATTGCCCAATAAGGGAAAAAAATGGTCCCTGATGTTTGAATCCAGCCCTGTGTGGCGAATAGTTTGCGTCCTCCTTGTAAATGCTATGCATGGGAGACTTCTACCATTTGGACCTGTCAGGAACTTCTTTCTAACATTGTATTTGTTAGAGCAAAGGAAGACAGATTGAAGAGAAAAAAAAAAAGAGAGAAGCAGCCACCCTTTATCTTTCTGACTATTTTTCCTCGTCCTCCCCCCAGTATGACTTCGTGGAGCTCCTGGATGGCAGCAGGCTGATTGCCAGAGAGCAGCGGAGCCTGCTTGAGACGGAGAGAGCCGGGCGGCAGGCGAGATCCGTCAGCCTTCATGAGGCCGGCTTTATCCAGTACTTGGATTCTGGAATCTGGCATCTGGCTTTTTATAATGATGGGAAAAATGCAGAGCAGGTGTCTTTTAATACCATTGTTATAGGTAAGAATAGTCTTCAAAGCAGCATTTTCCAGGCTATAGCCTAAACGCCGTGTTTAATAAAAACTAAATTATCTGTACCAATTTGGGGTAATTCCTAGGGTGTTAAAGCCCAGGTAAAATGTGAGAATTATTTTTAAACCTTTATTTGGGAATATGTGACAAACTGTGAAGCACTGGGAGAAAATATTTTCTGGAATTACCTTGGGAGAGGAGAATATGTCATGAAACACTTTGAAAATCTGCATTTGAAGTGACAGTGCTTTGCTTTACTACTCAAATTATCTAGCATAAATGAAGATCAAAGTGATACCGTTTATCTTTTGCAAGAGGCAGGCTATACAACAAGTGTTCCTTCTTTCCTTTTTCTTCAGAGTCTGTGGTGGAATGTCCCCGAAATTGCCATGGAAATGGAGAATGCGTTTCTGGAACTTGCCATTGTTTTCCAGGATTTCTGGGTCCGGATTGTTCAAGAGGTATGCAAGTTAGATTCTTCTCTTAAGCCGATATAAATAAGCTGTAGAAACACAAGTGATTCCAAAAACTACCGAGACAGGAAAGAAAGGGGGGGGGAGACTGGCATATTGCTTGTTCCAGCGATGTGTCTTTTCTTTCGGAAGCTCGGTGGAAAGTGTGGCTGTAATTCTTCTGTCGTGTCTTGTTTCACAGCCGCCTGTCCAGTGTTATGTAGTGGCAACGGGCAGTACTCCAAGGGCCGCTGCCTGTGTTTCAGCGGCTGGAAGGGCACCGAGTGTGATGTGCCGACTACCCAGTGTATTGACCCACAGTGTGGGGGTCGTGGGATTTGTATCATGGGCTCTTGTGCTTGCAACTCAGGATACAAAGGAGAAAGTTGTGAAGAAGGTAAACATGTCAATATTCACAGAAGTCTGTTGTTATCTTCATAAAGAAACAGATTGTATCTGTAATCTTTAGTTGGGCAGATCTCTTTTATACGCTTCCTTTTGAAAGCAATTTTGAAAAATCCATGTTTATGAATGCATTGTTTTACTAACATTTTAACTAATAAAAAGAACAAGCACCAAAGGGCCCCTTTGCTCTTTTTCAGCACTGTGAATCATTCCTTTTCTTCACTCTGAGAAAGCAAGCAAACCTTTATGCCTTGAAACTAACAGCGGACGGTTGATTTTATTTTTCTTTTTATAGTTTTTTACATTGATGCCAGCTTCTAAATCTAGCATTTTGACATCTCTAGAAAGACAGAGTAGTACACATAATATGCTACCTAAAAGAAGTATGACATCATGGATGTGTTCCATAGCTGTATACGTATAATGATGAGAGTCGAGATACCATACTGTAAAGTGCAGGTGAATTGTTTTTTCAGAAAGCAAAAAAGCACCATTTCCATTCTTCAATCAAATTGATTTTATTGATCTGCACACACAAAGTAATGCAATTAAGTCTCTGGAATTAAATTTTCAGGCCATTGACCCTACAAGTGTAAAGTTTTATTGAGTCAAATTGCTAAATTAAATCTCGTCATCTAAAGCACATTGAAGTGAATTAAGAAGGATAGAGAGTATGCAACTCATTTATTTCTCAAACAGTGTGAGGATCCCATACAGCTGTCAGTACTCAGTGGTCACAGATTTTGTTATAGAGAAGGCAATACTTATTACTCTGTGATTAGGCAGAACAGAGAGCAATAGTCTGAAACCTCAAGAGCCTGTGTGTGTAATTCAGGAAAATTACAAATCCTTGCAAGAGTCTCAATTACCTAAATGGCATTAGGCTGGATCTTAATGCTTTATTGTATTATAATTCTTTGCATTTTCAGAAACAAGTTCTTGAAAATGGTAGATAAATATTTGATTTTCCAAAATGTTCATATAAATTAGATTAGGATTTAATTCTTTTTTCTGCATGCACTATGATATCTTCTGGATTTAATAAAATTGTTCTTTTCTTTACACCAGCTGACTGTATAGACCCTGGGTGTTCTAATCATGGTGTGTGTATCCACGGGGAATGTCACTGCAGTCCAGGATGGGGAGGTAGCAATTGTGAAATACTGAAGACCATGTGTCCAGACCAGTGCTCCGGCCACGGAACGTATCTTCAAGAAAGTGGCTCCTGCACGTGTGACCCTAACTGGACTGGCCCAGACTGCTCAAACGGTGAGGTTAATAAATGCAGTACAATCGAGTTGCTTAATACTGTTTGGCTAAAGATGATATTTTAATCTTTAAACCTCCCTTTTTAAACCTAATACAAATTTTAGTAAAGTGATTCTTTATGGAAATAAATATTAAAAGTAATGATATGTAGTTGCCTTATAAAAAAGAAGGAACCAGGCTTAGCCAGTTTGTCACTAAAATTTCCCCTTTAGTATTATGCGGAGACTCATCTTTCATCTGCATGAGATACCATATCTTCTTAACTCTCAATTTATGGAACTACTAACCAAAACTAACCTCTCTAAAATCTTAAGTATAGCTTGGGGATTTAAGCACATTATCTTATAAACAGGGAAGGCTCAATTTAAAAAAATCATTTGACAATATAAGGCTAAACATCACAGTAAAGAGTATACAGGTATAGACATTATGATATGAATAAATGGTTCAACACTGAGTTTTTAATCATAATAACATGGTTATAATAGAAATAAGACAAGGTAATTTCATTCAATCAGCCAAGTTGTTATTGAGCACTTACTATGTGCATGGCATTGTGATAGGCCCTGTAAGACTGAAAGACTTAACAAATCGTGTCTGCCCTCTAGAACAATGGCTTTCTAATTTTTTGACCTTGAACTATCATCATGACCTAGTATAAGTATACATGCACATACTCACATAATTGAAATAAACATTTTACAAAGTGATACACGCTGATTTTTTTCAAGCCTATTTTATTTTTTTCAAATGTTGGTTGCAACTCATGAGCTAATTCCATAACTCATAAGTTATGGTTTGAGAAGATGCCATTCTAGTGTGGAAGATTACAGTTTATTTAGGGAGATAAGATGAATACATATGAAAAATTCTAAATCAATACATCCTAGTTTAATACTATATTGAGTGTTACATGGAATATTATGCTAAATTCAGTGGACATTCAGAGGAGTGATTCTAACTTAATGAGTATTCAGAGTTTTCAAGGAGACTTGTATTAACATTTCTTTATTTAATGATGGTGGTAGTCTGGGTAAGGGTATAATTTTTGGCTAGGTGAACAGTATTAGAAAGTACTTAAGAGCATGGACTGTGAAATCAGATGTGTGGATTCATATCCAATCTGTACTCCTTAAGAGCTATGTGATCTTAGGCAAATTACTATATGCCTCAGTTTACTCATCTGTAAAATCATGGGACACTCTTCACAAAGATGCTGTGGGAATTACTTGGAATAATATATATAACATAGTTAGTACAGAGCTTGGCTGATAATAAATTCTAAAGATAGCTTCCACCACCATCATCACTACCATAGAACATCCCTAATCTGAAATTCAAAATGCTTCAAAATTCAAACCTTTCTGAACACCAACATGATGCTCAAAGGAAATGCTCATTGCAGCATTTCAGATTTTGTATTTTCAGATTAGGGATGCTCCAGGGGTATTTATTCTGCAAATATTATAACATCTGAAAAAGTTTAAAATCCAAATCACTTCTGGTTCCAAGTAATTTAAATAAAAGATTAGCAAAGATGCAATTGTGAGAAATATCATTATATTCAAGGGACAGTGAAAAGAAAAGTATTTGGAGGCAAAAAAATTGGATTGGGCCCAATTTTGGGGAGTATGGTTTAGAAATGATAGTTTTAGGCAATGGAGGATTTATCGATAGCAATAATTTGCCCACTAAGACAATGAGAGTATTGTTTTTGGAAAACTGTCCTGTAGATAATAAGTCAGAGAGCATGAATTGTGAGACTTTGATGGCGAAGAGACAAGCTGGAGGACTTTCCCACAAGCGTGAGGTGATGACAGCATGAATTGGCTGGGAGTCAGTAGAAATAAAAAAGATAAATCTGAGGGACATTTGAAAGGAAAAGCAGACAGGACCTGCTGAAAAAAACACAATAGAGACGTGTGTTGAGAAGAGCTGTAAGAATGAAGCAAGGAAAATTGGTGCTAATGTTAATGTCCCTGAATGAAGCAAGAAAGTTGGGAAAGGGGGAGGCTGATTGAAGAGGCAGGACGTAGGGAGGCAATGGAAGAGAAGTGAGAAATAGAAAAGAGATGAATTCCGTTTGGATACTCAAACTAAGCAAAACTACACAGTTCATCAAAAGAAGAGGAAAAATGAGAAAGAGAAGCAGGGAAGAGAGAAGTGGAGGAGGAAGAGGACAATGATAGAGGAGGAAGGACAAGCAGAAGAAAGGAGAAAGCAAATGGATTTTACTAGCAGTGTTGAGTGAATAAAAACATCCTGCTTAGATTAAACATAAGTCTTGGCTTCAGTGAAGGGGTCTATCTACTTTCCTGCCCACACTGATTGCCCCCTTCTCTAAGCCTGTTTAACAGTAAGTGGCTGAGAACCAGAACTCAGACACTGAACTGCCTGGGTTCAAATTTTGGACTGGCCCCATCACAAAAAAAAAAAAAAAATTTGGACTGGCCATTCACTGGCAATATGACGTTGGGCAATTTATTTAATATCTCTGTGCCTCTGTTTCTTTATATGTAAAATGGAGATAATTACAGGACTACTTTATACAGTTGAGGTAAGGCTTAAATGAGCTAGTATGTGAAAAGCACTTAGAATAGCACCTTAGACAGTAAGTGCTCAGTAAGTGTTAACCATTAATAGACGTAGTAGAGGGTGGTGGTAGTAGTTACTATGGTAGAAGTATTCTAAAGGCTAATTGTAGTTCGTCATTCTTAATTTCTCATCAATTCAGAGGAGCTTCCACATTAAAGCAGTGATTGGACATGGTTCCCTAAATGTGAAAGTTATGAAATGCAAATTGTTTCCTCTATTAGTACAATCTAATGGCATAAAACTACATGAAATCTTGTGCTAAGAAGCTAATTCACATGTTTATTTTTAGCAAGAAGTAAAAAGGCTAGTAATTTTTACAAATTGCTGTTTCCTGGCCTTTTGAGAAGCTTGGGTGACATCTCTGCTGCCCTATGAGTCAGTATCAGCATGACAGATTTATCTGCTACTCTTTACCTACTACAGATTGAATCCTGGAAGCCCAGACTAACAAATGTTTCCTATCAGCTAATGTATAATATTGATGAAAATTTTCTGTTGAACTCATATACTACTTAGAGACAAGTTTTCATCCTGAGTTCTCCTTCCCATTCTGATTTTTGTATGAGTTTTCTTCCTCCTTCCCTCCCTCTCTTATCTCTCCTTCCTTCCTTCCTCCTTCTCTTCTTCCCTTCCTTCCTGTTTTATTCATTCTCCCTCATCTTTTGGCCCATACACCTCTGGATAGCTTGAAGAACCAGAAACTTTGTAGAGAAAATTCACATCTGCTAGAGCAAATAACATGCATAGAATAAATAAGAGTAAAAACACAAATTGGGATCTGGATTAGAGAGAGCCTTGAATGTCTTACTAAAGAGTTTTAGGGTATTACCACCAACCAACACTTACCCAGCATGAGTGAGTGGTATTATTTTAAATAACATGTTAACTTGTTTTGTCCGCTATTCATAAAATATATTTTGTAATTACATATAATTTACATATAAAATAAGCATTTAGTGTTTTCTGTTGAGTTTTTACCTACACTAAAAAACCCTTTCCACAAAAAATATCCAATTAAATGTTATAGAGATAATTACTTCTATAGTAAAGGTACTTGGTTCAGGTCTCTTAGGCCTCCATCAGTAAAACAGGCATATTAAGACTAGCTGTAGAATAATACTTGCTTGAAATACTGTCATTCAGATTTGCTTCCTACAGTTATCCAAGTCGGAAAGGAACAAGCACAATAGCCCCTTTTTTCATATAAAGTTATTATAGTATATTACCTGAATTATTTTATAAAGGGTAGTTTGTAACTGATACTAAATAACTCAAAAGTTAATTCAGCCCTCTTCATAAAATGATACTGCTATGAATTGGAAAATATACATATAAATGTTCATTAAAAGATTAAATTGGCTGCCAAAAATCACACATCATTATTTTACATATTTAGACGGAATTTTTTTCATGCTACTGTAATTATTTTGGTAGTTGAAAATCTAATTTTACCTGTATACTAAATGACTGCTTAATCATAGTGAGCAGAGATCTTTATCCTATTCATCTTGATATCCTCAATGCAAAAAAGAAACTTCACATATATTTAACTCTCAATAAATAGAGTAGTATAATGAATATAATACTCTATTTTTGAAGAAAGTAATTATACTAAGTATAGAAAAAATCTTTATGAAACTTTGCTATTAGCCACAAAAAGACAGAAAACTTACTTAGAATTCATAGTAAAGGTCTCAAATATGCTTCCAATCACACTGAAAATATCTGGTCTTGTGTACCTCAAATTTATCTGGTTGTTGCACAGTTCTCATTTAAAGCTTATAAAAGCACTGTTAATTTACATTTGTGGCTTAAAGTTTACAAGCAGTATAATTCTGAATTTCTAAGTGAATCCTAAAGGAAAACACTTTACTGCCTACCTCTTTTGTTGATGTGGAAATGACCTTCAGATATCTAAATTCAATAAGAGAATAGACTTTACACCCGAAGAAACATTGGTTAAGCTGCTAAAAGAGAAGAAATGAATTATTTCCATCTGAAAGTTTATAGGTTTGAAAGCAACAGAGCTTTCCTCTATCTTCAACAGCAGTTTGTTCATTAATTAGCCCTTCAATTCCACTTCAATTAAATTAACTCTAATTAATAAGTTCATTACAAAGATTGACGCACCTTGCTCAAAGCTAGTGTGCTAAATGCTGATAAACACCATCACCCTAATGAAAAATTGATTAGATTGAATAAAAAGGGTACCTCAGAAAGAACCCTCTCACTTCTGGAGCTGGGTTGATGTTATGTTGCTCTGAAGTTAATCAAACTATCTTGAATCTCTTAATCAAAAGTTTAATTCAAAGGAGATAGAAAATATTGCATGAAAAAACCTGCGTGCTACCCTCTTCCAGTTAATAGTCCTGGGTGTTGTTTATAAAAAATATTACAACTCTCGTAGTGCCTTGATAAGGTGTTTAGCCTGTGAGATAGAGAATCACGTGTCTGAGAAATGTTACCTGGGGAATGAATAGGGAAAACAGAACATGTGACTACATAAACAGCTACTATTTTTTAATCAAAAAAAGGTTTTAGTACATTTTCTGTTTGTTAGAAATGATTTTAGGTTTTTATTGTTCAGTGCTTTATTTTTGTAAGAAAACCAAAACTAATCAATAGTCTTAGAATTTTAGGGGAAAAAACTATAGCTAACTTTAATCTTATATGTAAAAATGAAATAACCTTCAAAGTTTCTTTTACCTTTGCCTCTCCCTGTCTCTCAATTGGAACTAGTTAAATAAAGCTTTTAAGAAAGCTTAAAATTTTTTTTCTTACACATCTGAATTCTTTTTAAAGACCTAACCTGGTATTAAAACATTTGAATTCATTTGGTCACTTGTGCTCTTTTCAGTAATTCTAGGAATTGAAAAACCTTGTTTTTCAAAGGAGAGTCAATTATATGTATTATTAAACTGGTTTTGTACTGTGGACTAAGAAATTTGTATCTGTCAACTGTACAAATTTACTGAATAGGAAAAACAGTTTCTTTTTACATGCATGTCTGTGTCAGAAGCAAGCTAATTTACTTAAGTAGATTCCTCTTAGTGAAAGTTTCTGAATATTTAAAACATTTAAATGTGGCATTAGAAACAACCCCATTTCAAATTCTTGCCATATGTATGAAATCCAAGTCCTGTTAGATACCTGAGATGCTGAAATATTTCATTAATTTGGGGATGGGGGTGTGGGGACATGTTTTCTTGGTGATAGGTGTATATAAATATGACCACCCTCTATATATGTAATGTTTTCTATATAAAGTATTGTATATGTAAAGAAATTATTTCTAACAATTGTCATGTGTATTTTCTGCATGATTAGAGCAGCATGTAAAATTAAATGATGAATAAAGACGTAGAGTTCCACCATTGATCATTTCCTAGTAGTCAGTGCTGAAATTTACGTAGCATACAAATACTTTTGATTTCTTTTGGATGATTTTGTGTTTCCCTTGAACAAATTTGTGTGGAAGATAAAAGCTGCTTATTAATTCCCCTTCTCTCTCCCGCCACTCTTCTCTCCTGTTTTGTGTCCTCTTCCTCCCACATAGAAATATGTTCTGTGGACTGTGGCTCACACGGCGTTTGCATGGGGGGGACGTGTCGCTGTGAAGAAGGCTGGACGGGCCCAGCCTGTAATCAGAGAGCCTGCCACCCCCGCTGTGCCGAGCACGGGACCTGCAAGGATGGCAAGTGTGAATGCAGCCAGGGCTGGAATGGAGAGCACTGCACTATCGGTAGGCTTACTGCAAGTCTGTGTCTGTCCCCTTCCTCCCAGAGAAGAGCACCGACGGTCAGCTGTTTTCAACTTGGAAAAAGCCTATTTCTTTACGTTATTTTTTACTTGTCTTTCTTAACACGAAATTATTTTTTAAATATGGTTGTCATTTTATAATGGCAATTCAGTTCTTTTTAGAACAGCTGTCACAAGTATGAGCTATAAACTTTTTTATTCATTGGTTTTTGGGACGGCCACAAAAATGGACTCACATAAAACAGACTTAATGATTTGTTTATGTGAAGTTTTATCGAATATTACTTCTTGATGTTCCATATTGTCATTGCATTTCTTAATAGCAGATTTTCCACTTTAGAAAAAAATGCTTTAAATTTTTTTCAAATATATGCCCTTGTTGGCCTCTGTAGTTTCCAGAATCACATAGCTTAGACTTGTCCATATCTTGAGTCTCTGCAAAAGAGGTTTGACTTATTATGACTTCATTTTGTGGTATCATGAGAAATAAAGTAGAATCAAATGTACAAATCTCGCTGCTCTTAAACAAACCTGTATGGTTAACACTTTTTCATATATGATGACATTTGTGAACATCTGTAGGTTAAATAAAACCATCAGATAGATGTTTCAGATCAAAACATTAGTATATAAACAATATTTAGCATAGATACAAAAGTATCCAAAACATATATATCATGTTTTCAAGATACTTAGTGTCTTTGCTTTTACCATTTGTCACTAAAATTAAAATGTTTAATTTTAAAAGTACAACAAAAGTAAGTAATAAATTTCTATATCACTTCAGTGAAAGTACACAGTATTAATTATAAGTGGCACGGTCCTACCAAAATTTCAGAATTTGTGGTATAGTATTTCTCCACATTGTTTTACATCCCTAGGGTGAAATTTGATAAATCTGTTGTGGGGAGTGTCAGTGTCTTTTAAAGATTTCTTCTTCCGATGTATCCGTAAGTATTATGTACTTCGCTTTTTTGCTCACAGGATTTGGTTAGCCGGGAACTTTGTCATGGGAAAATTGAAATCATATGTGTCTTATAAATTGTCACAAGTGTGTCATTATACACTTCATGTAAGTTTTTTTCTAATCTTACTGACATCCTTGACATCTGTTTCAAGGGTCCCACCACGCCCCCACGCTGGTGATCTTCAAGAAGAACTCAGGACCCAGAGGTAGTTGTGTCATGGCTATAATGTATCACAACCAGAAAGAAAAAAGACACATCCGGCAGAGTCTGCAGAAATCCATGCACAGGCTTCCTATCTTCCTTCTCTCCCACTAGGAGAGGTCATGTGTAGCATGCTCCTTTTCCCAGCAGCGAAACGAATCGACATATTTGCAGTATTTCTGCCCAGGGAAGCCTGTTCGAGACTTAGAGCAAACTTGTCAAACCTGAGGCCTGTGGGCCGTATGCGGCCCAGGACAGCTTTGAATGAGGCCCAACACAAATTCATAAACTTTCTTAAAACATGATGAGTTTTTCCTGCAATTTTTTAGCTCATCAGCTATTGTTAGTGTTAATGTATGTTTTGTGTGGTCCAAGACAATTTTTATTCTTCCAGTGTGGCCCAGAGAAGCCTAAAGATGGACTTTCCTGACTTAGAGTCTAAGATTTTTATTGGGGCTTCTCCAGGAGGTATCCTCTGTCTGCCACAACCACCAAAATTCCAACTCTCCTAAGAAGAGTAGGTGTGGACAAAATAACCTTATCAGTGTAGGGAACATCCAAATTTCCAGATGCCAGCCAAGGGCCAGCCCGCCAAAATCCTGCAGATCAGGCCCACTGTTAGCTCTTACTTGCACAGCATCCTTGGAGCTTCGCTTGTTGCATTGGAGCTTCCCGCCTGAAATCAACAACAGGTGCCCACAGTCATAGCGCTTGCACAGGGCTCGTCCCCACTGATGTGGCTTTCCCCTCCCAAAGAGGCTTTGTAGGGCAGTGGCAGCAGGTTGTTCATGTGAACTACATTAAGGCAGAAGAAAGTTGATGAGCAGGATTTGTGTATCTTTTTGTGGCCATACAAGGGACAATGCAATACCTCTATAACCAAACAGCTCCATGCCCCAGGTCCCAGAATGCCTATATACCAGAGGCAGGGCAGGAAAACTATACCTCTGATCACATTCCCTCATTCTTTGTGACTCCACCACCCGATACCCGATACATCAGAAGAAATGAGTTGAGTCTAGCTGAGGGAGAAAAGTTATGATCTGACTGTATGTATCTTAGGAAGTACAACAAACACGTGTGTATAGCTTTGAAAACCAGGAAGTGTGCCAAAAAGTTATCCATAGGCGGATTTAACTTACCAACCAATAGTTATTCAACAAATCATTTTAGTGTTGTTCTCAGTGGCCTTGGTATTATTACATGGATAATAGTTTCCCATAGATGAGCTGTTCTTGAACAAATTTCTAGTTGTTTAGGAACAAACAGGATTTTTATTAGCAGTGGGTCTTTGTATTATAATTTAATAAACCCTGCAATAGTTCTTAACAATTCCATTTCCTATCATTTTAATTTATTCTGTTGCTTTTATACTCCATATGAATAACATTGTGGGAAATAAGGGACCTGCTTCATTTACAAATAAATCTTAGATGTGAACCTTTTAAAAGATGTAGAGCACCTTTAAAGCATTCTGCTCTTTTATACTAATAAGATGAGTTATTTCCAATTTTGGCATACAAAGATCCAATTGCCTTTCCCCTGTTTCCTTACTACCTGTGTATATGCCCACCATAGTTTCCTGGTTAGGGCCCTTAGTGGCCCTACGGGGCCATTTGTGAGCCACAGATTAAACACCCAGGAAACTCTGGTGTGTTTTCTCACTTGGGATGGTTACTGTTCTTGCATTTCCTCCCCATTTTAACCCCTACGCATCTGGCTGAAAGAAGCTGCCACTTGGTGAAAGAATGCTCATAAATCAGCCAGATTTTTTTCTTTCTCCATATTATGTGCCATCTCATTGAATACCAAACAGGAAGGTTAATTGAAAGAGAAATGGAGGAGAAAGTAAACAGAAGCAAACAAAAATTCCCACTAGAAAGCAAAGGACATTCTTCATTAGTCATCCTACTGTCTTCATAAACTCTGTCTATGCTTTCATAAAACCATAGGCATTTTGATAGTAAAATAGGTTATGAATTTGGAGTGTTCACTGAACACCCTGTCTACCTGAAAGGGTTCTATTCTGATATTTTTATTAGAGTATTCATATTTTCCTCTCATTATGAATCATGTGTTCAGCAAATTAGGCATATTCGTCTGCAGGTTCATCATCCCAAGTCCTCCTTTCTTGGGTTTCCCTTTGATTGGTGATGCATGCAGATGGAAAATGAAACAAGGAGAAATCTACTTTTAGCAATATTGTGATTAAAATAGATACTTCTCCTTTCCTCCCCAGAAAGCATTCATGATTATTAGACCCTTTAATAAATAAAGAAAAAGAGAAGTTACATGATTAAACCACATCAAATAAGCACCAGTACTTACTGCTAAAATGATTTAACAGTAATAGCACCGATATAGATGCTCCACTACAAAAATACTCTCTTTTATATGTGACCATTCCATATAAGCTTCAAAGGATTATACTCATGTGCTGCCACTGTTTTTCATGGGTAGGAAATATGTAAAAATATTTAGAGGATTCAGAGACAAGTTAAAAATAAATATAATGAAATGTTTTTTAAATAATAGTTGACATAATAAGAATATTATCTGGCTATCTCTATGTAAAAAAGCTTCAACAGTTCTGTCATCTGAGAGTTGAGGTAGGTCAGAGAAATTGGGCTTCTTCTTGCTTAGAAAAAGAGGGAAAATCTCCTATGGGACTGTCCTGTGGATGCAGTTAGTTGGCCATAGATGCAATGCAAATGCAGTGGTAGGCTCTGCTGAACAGATGGTTATAGGCAGAGTCAATCACTTTTAAGTGTAATACGAAGTAAATAACCTGGACAATGATAAATACTAAGTACCAAATTTTTACTACTGCTAACCTATCACTTCCACAAGAACCATTCTTTTTAGTATTTGTTGAAGAGGTTTACCCCAGAATTCATTCATTTGTATCCCAGAGAATTGGAGGCTGTAAGTGAGATTGAGACCATAGCAGGGTAATGATTGAATAACATATTTGATTGTTATCTACTATGGAGGGTTGTTGTGAAGGAAAAGAAGACTCAGCTCTCTGTAGACAGGCAAGTTGTCTTCTGGAGGCTGATTGGCATTTTCCATTTATCCAGGAGACAGAAATGGAGAATATGGGTTTACAATGTATAAATGTTTGTTAGATATAATGAAGAAGCTCGAGTCAGAAAGCATATTTAAATCCTGGAACAAGCTACTCAAGAAATTTTGGAACCTCCCAAGTAATCGTAGTATTGTTAAAGTTTAATACTATGATTACTTAGGTGTGAAACACTGGAGGTTTCGTCAGTTCTTTTTGTTAGCTTAAGGAGTATTTTTAGAATGGGAGTTTTTTTTTTAACTTCTCTCCATCCGTTATCCTAAAAGATCAAGTCTCTTGTGTAGTAGCCCTATTTGAAGGACCCCTCAAGGTCTCTTGCAGTTCTAGGATTTTTTCGCTGTTGATAATTTCTGCTTTATTTGGAAAACTACTAGATTTAAACATGGGGTTCTCTTTTTATCTCTATGTCATTTAACTTTTTGTTTTTCCTATGGCATTGAAACATAGTGAGAAACCATCTTCACTTTTTCAGATCATTTGGGGTTTGTTTTGTGGGATGCTCTACTTTGCATGCCTCACTTACTTTTTATTTGTTAATTAATTCATTTATGTGTCCAGTAAGCAATTATTGAACATCTCTTCTGTGATACTGAGAACAATTTCTTACAAAAGTCAGTGTAAGATAATAAAAAAGGTATGGGCTTTGACATTTTAAATAAAATGTTTTTAGGTCAGTTTTACAATTTATTCACTATAACTGGTATCTTTTTTTTCTTCTTTTTTTTTTCTTTCGAGATAGAATCTCACTCTGTCGCCCAGGCTGGAGTGCAATGGCTCAATCTCGGGTCACTGCAAACTCCACCTCCTGGGTTCAAGTGATTCTCCTGCCTCAGCCTCCCAAGTAGCTGGGGTTACAGGCGCCCACCACCACACCCAGCTAACTTTTTTAATTTTTTAGTAGAGATGGGGTTTCACCGCGTTGGCCAGGCTGGTGTCGAATTCCTGACCTCAGGTGATCCACTGCGCCCGTCCTTTAGCTTTTATCTTAACTGTTCTTAGCCTCAGTTGGGTTTTTTCGCAATGTAAAATGGCTATAATAGTACATATATGAGATTTTGAAGCAGAATAATGTTTAAGAGCTTTGGGAATTGAAATTCTTGCCGTACCACTGAGTGACCTTGGGCAAGTCATTTAACCTGTTTTATATGAAATGTGAATATTATGTACTTCATGGGATTATTAGAATTAAATGGAATACTAGAATGTAAAGCATTTAGCAAATAATGTTCAATAAATTCAAGTTTTAATTTTGTTATTAAGTGTAAATGAGACAAAGTACAACCCAGAAAATGTTTTGGGTGCCAACATTCAAAAACAAGAACAACAGAACAAAACTCCTGTCCAGGACATTTACTTTAAAGAGTTAATGACATTTGCATTTTATTATTATAAAATATAATCTAGTCTCATAATGGATATTGTTTAACAAGAAATTTGTATGTTTGGGTTAAGGGTTTGAGGGTTGGTTTTATTTTTTTTTAATTTTCATTTATTTTTTTATTTTTGAGACAGGGTCTCACTCAGTTGCCCAGGCTGGACTGCGGTGATACGGTCACGGCTCACTGCAGCCTCTGCCTCCTGAGCCCAAGTGATCCTCCCACGTCAGCCTCCCGAATAGCTGGGACCTCAGGAGTGTGCCACCACACCTGGCTCATTTTTTGTATTTTTGTGGAGAAGGGGTTTCTTCATGTTGCCCAGGCGGGCTGGTCTCACACTCCAGGACGCAAGCAATCCACCTGCCTCAGCCTCCCAAGGTGCTGGGATTATAAGCATGAGCCACCGCACCCAGCCGAGAGTTGTTTTTTAAAATCGTGATGATGAAAGAAAGGTGGAGGATATTGATGTATTTTTCTTCTAGTAATGTCTCAAACACAGAGTTGTATATTGAGCTACATTGATTTTCATGTACTTTTAGGCAGTTCACTTGGAAATTTGGCCTAGGGGAAATCCTAATTCCTTTAAACTACAAAAGAGCAGCTATTTGTTTTTATTCTAATTCTTAGTACATTAGGAAACAAGATCATTAATGATCACAAAGACATGCTTTGTTTGCTCAGACAAAACTCACACATGCAGTACTCAGCATCCTCTGTTAAACACCAGGGCTGCCCTTGGGCTTTGGGATGCCGAAGGTTAGAAATTGAGAATGAAATGCACACAGCTGGGGAGGTATTTCGGAAACAAGATGGGGTGGAAAGAGAGAAAGAGCAAAACTTTTACTGATACAGACAAGCTTAGGCTTGGTGTTCTAATTCTTATCTCAGATAATGGTGAAAGAATAGTACTTTAATTGTTAAATTAAAAAGTAAGTGACAAATTTGAAAATAAAATGACCACTCTGATAAGTGCTTCACTTAAATTACAAAACTCAATATTCTTTGCAACTTTTGTAGTGTTTCCCAGATTGAGCATCATATCCAAAATAAAACAATATGTAATTCTAAAAATATCTTTTTAGATTTTAAGTCACATTTTGTTTATAATTTCCAATAACAGTGGATATGGGGCACCACATCATACCCACAAATAGCTGTTCTGGGAGGCATTTGGCTTCACATCAGTCAGTGGTTGGTAGTGGTGATGAAAGGCAACCTTGCGCCAAACTACCAGCGTCCCTGACCTTGCCAGAGACAGGTTTACTGTGAAGCTGGTGTAGCATAAATGTCAGGGTCCTTCATTTGCACTGGCACCTCCTAAGATCCCACAAGGGAACACCCATGGGTTCAGGTGTCGTATGTTAATATAAAACTTGCAAATCAGCTGACTTCTGACCCTTCACACTCCAACATCCTCTCCACCACACTTTTCCTTGTGCAGGGTGGCATTGGGGTGGCTGTGGGCATTTTGAGAATTCCGATAAGGAGAATTTGATCTGGGGGTACATTTAGTTTAGATTTAATGGGATATGCATATGAGGTGTGAAATCACTTCTCTCTGTGGCTGTTACTGCTAGCCACCTAGGAATCTTCCTACCTCCCACTGACTCACCTAGTGACACGAAAGTACAGGGTCAGGGAGTTACTAGATGAAGATACGACTTTGTCCTGTGGAGCTCTGCACCAGAAGCAAGTAGGTATTGGAGGAGAAGTAAGGTTTGAAATGTATGGAAACAGAAGCTAGTCTGGAAAATTCCTCATGTCATCAAATACCTAAAATGCCTAATTAAAACAGAAGTTTTCTCCCACCAGGCATGTACTTGATAATAGAATTTATATAATTATAAACATGCCATAGCTTTTTCTTTTAGATGAATATTTCTCCTTTGAGTATTTATCAGAATTCCTGTGTTTGTAGGGTATAAGTCTGTAGCAGTACTGCAGATACTGAGTTCAACAGTGTGTGAAATCACATGTGTTACTCATCCCAGTGTATCACTGAATCACATGAGTGCACCAGAAAAAGTCTTGTTTATGTGACGTCAAATACTGACATTGCAAATTTAACATAAAACTCAAAATAGTCTACTCTACAGACATCACAACAAAATAGTTAATGAGTATTATCAACTCAGCATATTTAAGATCAGTTTATTACACAATAAAAAAAAAGTCTTTCCAAACTTGACAGTAACGGCACAAATTTACATGACACTACCAATAACAAATTTTGAAGGCAAATGAACTACTGTTGATAGTTTTATCAATAATGAAAAGTAAACTATCGCATAGAATATAGACTCAATTATCTCTCTATACTCTCTATAGAAAATATTACAAAAATCGTTGTCATATAAAGAGGCAATCAAAGAGTAATTATAGCCCAAAAATATAGGAAAAATGTTCATTAGAGACATGGCAAGCACTGAATAAAAAATGGATATGGGGCCGGGCACAGTGGCTCATGCCTGTAATCCCAGCACTTTGGGAGGCCAAGGCGGGTAGATCACGAGGTCAGGAGATCGGGACCATCCTGACCAACATGGTGAATCCCCATCTCTACTAAAAATACAAAAATTAGCTGGATGTGGTGGTGCACGCCTGTAATCCCAGCTACTTGGGAGGCTGAGGCAGGAGAATCGCTTGAACCAGGGAGTCAGAGGTTGCAGTGAGCTGAGATTGTGCCACTGCACTCCAGCCTGGTGACAGAGCGAGACTTCATCTCAAAAAAAAAAACAAAAATGCATATGACTTCTCTCATGTTTGTGGTATTAACTGAAAAATAAATGTTTTGTTGCGGTTTTTCTCATTCTAAATACTTTTATACCTGATTTCATTTTTATATTTTGATATTCTTTTTCTTAAAGAGGGCCTCCCAAATTATGTAAATTTCAGACCCATAAACCCTGGATTTCCCCCTGGTTCCAGCTCTGTCACTTCATATCTGTATGATCTTGGGAAATTACTTAAGCCCCCTGTGCCTCAGTTTACTCATCTATAAAGTGGGAATGAAAATAGTAACTACCTCGTAGAGTCCCTGAGAGTATTAAATGGGTCAGGTCATGTGGAAGAGCACTTAGCACAGTGCCTGGCACACAGTAAACACCCTATAGATGTTTCTTGTTGTTGTTGTTGCTGGTCGTTGGACTGAAATTCATAACAAACTGACTGTGACTAATTCCTCCCTGCTAAATCTTGTCTCTAGGCAGAGGAATTAGCCTCGGCTAATTCTTCCAGAAAAAACAGGAGTGCATGCTGGATACAAGGAGAGCTAATCCCCTCTGCCTCCTGGCACATGAATAGTCTGGACATAGATGCCTCATGATCTGTCATTCACAGTGGAAAGTGGGTCGCCAAGGAGGCAGCAGGCGTGGAGTTGAGGGGGAGATTCTCCTAAACTGACCTGATTGGCGCTGAAAATCTAGGGGAAATTCTCCTAAATTGACAGGCTGAAAAACCTTCTGTGAAGCTTGCAGAACGAGAACTTCTTGAGGTCCCTCCTGCTCTGCAAGTCCCAGTGATTCTCAGTAATAAGAAATTTGATGGACAGAGGGGATAGAGATCCCTGAGAGAGTCATGGAAAGCCCCCTTCAGAACTCGGGAGTATCACCCATGTTCTGAGAACCGGGCTGATTTCGGTGTCTGTTTCTTCCATTGAGATGACAGTATCCACTGGCAGCTATCCACTGGGGGCCTTCCAATACTGTTTTTCTCATTTTAGTCTAGTTTCTTCAGTTAACAGTTTTATAAACACTACTTTAGCCTCTGTAATCCCCTCAGACTTGTAATTTTTAAAAGAAGAGGTCACTTAATCTCTTTTCTACAAATGCAAACCTGGTTCCTCTGACCTTTCTAAAAGGTGGAGGCCCTGTTTGGTTGTCAGTATTCTCTACTGTTTCAATATTTTTAAAACTACTACAAAGATAATGTTTATTTTGATGTTGTAATCTATGTTGATGTTGCAGTTTGTCTGTCCTTCAAATTCTTCTTTCGTATTTGCTTGTCTTTACATACACCAATTTCATCAAAAAAAGGACATGGAGCCTTGGGTTCCGCTTCCTTGCAGCCAGCATTGAGAGCAATGGCAGATCTGCACTCTGAGCCAAATTCGTCTTTCGCTCAGTGTTCCACAGCCTGTTGAGTGAGAGAGTAATCAACCACCAAAAACAAATTTAGTGGCCTAAATTTGAAACTTTAGTAAGTTTGACTCTGTGTTTCTATCATAGTTTAGCCTTAAATACTACCTGCCAAGGGTTTATGAAATCATTCCATTTCTACTGTTACAATCTGTATACTATAAAGCCCCAAAGGTGGTAGTAATTTGGACTCTTCTACCAACCTCTGGTGAAGTGTGTTACAGATTTAACCTTGTAGTGTCCCTCCTTCCTTATCTCCTTCACCTTCCCGTGTGAGTCATACGATGACGTCTCCAAAAGTCCCATTAGAATTACAACTGCAACTCAGTTTACAGATTACATCCTCAAAAAAGTAGGTGAGACTCCTCACTGACTTCTGCACCTGACTTGCTGTGTAACCGTCAGGAAAAGTCACAGTCCCGAGGGCCATGTGGATACACGTTCTCCAGTCATGTTGGTGATTTATTTTCCACTAAAGAATTTCCCAAGGCCTCGGTTTCTGTCCCTTAGAATGGGAGTAAGTGTGGGGATAAACAGCTCTCACTATTGACATCAGGCCTTGAGTTCCCTCTTTCTCCACCCTATCCTTCATGCCGTAATTTATCCTCATGAAAAAGACAGGCAGCAGCATAGTCATCAGCTAGAGCTGCGTGGTTTCATATCAGACGGCAGTGCCAGTGCTACTGAGAGGTAAATTTCTAGGACAGGTGTGTTGTTTTGGGAAACGTTAGATGTGTTTTTTCCATACTTTAGAAAAGGAACATTTTTTGAGGCCTTCTGAGACTCAATTCTGAGTGTAAATAATTGCTTGGTGGGTGAATACATCTGGATTTAACATACGTTTTTCCACTGAAGTGATTTACACATAGCTGTGAGGATGAGAAGTTAGAATTCTTGAAAAGAAATACGCTTCACATACTCTTCACGTCCTTGTTTAGGGTCATATGATAAATGAATTCTATACTGTGGTGTTTACTTGTGCAGGAATTTCTTTCCGGTCTACCTCCTGTGGTCTAACTTGAGTCCCAATAGCTATTGCTAAATTAAGCTTTCTCCTACAAGGCCCACTGGAAGGCGGGCCCACTGGCATTAGAAGCAGCTGTTTCAGAAAGAATGGAGAGTTAAACCTGTTGTGATTTTTCTCAACTGGGAGCAATACATAAGCAACTTGAGGATTTGTATTGTTTTTTGATAAGTTAGATGTCATTGAAATATGCCTGATTCCTTTAGGCTTGGCAAACCCGATTCCTTCCTTTCCCAGGACCTCGTGTTTGTTTCCCACTGTGAAATTAATGGTTTGCTAACTAGTTCTTTTAAGTCTCAAAACAGTTTACTGTGTAGTGGCTCTGTGTCTTAGGGAAACAATTTATAAATTATAATTATTATCTCAAGGAAATTTTTGAATCCATTAATTTTAATTACAGTTATATGCCAGGCCAGAAATTTAAAATATGAATATAGCCATGTATTCATGCCTGTGGTTTCCATTTTTCTTTCTGAAACCGCATGCCTCATGTTAAGCCAATATAAGTTGTTTTTTAAAAAGTTTATTGAGAGACATGTTATCTGAATAAAAGCCGAGTAAGTGATATGTCAAATTCATATGATACTGTTTCATTACAAACTTGACATTTTGTTCCTTTACTAATATACTAGAGGATCTTTTTTCCATTTGGAACACCTCATTAATTTGTATCTTTTAAAAACCATCTAAGATCTAAATTACCACCGAAACCGAGTATATTGGAGGTTTTAAAGCTCAGTTGACTGGATATACAATTTAACCAGAAATAAAGATAGAAAATGCTCCTTCTGCTTGCCAAGTTCATCAGAAGCCTTTTATTGAAAAGTTTAGATCCAAGGCATTTAAGAGTGAAACCAGCTGCAGAATAATATGTTGTCAGCTATTTCACAATATCAGCAAGGAAGAGAAAGATTCTCTCGAGTTCCAGATTATAAGGATGCCACATGCTTCCCAAAAGTAAGCCAGGTAACTGGAGAGTGAAAGGCAGCTAGTGAGGTGTTTATGAGGCTTTGAAGTAATATTCCTTATATGCTGAGATCCTTATTACCTAATGGGGTAAATAAAATGTTGGGACTTTTCATTCAGTTTAATGTAAGGGTAGAGAAATTAAGCCCACAATTTTAAGAAGTATGATTATCCCTTCCCACATGGTATGTTGTTATCTTTTCAATGGCAGAATTTATCTTTGCCATTTCTTGAATATGACAAGTTGAAAATAGCCTCTTTTCATTTTAAAACAGTCCCTCTCCCACCTCCCTATTTTAAAGTGCAAGTTTGGTTGTGGTGTCTGTCCATACGGAAGCACAGCCTTCCAGCAGCCTTCGTATTTAACATATTCGCAGATTATGGTGTGACTGGAGCCAATTTTTGTCTGTTGCTCTTCATGATAAGTTCAGTGACCCTCTCTTTTTTGAGTGCCTCTTTAATGAAGCTGGAACCCAGCTGTCTGAAATATGACTATCATTTCTGGGATTTAACAGGCATGTACCTTGGATAAATTAAGGAGCAGTCAAAGGAGGTCCATAAATTTGAATACTTTGCCAGCTGCTTTTCCATTAAACTCTGTTGGTTGAATGAAATTAGTAAATAATTATGTTGGTGGGGAATCTACTACATCTAAATGTGATATAATGTCTTCCTTTAACAACAGAGCTTAATTTTTCTTATATACTAAATTAGTTTTTAGGGTAATCTACATTGCAAATTGGTCAATTTGCATCAAAACTATGCCTAGTTGTTCTGATTTGTCAACACCTCTTTTTAAAAAAGTCTTTAACTTTAAGCATGGGTGGGTAAGACCATCTGCTTGTAGAGCTCGCCTGCAGCTCCACCACTTAGTGCACGAGACAGGTTACAGCTGCTTAATTGTTATGGTGTTGAATGATTACCATTCTGTCCAAAATTAATATTTATATATGTGTCCACAGAAAGCATGTGGTTAAACATAAGCAATCTAATTGTGAATTAATGACATAAGGTATTCATTAATGAGTCCCCACCTGAACAATAAGGGGTAAAATAATGCTTTTCACATACAGTCCAACTCTTGACTTTTTTTTTTTTTTTTTTTTTTTTTTTTGAGACAGAGTCTTGCTCTGTTGCCCAGGCTGGAGAGCAGTGGCACGATCTCGGCTCACTGCAAGCTCCGCCTCCTGGGTTCAAGCAATTCTCCTGCCTCAGCCTCCCGAGTAGCTGGGACTACAGGCGCCCACAACCACACCTGGCTAATTTTTTGTATTTTTAGTAGAGACGAGGTTTCCTCGTGTTAGCCAGGATGGTCTCAAGCTCCTGACCTCGTGATCCGCCCACCTCGGCCTCCCAATATGCTGGGATTACAGGCGTGAGCCACTGCACCTGGCCCCAACTCTTGACTTTTAAGATGAGTCCCCAGTAGTGATTATGTATGTGAGTAATCCACTGCAATACATTGGTATAGATAAGGAAAAAAATCACCATGTAGCTGCCATGAAAAGCAAAGAGGAAACTATGTGGTTATTTCACTTACTCTAACTCTTCCCTGCCCCTACAAGCGTTGTCCTCTGAATTGTGACCAGTGTAAGAACAAACCGCATAGCAAAAGTCTAGATATGCAATTATGACTACATGTTTGTGTGCCACCCACAGCTACTAGAAAGGATTGTCTCAGCCAAGGGTGGCCTTCCTCCTGTATTTAAGAATGGTGACATATAAACTTACACCATTCTGCTATGAAAAGTTAGCAATATATATCCTGTCTGCTCAGTATATTTCATAATGAAAAATCTTTAGCAAACTCACAATGTAAGGATAGGGATATGCATGTAAAATATAATATTTGAATGTCTTAGTTTCCAAATAGTTACTGTAAATACATGACTTGTATTTCTGAATTTGAGTGGACTATATGAATATTTGTGTGAGTATCTACACTTTTTTAGAAAAGATTAATTTATCTTGCTCAAATAAAATTACTAGTGAAGGAGCAGAAAATATATAAGGGCAAGTTGTGATGTGTTCTTTATTCCAAAAAGCTGAACCCCATGTTGACCAGGAATTGTGCATCTAACCAGCAGAGGGTTTGTGAGAGACAAGGAAGAAAACTTCCTGATTCCAAAATGGAGTTGTCCCTACCCTGGGAACAGGCCAGTTCATATAAAGAATGTTCTCAGCAAAAGGAGGGCAGCTTGGGGAGGCAGAGTACAAGGGGCTTCTCCTGCTGGTATGGAGCAGAATGGACCCTGGGGCTTATGAAACCAAATCATTGCCAATCCCACATTTCTTTCCTCAAAGTCAGACTTTTTCTTTTCTTCATAGTCACTTAAAAAATACCAGCTCCCTCATGAGTTTGTCCTTTTTAAACTCTCCCTATTAATAAGATGAATCAATAATATTTAATATGTATTGAGCATTTACTACTTGCTAAGGCCCAATGCAAACTGTTCTACATTAATTATCATGTTTAATTCTCAGGTAGAAGCTAGTAAAATCTCCACTGAAGAAACTGAGGCTCCAAAAGGTTATGTAAGTTTTCTGTGGACGCACAGCTAGTAAGCAACAAAATCAGAACCATGTGAGCGATTTCCAAGCCCACGCTCTTTTTTTTTTTTTTCTTTTTTTGAGACGGCGTCTGGCTCTGTCGCCCAGGCTGGAGTGCAGTGGTGCGATCTCGGCTCACTGCAAGCTCCACCTCCCGGGTGCAGCCATTCTCCTGCCTCAGCCTCCCACATAGCTGGGACTACAGGCGCCCACCACCATGCCCGGCTAATTTTTTGTATTTTTAGTAGAGACGGGGTTTCACCATGTTAGCCAGGATGGTCTCGATCTCCTGACCTCGTGATCTGCCCGCCTCAGCCTCCCAAAGTGCTGGGATTACAGGCGTGAGCCACCGCGCCTGGCCCAAGCCCATGTTCTTAAGCCCTAGATAGACTGTCCTGCCTCCTGAATTATTTTTCAATTGTTCTTGTGTGTATGTGTATAGTGGAATAGATGAAAATTAATTTTTATGTGTTGAAAATAAATTAATGTATATGTCCCTGTCACAAAAGATTGAATTGTCATAGAAACAGATGCAAAAACAATAATGCCGGTGATGTCTTAGTAAAGTACCACACTTTTTTATCCAGGAAATGTTAAATGATAGCTGATAACAGAACTTGTAATTTGCCAAAATAAAAAATAACAATTACAACAACAAAAAATGGTTTGAGGAAAATCAGTTTATACTGTGGAGGATTTAAGAACATTGGGAGCTATTGAACACTCTACCCACTTCCTTTCAAAATTTAAATTAATGTCCTGTTTTCCTGTCACTGGAAGTTAGTGGGCTGGAATCTATGTAGACATTAGCCAATGGAAAACTCTCATAGAAAGTGGGTAGATTATTTGTGTCACCAGCATCAGCTCATGAGAAAAGGCTGAGAAAAGTGTATACAAGTGGTAAACATCTTTGCATACTCTCACCTACAAATACAGCAAAATTACTTTCTATATCAATCACCTTTGAGAACAGCCATTTGTTTACTATTTTCATAAAATAAATCATAATGTATCCTAGGTAAGTTAAAAGGATTGTTCAGTTTTGTTTATTATTTTCCAGTTATGGTCAAGAAAACTGACATGAGAAAGACCCATTATATTTTTCATACGTAAAAGTGTTAGTCTATACATTTTTCTTAAATATTAAATGTTGTGAATAGACAAAAGTGGCAATTACAGACAAAAAATTCTACCCATTGATATTGCCCAGATCTCTGGATGATTGTTCTGGCTTCCTGTGATTGGATTTATTAGCACTATCCAGACACCACTGTAATCACTGTTATAACCAACTTCATTTTTCCTAAATCTTAAATAGCCAAATATTCACCTAGTATAAAACATTGTATTATAGTTTTTTTTAATTAATGTTAAGAGCTGTCTCTGACTAGTTTCATTACCAAATTGGAGTACTAAAATATACCTTTTTTTTTTAATCTAGGAAATCCTAAAATGTGTTTTTTGCTTGTGTCATTCAATAAACTCACACAAGGAATAAAAAATAAGGGAGATGTGTTACTAACACGTGTATGTTTATGGTTCAGTGGATGAAATCATCCCACATGCAAAGGCTACCACAAAACTCATACATCACACACCACACAAGGCATCTCTTTGCATAGGCTATGCACATCCCAACATCAGTGAGCCTGCCTTCTGCACCTTGAGTGTTCCACTGTTACTTCCATTATGTGTATGTAGTCCATGGTCAGGCATGAAATCCTAAATTGAAGGAAAATACCAAATTCTGTTCTACCAGTCATCTCTACAAAGCTCTGCAGCTTATAAAGGCACTCTTTCAGCAGTGCTGACTTTATAAAATGTGATTTATCTCAAAGCAGCTCTTCCATAGAATCTGGATTTTTCTGGGCTGACTTAAATCAGGAAAAATATTATTTCTCTCGTTTGGAATGCCTTGGTATAAATACCGTTCCAAGTTGAAGTATGGTATTTTGCTTGGGTAGGTGCATGTAAGAGGCAATGTAGTTATTCAGATAATTTTTACACCAAGTTTCCAAACTGTAAAAAGAATAAAATATGTAAACTTTCAAAAGCAGTTTATTTGAAGCAAATTTTTGAAAAAGTATTGCCAATTGTAGGGGAGCAGATCCCTTTAAAGCACGTGTGCACACATGCATACACACAAACTTTTTTTTTTTTTTTTTTTTGCTGACACCACCTCACTTACTAGTTGGTAAAATGCAAATTAATTGACTTTCCTAAATAGGAAAGAATTTTTTTGATGTTTGTCCATAATCTGATAATTCTGTGGTGAAAGAGAACATATTTTAAGGAGTCTTGAGTAAACTCTTAAGAATATGTAATTGTTTTATGGTGTTTAAAATTATGTCACTGTCATAATCCTTTATGGTATGGTAATCAGTAATAAAACATTGCAGTGAGCAGCAGTTAAGGAACATCAAATCAATGGGTGTGCACCTTGCACGCTGATTTAAACAGTTGCTGATTGGAATAAGTGGATTTAATATGTACGTATTTGTAGACTGTAGCTTTTCTGTCATCCTGCAGGAATTGGTACTTGACTAATCTGAGAATGATACCTACTTACAACTTTAATGAGGTACTAATG
The DNA here is from genome assembly GCF_000001405.40 of Homo sapiens. Taxonomy (NCBI): domain Eukaryota; kingdom Metazoa; phylum Chordata; class Mammalia; order Primates; family Hominidae; genus Homo; species Homo sapiens. Next base: position 182,705,265 of record NC_000004.12, read on the forward strand.
TGAGTCATTTTTTAAGTCCGTGTTCGGAAGTATTATGAAATGCTCAATGCTAACTAAAAATCTGCCCTCTACTCCAAGGACTTCACAGTAATTATCATAGTGAAGAATATGTCTGTATTTTATGATGTACGTATCTGATGTCTACACTATACCGAGGATTCAAGCCAGTAGCCCGGTGAAAATATTATACGGTACTATTTAATATGCCTCCACCAAGCGCATTGTTGACAGCGGAAACAATGTGAGTTGTTCATAGCCATACACATCAGCAACTGCTTATATACAGTGAAACCGACTTGACCTTCCCTTGTGAGCTACCTGACGTCTATATAACCCGCTTGGTTTGCCTTTGTTGCTTCTCTGTGTTTATGAGAGTCAGCCTGATGGCAAAAGGAAGCAAACTTGGAATTAACCTTGTTCCATGTCTCAGCCGGACAGGAACATATACTCCTTAGACCTCATTTTTAAATGAGCTGCCTTCTTGGGAACTACTACTCAGCAGATATTTCTCGTCCAACATTTGTACATCCATTCAACTGCTTCTGGTCTTTGAGGCTTTTTGGTTTCTGGTTTTTTCAACTTACTTGTTTTTATTTTTCCTGGTTTTATCCCTAGTTCTACTATCTTGCCCACTGGTTTTCCAAACTTCGGATTTTTTAGAACAGATGACAGCATTAAAGCTTTCTTTAGTTTATATAAGGTACTGTCATTTATGAAGCGGTGTCATCAGATAAACATTTTAAATTCATTCGGGTTTTAAGCTTATTTCCTTTAACTGTCAGTGTTGGAACTAAGGATTTCCACGTTGTTTAGTCTGATTTTTTTTATTCCAGTAAATTCCTTGGGAAATCTATAAACAGATGATGCTTCTAGTTCGCCTTACACAGGTACACAGTTCTGGTTCTTCTGAGTTGTAACTATAACGTTTATTTAGAATATGGATTTTGGTGTCAGACTGCCTGGTTGGAACTTTGTCTTTGCCACTGCTAGCATTTTGATCTTAGGAAACTTCTCTAATTTCTTGTGCCTCAGTTGCCTCATTTGTGAAATAAGGGAAGATAATAATGTACCTGTTACCCCACAGGGTGGTGAAAATTAAACCGGTTAATTCACATTAAATGCTTAGGAGTTTTCAGCACATAATAAATGGTAGTTATTGCGAATACCACTGTCCATAGTTAGAATACATGGGAGGGGAGAGGAACAGATGGGTGAAGGACAGGGGAAGGATGTTGTAAATAAGGTTTTGCTCACTTTTGCTTCTTTCTCAAAAGATGGCCTCTGTATTACTTATAGAATTTCTTCAAAAGCTGCAGACACATAGAGGACATACTAAGGCCACCAAAAGTACATTTGGTCATTTTATATGGTCATTTTATCTGCTTTAATATAAAGCAGATATTAACACTCTGCTTTAGCCAGGCACAGTGACTCATGCCCGTAATCCTAGCAGTTGGGAGGCTGAGGCAGTTGGATCACCTTAGGTCAGGAGTTCAAGACAAGCCTGAGCAACAGGGTGAAACTCCGTCTCTACAAAAATTAGCCAGGTATGGTTGGGGTGCGCCTGTAGTCCCAGCTACTTGGGAGGCCGAGGTGGGAGGATCACCCAAGCCCGGGAAGTTGAGGCTGCAGTGAGCCAAGCTGTGATTGCACCAGCGCACTCCAGCCTGGGTGACAGAGTGAGACCCTGTATCCAAAAAAAAAAAAACAAAAAGACTCTGCTATGAGCCAGGCAGTGGGAATGCAGTGATTTACGTGGCCTAGAGTTTACCTCTCTAATGGGGACGATTTACACATTAAGTCACCTATGCCTAGAAAGGTCATTAAAGTCTAGTATTTTCATGGCATCTGTTAGTAGAAGTGAATTCATCACGGCCAATTCTTGATTGTTCTCTTTTCCTGTTACATGCACTTTGATGTGCATACTCCTAGACCTTATCCAAGAGAGGTGCTGGGGTAGAGGGAAGAAAAAGGAAGAATAAGATAACAGAAGAGATGGAGGGGCGCCCAGAATGTTGATAGATAAGCAGATGAGGCAACAGCATGAAGATAGAATTCCAAAAAGATGCTATTCCTTCCTGATCTGTATGGGAGGAATGAAGCATACAATACTATATATGAGTGAGGCCCATCCTCAGAGACCTGAGAGTCCAGGTCCATCACTAAGGGGTGCAGAAAAGAGCAAATTATCTTGTGTCCTCCTCCACCTATCTTTCCCAAAATACAAAGGAGGAAATATGGCAATTAGGGGCTTTACAAAAAAAAGGAATTCTTAAAAAGAAGCACCTAGAGGGGAGATGTGTGAAAAGAATACAGGAGTAGTCATTTGCTTTGTTGATATTGAAAATTTATGGACTAAATATATAATATAAACATTTTCGATGAGCCACATTTGTCTTTCACATTCAAAACTTCCATGAGTCTTTGCCTACCTGTACCAGCAAGTAGACCAAGGACCCGCAGGTCATAGGCTTGAAACCCGAATACTTGCCTCATTTGTTATGTTCCAGGGATGGCTGTGTATCTGAATGTATTTTGAAAAACAGTTAAGGCCAAGAATTAGCCTTGGCATTTAGAGTAATCTGTAGATCTGCCTTGTGCTTTCCTACGGAATCCATGTAGAAGCCATGTAAAAGAAGGTGGAACTGCCTGGTGGCTTTGGAGAACGAAGTGTCTGGTTCTGAGCTCCTTTCATCAGTTTTTTCTACTGGGGGGAAAAAACACCTTTTTTTTTTTCTTTTTTTTTCTAAATCTCCAAGAGACGACATTGTGATAGAGTGGTTTAGAGCAAGCTCTGGAGCCAGGCAGCCTAGGTTGCCAAGGTGTTACCTTGCCCAAGTTAATCACTCCTCTCCTCTGTTTCCTCATCTGTATTTACTGTCTCAACTGTTATTACATCATAGGGTTGTGGTGAAGATGAAATGAGAGAATAATATATGCACTTAGAACAGTATTTGGCACAAAGGAAGCCTTTATTATTACCTACAGCGAGCAGGGCTGGCGGCAAAGTGCTTCGTGTGTGTCCCTGGATCATTCTGAACCTGGTCAGAGCTACGAGATAGAGGCCTGGGCCAGAGCTAGAAATTTAGGAATCATTAATACATCAGCCAGGTGTTCATAATCTGTACATTACAGAGCCAGGGCTCATGGAAGAGCTAAAATCAAGGCGGCATTTTGTGTTTGTGAACATATGTGAATTTTTCTGGGAAGAGAACCCAAAACTTTCACCAGTTTACTCAAAGATCTGAGACCTGGCGGGGCGTGGTGGCTCACGCCTGTAATCCCAGCACTTTGGGAGGCCGAGGAGGGTGGATCATGAGGTCAGGAGATCGAGACCATCCTGGCTAACACGGTGAAACCCCACCTCTACTAAAAATACAAAAATTAGCCAGGTGTGGTGGCGGGCGCCTGTAGTCCCAGCTACTCAGGAGGCTGAGGCAGGAGAATGGCGTGAACCCGGGAGGCGGAGCTTGCAGTGAGCGGAGATCGCGCCACTGTACTCCAGCCTGGGCGACAGAGCGAGACTCCGTCTCAAAAAAAAAAAAAAAAAGATGTGAGACCCAGAAAAGAGTAAGACTTGCCATCTCACAGGAAATATGGTCCTACTCATGCCGTGTGTCCCACGTGGGTGTTCTTCCAAGGTAAATAATTGAAACTCCAGGGAAAGTATTTTATGACTGCAACATTTTACTAGAAAGCAGTGGGTTTTTTTTTGTTTTTTGTGGTTTTTTATTTTGAGACAGAGTCTCACTTTGTTTCCCAGGCTGGAGTGCAGTAGTGCAATCTCACCTCACTGCAACCTCTGCCTAACAGGTTCAAGCAATTCTCCTGCCTCAGCCTCCCAAGTAGCTGGGACTACAGGCACGCACCACCACACCCCGCTAATTTTTGTATTTTTGGTAGAGTCGGGGTTTCACCATGTTGGCCAGGATGGTCTCGAACTCCTGACCTCAAGTGATCCTCCTGCCTCAGCCTCCCAAAGTGCAAAGATTACAAGCATAAGCCACCGCATCCAGCTCTGGAAAATAGTTTTTTTAATGGTTCCCATTTTATATGTCTAGCACCCATTTTTGTAAGAGTTTTATCGTATAAAACAAATTTCAACTTCTTAGTAGATTGAAGGAATGACTTTTCTCTAGTGTCAGAACATACTCGTTAGTTTTCAAAGTAATTTTTTGCAACCTAATATGCATTTCAGCAATTGTTAGGTACATTAATTTTTAAATATGCTGAATTGTTTTTATGATTATTATTTCTAATGGCTTCTTACAAAATGTCTGCATTTTTTTATTTCCTATTGTGGTTTATATAATGATGTTTATATTGTTGCAATTATTACTTTTAATAATTATTTGAACCTCATATATTGACATCTCCTTTTAACTTCTTCATTATTTAGAACCAGGTTTTTGTGGTATTTCAGAAAGTTTTTTCTTCCATACCAAAATATTTCTTGTTGTTCTTCCTTCTTTTGCTCTTAGTTTTAAGCTCTCAGGCTCACAGTTCTCTATGATATAAAATGCAAATGAAGAATCGTGGTATCTTTCTCAGTACAGATATTTTTCTTACGGTTGGTTTTTAGCCTTTTGCAAAACTTGTGTTAAGAGTTGCAAATATTTTAAGTATTATGTTAATTTTGACCGGCTATATATTTTAAATGTATTTTCTACTTTGCTTTCTACTTCTGATGTTCTGGTGACCCAAAGACCTACCTTTACCTGTAAATCAATCTACAGCTTTGCATAATTGATTCTGTTGGCAAAAATAATCTGATTGGCTGATTAGAAATAATTTTGTCCACCCTTAAAACTGCTAATCCAGATCAGAATTAAGTTGTGTTATTTATTTTGGTTGTGCAGGCCTAACGTAAAAGCAAAAGGTTTACTCTCTAACAGTGATCAGCGTTATTAATTTTTGTAAACTAAGAATTTCTGTAGAAATACTACCCTATGAGAATCAGAAACTCCAGAAGTTTCGATGGCACTTTCTTTATGTTCAAATCATCAATTAAGCTGTTACAGGGTTCTACTAGTTTATATGGCATGTAAAGTATATAGCATGGAGAAGGAATTATAAAGAAATTATATGAATGTTATGCAGTAATACATTTTTATTTTAATGTTTAAAAGGTAAATTATTTTTATTATTATAATTTCAGAGTAGCACCTAACACCATATGTTCTTCACTGTAATTTTCCTTGCATCATCTTATCAATTAGCTGTAAACATGCTTATTTTAAAATGCCATTCAAACGCCTCTAATAGAATCCTGTGGCAAAGTGAAGAATCCTTTTACATACACAGTACAGATGTATCAAAACCATGTACTGTTTTGTTTACACACATGACAGAACCACCACACCTGAGTGGCCCAACTGAGGGTTACAGTTTCAGTCATTCTGTTAGGAGTCCTCCTACCACTTGCATATGTCAGCAGTGAAAAATAATCAACAAAAGCATCTTTGAAAAGCAATTTTAGATCATTAAAGATGTATGAATTTTGACAAGGCGGGAGATTTGAGGCTGATTAAGATTTATTAGGTCTCCACATTGAAGGAGGCATTTATGTCTCATTTCCAGGGGAAAGGCATAGCCTAATTGTAGCCTCATGAAACAAGTGGACAGGGGCAGGTACAGGTACAGAAAAAGATTCAGTCTTAGTCCTGACTGTTCCTACACACCTTTTGTGAGAAAAAGAGCCTTTTCCAGTAGGTTTCTGAAAATAAACAGGATCTTAGAATAGTCCCTGTTTCCTAATGGGCTATATATGCGATAAATCATTGTCTATCTGGCTTGCAGTCAAGAGATACTGGGTAATCGTTTTCTAAAGAACTTACATGTGCCTTTTCCAAATATAACATCAAAATATTACATTTGCTCAACAGTCTCCATTTCTTTTTCTTCTTTTTGCTTATTTATTAACTTTTAAAGTTTCATTATTTGTAGATCTCATAGTTGTAAATTTCCAAAGTTCTTTAAGAATAAAGAATTGATTCCATTTGTTCTGCTCAGCTATTATAAAGGAGAATGTTGAAATGACGAGAGTGGAGTGCATTCCAAATAATCTGTGAAAAGTAGTGTTAGTTCAGTGAGTTGAAAATGCTGAGTATTTGCTGGAATCATGACTACATTTGCTAAAAATGTGAATAGACTGGATTTTTAGGAGATACGAAGTGCATCTCTGTCATGTGATGTGAGTCTTATGTCAGCTGAAGCTACTCAATTTGCATGTAGATTCTGAAAATTTTCTTGTCCCATGTGACACTTCTGAAATGTCTGTCTGTTCTTTTTTCCTTTTTAATTTCCCAAGCTCACTATTTGGATAAGATAGTTAAAGGTACTGTATACTCGCTCTTTGTTGACATATCTACATATATATCTCTATATAACTGTATATCACTAGGTTTGACAATAGACTTTTCCATGCATATTTTTGTAAATTATAAATCAGAGTTAAATTATGTAAAATGCCTTGGATTTAAAGTATTGAGACTTAAGTGTCTGTGTCTCATTTTTATAATTTTGGGTTATCACAGATTTCATTCTTTGTAAAAGCGTTAGTTTTCTCTAGAACCAGAAACTGAAGATAATGGTACATTTGCTGTTTTTTGGTTTTGGAGGTTTTTTTCTTTCTTTTCTTTTTTTTAAGATCTTCACTGTTGGCAATTCAGCTTAATGAGCTTTAAATTCTAAGCTAAAGAATCACAAATACTCTTATCACAGAATAAGAAATTGTCAATCTAAAGAAGATCCTGGTTAACATGTTGAGAGAAATTTCGTTTATTTCATATGGAAGCTTCTTTGGTTTTTTTCCTAAATGTTTCAAAATATATGTGGTATCACAATTTGTGTTTTGTTATTTTTTAAAACCTATAAATACTGTACAGTCTATTAAAAAAAGAACTGATAACCTTGTTCAGCAGAAAACAGCAGATTCTCACATCTTCAGTTATCGTAGAAATAGATGGAAAAAGTTTTTTCAGAAGAGAAAATTCCCCTTCCCTTTCTCCTCAGATTACCTACTTTCTATTCCTTGTTTGTGCTTTTCATTAGAATATGAAAATATTCATGGCAATATCCAGGCTTTCATATACCAACTCCTACGTGCAGTCAGTCAGCTGCCGCACCTCCTTGTCAGTGGGGCAATTCAACCTTTCGTTTTCATTAAAAAAAAAAAAAAAAAAACACATCCATAAGGAAGATTCACCTTTTATTTATTGAATAATCCATAAATACAGACGGTAATTGTCTGAGCGAAAAGAAGCAGCAAAATTAATCTCTTCCTGACCTGATGGTATCCATAAGTGTAATTTCATTGTACTCTTCCATGAGAGACAGTCGAAATAGTCTTCTTTCTGTTAACTCTAATCTTAAGAGACAGAATGTCTCTTGGCGATATTTTCTTTTCAAGTTCCACAGTGGAGGAGGGGACACCAATATATGAATAATTCTTCTAACACAGACTTAAACATCTTTAAAAACAGATTGTTCCCTGAAATTTTGTCACCGGAGCAATAGTAGCATTCAAATGATAAGAAGCTGTAAAACAAACCCCAATTGCTATAGCAAGTATTTTTATTAATATGTTTTATACCAAATTATAAATAGCTCTGTCCACAGAAATCTGATGAATAGCCAGTTATTCTTAGAATTTTAGAGCATTTCTCTCCTTGCTTCTGTCAGTGTCATATCACACTCATAAACAAGGACACCAGAATCTACCCAAGTGTCATCCTCATAAACAGATCACATTGGCTGCATGCCAGATATCATCAGTAGGAAGTGGCAAAAATTGTTTTTTTTAAATGTCATGTTAGACTGAAACAATTATAGATTTTGGATATATTAAATTATTTTAATTGTTTCCCAAATTTTCCCTCCTTGCCCATAAAAGCAGACAAGATAGGATATAAAGGTAACAGCATAAAAGCCTTAGGGAGATTGTCACAAAATATCACTCTTCGCTATCTGTCTTGAAGCACGTCACTACCGTGTTTTTGTTCAGTCTATCAATGTTTTATTGTGGTCCTTATGGTATTTCATTTTGTCCGTCCTAAGTAATCCAATATGCACAGCTATTACATTTAGTTGGAAATCCTGTCGGTCCTGTCCCATCCGTATGCAGCCTGAATCCTAATGTTTGTTAGAATAGATGCTAAGCTGCTTCACTATTTCCTGGGCTTTGCTTATTCTGTGACAAGGAATGTACTCTTGGCATAAAGTATAGTCATTAATCCTGGCCTATACTTTGTGCAATTATTTAATGCACTGTAATTTCACATGAATGTACGGCAACTCCGAGGCCAGATAAAATTAATGTTCTCTTTTTGACATCATTCATATCCTCATACCCACTTTCATGCTTTTGGAGTTTGAGGGAATTTTTTTAAGCAACAAGGTGCTTTAAGAAGGCATGTCTTGATAAATGACCAGTAATGTTTAAAACAGATTACAAATCTAGACTAGGGATTCTGAAATTATTTTGTTGAGATGGCTTTTCCACACCGTACAATATACCTTGTTGCTTGGCTAAAGGGAAAAAATTTAAGTTAATTTTGTCTGGCCTGCAGCTATTTAGTGGATCGTTGCATATATTTCTGTCCTGCACAGGTAAGTGGTGTCTCAAGGGTCAGGCCAATCAAAGATGCCACTTGGATAAGAATTAGATTCCATAGATAACGTTGCTGTTTCTATCCATGTGCAATTACAGTATTTGTGCTGTTTATAAAGGCCTGTTCCCACTAAGTGTCCCTTATCTGTTTATTTTAGGTGCAAAAACTCAATACTCAAATCACTGGTGTTTTCCTTCTTTGTCTCGACAGAGGGTTGTCCTGGTCTGTGCAACAGCAATGGAAGATGTACCCTGGACCAAAATGGCTGGCATTGTGTGTGCCAGCCTGGATGGAGAGGAGCAGGCTGTGACGTAGCCATGGAGACTCTTTGCACAGATAGCAAGGACAATGAAGGAGGTAAGAAATACTGAGCATGAACACGAGTCTGTGCCAGAGCACAGGTTCGTAAGTGACAGTGAGTACATAGATATCTGTTGCCAAAAAAAAAAAAAAAAAAAAAAAACCTGATCCCCATCGATTAGATTGATTGAAAAATGTATGAGTGCTGATAGAATGATTTTGCTCTCCATTTTTCCTGAAACAAATGCAAGATTATTATCATTCAGGGAAAAGGCAAGGTAACCAAGCTACTGCATAATGTCCATTGTTCTCCATTCCTTTTCCTGGTCCCCAGGTGACTCTTCTCCTCAACCACAGTATTTAGGGCTCTGTGAATTGGGAGCTCCAAAGCAGTATTTTAATAACTGACATTCCAAAAGATGCAAAGAATTTTCCAGCCTCTTCTGTTGAAAGGCATGGATGGAAAAAAACAAAACAGTAACAGAGAACAGTCCCCTGGATGCTGTACTCTAGTGACGTTTTATCCTTAACTTGATACTCGGTTAAAAAGATGGTGAGATTCCACCCAGTTGAAGCCCTTGGTTAAGAATAATTATTTTCACCGTTGACCTCAGCCTCCATGTACTGTATTTTAATTTCAGGGAATAGAGTGAGAGTTGGTGATTTCCTCTCCAGTGATGGAATAGTTGGCCCTGATAGCTGTTTTGTTTTGTTTTTTGTTTTTTGAGATAGAGTTTCGCTCTTGTTGCCCAGGCTGGAGTGCAATGGCACGATCTCAGCTCACCGCAGCCTCCACCTCCCGGGTTCAAGTGATTCTCCTGCCTCAGCCTCCCGAGTAGCTGGGATTACAGGCATGTGCCACCACACCTGGCTAATTTTGTATTTTTAGGAGAGACAGGGTTTCTCCATGTTGGTCAGGCTGGTCCCAAACTCCCGACCTCAGGTGATCCGCCCACCTCGGCCTCCAAAGTGCTGGGATTACAGGCGTGAGCCACCGCACCCAGCCAGCTGTTCAGTTTTGACATAGCTTTAGCGCTGCATTTTTAGGAGGGCTGTAGTTCCTATCCGGGCCTCTGTGGACACTTGCCACGTGTGTTAGGTTGTGTTTCCCTGCCACTCCACCAGCCCCAACCATTCTCTCTGCTCTTTTTGAGACTGTGCACATGGATGATAAAGCACTGGCTAGAGTGTAGGTTTTGGAGCAGACACATCTTCACTGAACCATGTAGTAATCATGTGACCTCAGACAAAATCTGTAATCACTTTAACCTCAATTGCCGCATCTATAAAATAGGAATAAAAGAGTTTTTGAAAGGATTAAGTGAGAAGATGCATGTGAAGTGTGTAGCATATTGCCAGGCACAGAGCCTGCTCTAAGTAGCAGCTATTATTATCCAGTTTCCCTTCTTTGCTTTCAAAAGTGCTCATCTTGACTAAGTGAACTTCATAGAAGGTTGTCAGAGAAGATTGAATAGCCTTTGCCTTTCTATACCTATAGAGGGCCTCAACTACTATTCTGTAGGAAACAGAGCGACCAGAACCAACCCCTCAACCTCCCTTCCAACCCAAAACACACACACTCACACACACACACAGAGACACACATACAAGCAAGCCTGGGCCGACAGTCATTCTCAAAGCAAATGTTACTTGTGTCTTATCCTTCCGACAAGGTGCTGCAATTCTCTCCTTTAGTTTCTAGCAGACTGTTCACTGTTTTCTCTTAACTTGGACAGTCAAGAAACTTGAGCCACAAATTCTGAGCTAAAGCCTTTCCTTCCTGCTCCGGATAGATTTAGGTGGCCCGTAGCCTTCACAGCTTTTCCTGCTTAATAATACCTTGTTGCCTCTGACTCCTCTTAACTGTGTGCTTTATAGACATGGCAGCATTAATCCTCTCAAAACCACAGTACAGATGGCTCCTCTCTTCGTTACTTTCCCCCAAAGAACCCCCTACTCCAATGTTGCTATTGCCTAGGGAGGAAGGAGAGCTTCTCTTTCTCCTTGATCATATAGTTCAGATTTTGCTTCTAAGAGAAGATTGCACTGAGGAGTTTACAGAGTCTCTCAGAGGGAAGCGGGCTGCAGGACCAAGTCTGCAGAGACACTGCCGAGTAATTTAGGGGCTAATCAACTCTTTAGTGGTATTATCAGCTAAAGAGGTTTTTCCTTTTCCTCAAAATTTATCAACTGTGAATTGGCCTCATTCCCCTTTGTTTATTCTGATTAGCATGAAACTATGCTATCTCTAGGCTCCCCTCTCGGAGGGGAAATCTGAGCTGACAGAAGACCTCCTGTGGATTCTCTGCTTATCTCACATAATTTGTATTCCTGCCTCTAACCTAATTTTGCTGATCTTTTAAGAAGGAATCTCAGTGCCAGCCTTCTTATGCCCTGAGATTGTAACCTGGATGCTTTATAACCTAAGCCAGCGGGTTCTTTGAACTTAAGCATAAGCTACATGTATAAAGATGGTATTTTCCACACCAAACCCCAAATCAAAACACGAAAGATGGCAATGAAGGATGTCAATTATATGAAGACAGTCGAACAGAATGTTTAGGAACTATAAATCCACTCCTTATTTAGGACTAGACTGGATTTTATTAGACTGAAATTCTAGGATATATGGTGACTGATTGTAGTGTTATAGATCCATTGTCTAAGTTTAGTTATCAAAATGGTGACTTATCCAGAGAGTAGCTAAGTAACTTGATTTAGCATATTAAGGAACTCAGGAGGAGGAGAGGGTGAAGAGCCCAATGTGGCCCTAGTCAGCAATTGAACACTCCCAATAAATAGCTACTATAGTTTGAGCAATTTTGTAGAACACAGTGTTTGTAAAAGAAGAGCAAAGGAAGTTGCGTACCATTCCCGGAACTAAAGAAGTATCAAAAAATTTTAAAAGAGACATCCATCATATAGGGAGATCTTGAAATATCTTCTTAGGCCAAGCATCTTCCTTCCCCTGCAAAATTTATTTTACTTCACCCCGTCAAGTTTGCCCCATCACCACTGTTCAATGGTAAAGAGTTTAAACATCTGAATCTCACTAAATAGGTGTTCCTCCTTGCCTTCATGTATGTCTGTCCCCCTTTATCTCTAAAAAGCTGCTTTAGAAGGGAATTCCTTATGAGGAATAGGAAGAACGTAGATGGGGGCGACTTATCTTCAGCCACCCTTTTAACACCTGTGCTGCTTTCCAATAGGTCCTTGTTTCCTTTCAGACAAACAGCTGTCATGTACGCTGGGTAACTGTAGCTTTTCAGAGCTAAGGGCAATCTGTTACCCGTAATAAGGGCCCTGACAAAGGTCTCCACTCTCTATGAAATCAGTAAGGTATCCCCCTCATCTGCTTCTCAAATCCAGCTCCAGGTACCAAATAGAGGCTTTGGGAGCAGATCCTTTTGACAAAGGCAAGCAATGGATTACTAGATTCTTAAATCACACAGTGGAAATCAGAAACAATGCTCACTGGACCAGATAATTGTGGATAATATCCCCAATGGGGCACGTAGACACTTTGGGAGCAACTAGTTGCTGTCCTGTCCTAATTGAGAAAGCTTTTAGAGCAAATGATCACCAGTACTTCACATGGCTTATAAATCTTTCTTCTTCAACTCCAACTTTACTTATGAAGACAACAGTCCTGTAAATTGAGCATTTGTTGCTCATATCCCAAAACACTGTGATCATGAAGTTGCTGAGTCCAGAGAATAGGAAGGTGAAGAGATGGGAGCTGCTCACTCCTGAAGGAAGTGCGATCTGGAGTGGGGGTTAAGACAGTGACTGTTAACCACAGTCTTCGGTTCCTCAAGTACCTCTTTTCACCAGCCATTTGCATTGAAGTCTGCCCTGTCTCACAGTGAACCCTACCACAGACTTCCACTCCCCCTCAACAGGAAAACCTTCTCCTTTTTGAAGGTTCTACTTGACCATTCTGACCAGGAAAGACCCTGGTCTCACATGTGAGACGTTCAACTCAAACATTATTACACGTAAAAAAAAAAATTATTAGCTTATATAACTGAAAAATTCAGATAGAGTTGCACCCAGGTGTTCAAATGATGACACCAGAAACTTAGGTATATTCATCTGTTAACTCTGCTTTCTTCTACCTTAGAATCATTCTCAGGCCATCTCCTCCCCAAAAAGGCCACCACCAGCTCTGAGTTTACATTTCACTTCCTAATAACTCCACCACAAAGAACACACACCTTTCTTCATGGTTGTGTGTGGCCTGGGCCTGAGCCTGAGCCTCACTCTCGTTGGTCTGAATTAGGTCACCTGCCCAAAGGAAAACTGAAGTGCTGTCACCAGAAGAAAGGGGCTTGGATGCTGGGCAGGCAGAAAAACGGTCTACTATGGGAATAAGAATAGTTCTCCACAGCATTCAGCTTTAGTACAGTCAGATCATGTACTGCAGTAACTAGTTCATATGCTCATGGACTGTCACTTTCAGAAGGAATCTTCTTCTCTCTGTCTCCTCCTTCCTTGCCAAAGTATAGCCTTTTGACTTGACAAGAATACCAGTGCTGAACCTCTGATGTGCTTTTTAGTGCCCAAGATTAGCAAGGCAGCTATCTAATTCTCCCCATATACTTTTAAAAGCATCATTGCTTTTATTTAGCCTGCTGCGAAGACTCATTCGGCAAGGGGTTGCTTGACTTTAAATAGCTCTCCAAATGATGGTCTCACTATGCAAGCACCAAAAGGCAATAGCTCGCCAGAGATAATTCTGTCTCTATGGAAACTTAAGATACTTTTTAACAAGATGATTTCTCCACAATGCATTGTCCCTGGCAGTCGTTACCAAGCTCCCATCTTCTCCAGAGGGAGATCTAGTCAGTTCCCTTTGACACCTTGCGTCCCTGTCTGGTCCTCCAGTGGCCAGCTCCCCCGTGGGCACCTGAGACATGAGACTCAAGCCCTGTCCTGGAGACTGGCTGGTTGAGGGCACAAGAATGACTTTAAAAGATACATACTAAACTTTGTGCAAGAATGGTGGAATACCAAAGCATAACTCCTGCCAAGAATAATACATATTACCAGTAAAATAGAGTTCTTTTTTTTTTCTTTTTTTTTTTTTTTTTTTTTTTTTTTGAGACGGAGTCTCGCTCTGTCTCCCAGGCTGCAGTGCAATGGCGTGGTCTCGGCTCACTGCAACCTCCGCCTGCCGGGTTCAAGGGATTCTCCTGCCTCAGCCTCCCGAGTAGCTGGGACTATAGGCGCCCACCACCACGCCCTGCTAATTTTTGTATTTTTAGTAGAGACGGGGTTCACCATGTTGGCCAGGATGGTCTCGAACTCCTGACCTTGTGATCCGCCCCCCTCGGCCTCCCAAAGTGCTGGGATTACAGGCATGAACCACTGCGCCTGGCCTAGAGCTATCTTTTATCCTTTAGAATTATTACTTTTTGGGGGGTATATCAGGAAGATGTACCTAAAACAGGCCATTTTTTCAAGCCTCTAGGGGCTGATTACAGTTGAGAAGAAAGCACAAGTCAACTGAGGTTATTCAGAAATAAGAAAGATAGAAATAAGAAATAAATAATTAGATAAATAAGCAAAAGAAGCAGAAATACAATTCGAACTGCAAGAAAGCTGGGTGCAGTGGCTCATACCTGTAATCCTATCATTTAGGGAGGCTGAGGCAGTTGGATTACTTGAGCCCAGGAGTTTGATATCAGCCTGGCCAGCGTAGCAAGGCCCCATCTCTACAAAAAATATAAAAATCAGGCAGGCGTGGTGGCACACGCCTGTAGTCCGAGCTACTCAGGAGGCTGAGGTGGGAGGATCACCTGAGCCTGGGGAGGTCAAGGCTGCAGTGAGCCATGATCGCGCCACTGCACTCCAGGCTGGATGAAAGAGTGAGACCCTGTCTCTCACACACACACACACACAAACAAACTGCAATAAAAAGTAGGAATGTGCTATCACTAGAAAAGGGGAGTGAAGGATTGAAAACAAATGGATGAAATATTAATATAAACATGAGAATGAGTATAATGAATGGAGAGATCTATATTTGTAGATTACTCAGTGAAAATAAGGAAATGTTTGAAAATAGAATTTTTAAAAATCTAGCAAGAAGGTGGGACTATTATGTTCTCTAAAAACAGATTTAAAAATAAAAATAATGAAATGGCAGGAAACAGCACTGGAAAGGAAGCGGGGGAGAGGGAGTTTAAAAAAAAAAATTACAAGAGATCACAAGTATTTCCCAAAATGAATCCAGATATTATCAGACATAGAGTGGTGCTTACAGTCTCAGAGCATTACCCTGTATTATTCAGGTAGATGATGGTTTGGGGGGAAATTACTATTAATTTGAAAGACTCTACTGGATCCTACCTAAAGTAAGAAGGAGATTCAGGTTACTCTGAACCCTTTGGCTATCCACAGAATTTTAGAGGATAGTGAATCCCATTCTGGGGGAAGAACATCCAGCTTGTGCCCTATAAAGCAGAGGACTTCAGTAGCTTCCTGCTAGGACTCAAGGAACGTAAGATTTAACCACTGCATCTTAATGGGTTTTAGAAGAAGAGGAAAATCAGAGCCACACGGGTTGGTACTAAAAGTCTCCCCTCTTTTTTTTTTTTTTTTTTGAGACAGAGTCTTGCTCTTGTTGCCCAGGCTGGAGTGCAATAGCATAGTCTTAGCTCACTGCAACCTCTGCCTCCTGGGTTCAAGCGATTCTCCTGCCTCAGCCTCCCGAGTAGCTGGAATTACAGGCGCTTGCCACCAGGCCCGTCTAATTTTTGTATTTTTAGTAGAGACGAGATTTCACCACATTGGCCAAGCTAGCCTCGAACTCCTGACCTCAGGTGATCCACCCACCTCAGCCTGCCAAAGAGCTGGGATTACAGGCGTGAGCCACCACGCCCGGCCTAAAAGTCTCCCCTCTCTTTTACACCCGTGCCCAGCAGCTGCCACCTGAAGCTTAAGAATGTGGACGTGGGCACTGCGTGGCATCTCTTTAGAAACAGGCCTCCGGGCTACATGTCTTTCCATGTTAAGAACCCCTGCATTAAGGTAAGGGGTTTTATTAGAAGTCGTGGTACAGAGATACTACACTCTCATTGTCAGAAGAGTTAGCCACCATCAGTAACTTCGTGGGCATCTCGTGAATTCATATGCACATTTATGTTATTAAACTTAAATAAATACTATTCTAAATTTGATTCTTCCAAGGACGATATCTTAGAGATTTTTTTCATGCCCGTACACATAGGCCCATCTCATTCTTTACAACAGAAACCTGGTGTACTAATTAATTTCACCACTGCTACACTGACGATAATTTAATTGTTTCTAATTTTTTTGCCCTTAGTATAGAGACAAATCTGTAGCGAATCTGTGTGTGTGTGTGTGAGTGTGTATCTGCATATGAATCTTTGTGTAAATGTACAAATATTTCTTTAGGATGGATTTTTAGAGGTGAACTTGCTGGTTCAAAAGGTATTTTAATTTTTAATTTTGATAGCTACTGCTCAATTGCTTTGCAACACTTCATCAATCTGAAGGTGTTCATAGTCTATCTGTAATTATTGTAAGTAAACAAAAATGTTCAACAAAATGAAAAATATCAATTTTGTCTGATGAAAATGACCCCATTTTTATCATTTTAATTTGCATTTTCCTAATTACTAGTTAGATTGATGATCTTTATATTTATTTCTTTTTTTGCTAATTGCTTATTTATTTCCCTTGTTTTTTTCTATTGAGCTGCTTGATACTTTCTTTTTAACTCTTAGGACTTCATTATATATTCTACTTATTCTTTGTTAGGTGTGTTGCAAATATTTTATCCCAGGTGTTCACTTATCTTTTAACTTTGTAATTTATGGTGCATGCAGAAGCTTTCAGTTGATATGACATAAATTTGTCTGAGGTTTATCTTTTTAGTCGTGACTTCTGGGTTACGTGTCTTCTAAGTAGAGCCTTTCTGAGATGAGACATAGTGTTACAGGATTTCATATAATTTCTTCTAATACTTTTTATAATTCCATGGATTGCTTAATATTCAATTAATCAAGAACATTTTTAAGTACCTATTGGAGTAAAAAAGAAATAGGAATTCAAGGATTAGCATAGTGTCTGAGGGTAGGGAAAGCATGATAGAAAAAAAGCAGGGCATCTCTCATGTGCTTCTAAGCCTTTTCAACTGTTTAGAACTCACAATCTTTAGGAACTTAATTCATTTTTTCCTTCATTTAGCAAATGTATTAAATGCCTACTTGGCGCCAGCAAGTGTGCAAGGCTCTGGGGATACGATAGTAGGGATGGATAGTGAACTAGATGAGCCCTCAAGGAGCTTAATGAGACAGTTGTCTGAGATGATTGCTGAAGGAATTGAGGGCTATGTGGAGAAGTAAGAGAGAAGCTTAGAGATCTCCGGGCAAAGGAAACGATTGTGGTGAAAGGTCTTATAAGCCATGTTAAGGAGTTGTGACTTTACTCAGAAGGCAATGGAGACCAAGTAAAGGAAGCATTTTAGCCAGAGAAGTGAAATAATCAGATTTGGTTTCTCTAAGGGTACTCTGGCTAACATGTAGAGAATGGATAGTTGGGGCAAGACTGGAACCTGGGAAAACACACTGTTGTTAAGAATTTGTCAAGAGAGGACCATGGTGGCCTGATGGATAGTTTCAGGGAAAGAGAAAGAAATAGACTAATTCAAGAGAGATTTGAGATGAAGAAAAGAAGCAACTGGTGATTGATTAGGTGCCAGAAAAAGGAAGAGACGAGGAGTCCAGGATAACGTTCAGGTTTCTATGAGAAGCTGAGCGGGGTGGATGGTGGAACCATTCATTGAAATAGGAAATTGAGCAGCAGCGTATTTGGAGGAGAAGATCATATACAGACATGTTAAATCATATTACACATGTTAAGTTTTAGATGCCTGTGCAATATCCAAGCCAGATATCTAGAAGGCAATTGGTGGCTTTGTAGTTCAGGAGAATGACCAGCCTGGAGTCATTAGCATTGAAATGATGTGAACATGAGGTCCAAAGCCACCAGGAGAGCACTGATGTAGACAACCAAGAATGTGTGGAAACCTAGCATGATCCCAATCCAGAAATGAATGCATATTTCAGTTTGTTTCATGCATATTACAGAATGTGACTAAAAAGAATAACAAAAGTTACACCTGTATACTTTTAAAATTCTGAATTCCACAAATAAAATATTACATGGGAATTTCTAATTCGGACTTGAAACTTGGAAGTTGAGGGGTGGGGGCGAAGTACCAAATACTGTGGGGAAGGACAGTGGGTATCAATTATCTTTTGAGTAAAAAAGAAAATTCATGACTTTTTGTCCAGTCTGTAAACCAAGGTTTTGAAAAACAAATAACAATATCCATAGCTCTTTGAAAGAAGAAAGTGAGAGTATTGACAAGCAGCATAAAGCCAGCATAGAAGGTAACCCAGGAAAAGACCTGTAGTCAAGAGTTTTAATAATCCAACAAAATGTGTATTGTTTAAATTTGCCAGAAAAAAAAGAATCAAGAGTGATGTGTAAAGTATAATAGGAAATATGACAGGATAGAGACCTTGAAGCAGGACCAGGGATTGGCAAACAGTGGCCTCTGAGCCAAAGCCTGATTTTCTTAATAGTTTTATTGGAACACATTCATGCCCATTCATTGACATATTGAAGGCAGAGTTGAACAGTCGCCATAGAGACTATATGGCCCACAAACCTGAACGTATTTACTCTTTGGTTCTACAAAATAATTTCGCCAGCCACTGTAAAAGACCAGTGAAAATGCCCAAAGAAAGATAAGAGCATGTTTAAAAATAATGGACAGAAAAGCTAACGAGAGCAATAATATTACAGACTGAGCGGAGGGAAGCATAAACAGTATGATCTACTTTACATCAGAGTACCACGTAGACTGCAAAGCCTAAACAGAAGAAAGACAGGCTCTTAACTGATCACTGCAGTTATTATTCAGCGGGTTTTGAGCATTTCTGATTTATGTAGATTTTTATGATTAATGCTATTAGACATGGCTTCTATACCAAGATAAATTTAAGCCAACCTAATATTCCTGAAACTAAAATGGAATCTCGATGATTTTTGAGAAGCTATTCCACAAAGACAATTTTACTACACTATACATTTGGGCAAGTGGGTAATCAACTTAGTTAATACTACATAACCTTAGCTGCCGTATAAATACAGACCAAAAAATGAAAAATGTTTTCTCAAGTTATAGGAAGCCAGATTCATAACCATCCGTCACTTGCTTGGGCAAGTTACTGATAAACTCTGCAGAAGAATAACAAACAGTGTGTCCCTGCACCTTGGCTGTTGAAAATGAGATCTTTCTCTGATTGATGTTAGCAGAGAGGCTTGTAAAAATGCATTTCCAACTGATTAGTTCAGAAGGTGTCAATCTCATGCAGTTTTATGACCTGCAGACTACATGCCAGATGTACATTTGCTTTTTATAAACTAACAAAGATGAATGACTAAATTTGAGCATTCCTCTTTGGCAACTGTACCATCTATTGCCTAAGGGAAGACACTGGCAGCATTATGGCGGGGGAGAAGAGGGTAAGGAGCACTTAACCCTTAACTTACCAGATTAATGGAGAAAAATATAATATTTGGAAATACTTTTCCTATTGAATCATTTCTACTTTTGTTGAAGAATGACTGCAAGGGAAAACCTGCAAGAATATCAGATATTTGTGTTGTTATTCTCCCAAGCATATGTACCCATTCGAAATCCATCAAGTAAGAACTAAAGGTACTATATCATAAAACACATTTGAAAGATTCGTCATAAACATCAAACATATAACTATGAATTGGGATGGAAAGGTTGAGGTTTTAAAAAATTTTTTGGTTTGTTTGTTGTTTTGGGTTTTTTTTTTTTGAAACAGGGCCTCTCCCTGTCGCCCAGGCTAGAGCACAGTGGTGGGATCATCTCTCACTGCACCCTCGAACTCCTGGGCTCAAGTGCCTCCCAAGTAGCTGGGACTTCAGGTGCACACCACCATACCTGGCTAAGTTTTCTAACTTTTTGTAGAGATAGGGTCTCGCTGTGTTACCCAGGCCTGTCTTGAATTACTGGGCTTAAGTGATCCTCCCAAAGTTCTGGGATTACAGGCATCAGCCACTGTGCCTGGCTAATTGTTTTTTTGAAGCCAGAAATGATATTGGAGCAGTAGGTCAACAGTCTACTACTTCAGAATTCTGAATCTTAACAACTATGCTTCTATTTCTTTGAGAGAGAGGGAGAAAAAATGTTTTACATTATTATTATATATCCTCATGAAAAATAAGCCAATAGCATAGTATAGTCTTTCTTCCACTAGAAATATTGAGAAATATTTATACATTTTTCATCTTCATGCCCTTTTGCCTAGGAAAGTAATATTTTGATAAATTTATATGAAATTTCCAAACTCAGTTTCATTTGATTTTCTTTTCTTTTTTTTCTTTTTTTTTTTTTCTTTGAGACGGAGTCTTGCTCTGTCACCCAGGCTGGAGTGCAGTGGCGCGATCTCGGCTCACTGCGACCTCCACCTCCTGGGTTCAAGCAATTCTCCTGCCTCAGCCTCCCAAGTAGCTGAGATTACAGGCACCCACCACCACGCCCCTCTAATTTTTTTGTATTTTTAGTAGAGACGGGGTTTCACCATGTTGGCCAGGCTGGTCTCGAACTCCTTACCTCAGGTGATCCACCCGCCTCGGCCTCCCAAAGTGCTGGGATTACAGGTGTGAGCTACCGCGCCCGGCTTAATTTTCTTAAAACATGATTTTAGCTTTTTTCCAGAGAAATAAACATGCAGTTTCAAATGGTTAACAACTCATTATCTTAGAAATATAACAGACATGAAAATACATGCTATCATAAGGAAACCGTGTGTAATCAGATCTGCTTATCAGAAATCCTGACCCACACATTTTCATGTGTATGGAAATTATGGTAACAAAAAACTTAAAATATTAGTGTGAAAAGAGTCCAACTTTATAAACTTAATTCAGATATTCACTTATTAAGCCTTTCCCCCCTCCCCCAACTACAAAGGAAATAGTGAAGAGATTTTTAGTTACTGTCTCTGGATAAGCTAGGTCTCTGTCAATTTCAGGTGACAGAAAATTGAATTCAAACAGACTTAAGGAAAAAGGGAATACGTTTCTATAACTGAAAAGCCCAGGAGGTCAAGCGCAGCTTATGTCTGTGTCTGACCTGTTAGTTTTTGCTCCAGCCCTTGCTCCGCTTGCCTGGGGATGGCTCCATTCCCAGCAG
The DNA here is from genome assembly GCF_000001405.40 of Homo sapiens. Classification (NCBI taxonomy): domain Eukaryota; kingdom Metazoa; phylum Chordata; class Mammalia; order Primates; family Hominidae; genus Homo; species Homo sapiens. The sequence goes on from NC_000004.12 coordinate 182,726,451, forward strand.
CTTCTATACCGGCAGCAAGGTGGCTGCAGCAATCCCAGTCACACAGCCTCACAGAACAAGCCTGGTGGAGGGGTAAGAATCTCTTTTTAGATTGTTTGTGAAATTCGCTCTTGTTAGACATGTTAGGTCACCTGTACATTTCTGAACCAAACAGGAAGGGAAGGTTATGCACATGGCCTGAGAGGTGGGGAAGGCCGGATACGCAAACGAAAAGTTTCATCTGTTGCCCAAAGAAAGGGAAAGGGTCTGGGGAAGCACAGCGTCCGCTACTTTTATTCTTCAGATGGCCAAAATGACCTGCTGAGCCAGGCCTTCTCACGTCTTGTTTCTTACCTTACCGTGTTGTTGCTGACCTGCCTTTTAGACTGGGCAATTTAATTCAACTTTGTCTGTTTTCTTTTATCTCAGTTTGCTGTCAGATAATGAAGGAGCAAGCTAACATTCTATTAATAAGAATAGCCTAACTTAAATCAATGGCTAGTATAGTATTTTTTTAAAAAAAGACTTTATTTTAATTGTATAAATAAAACATAATGGTCATCTAGATATTTTCAGCTGAGCTTGCCATCACAGTGGTCAGACCCAGACTTGATACTTAAGTTGGAAGATTTTAAAACTATTTTGTCAGTTCTCCTAAGAGTGATTAAAGTCTTCAGAAACTGATATTTTTATTAATCTATACCAATAAATGTAATTACCAAGGAGATAAAAATTCATGTTTTCAGCTGGGCTGAGTGGCTCACACCTATAATCCCAGCACTTTGAGAGGCCTAGGCGGGTGGATCACTTGAGGTCTGGAGTTCGAGATGAGCCTGGTCAACATGGTGAGACCCCGTCTCTACTAAAAATACAAAAATTAGCCAGGCATGGTGGCAGGTGCCTTTAGTCCCAGCTTCTCAGGAGGCTGAGGCAGGAGAATCACTTGAACCAGTTAGGCGGAGGTTGCAGTGAGCTGAGATCGTGCCACTGCACTCCAACCTGGGTGACAGAGGAAGACTCAGTCTCAAAAAAAAAGAAAGAAAAATTCATGTTTTTCAACTGGTCAGTAAAGCCTGACCTTAAAGGATAATGTTATCAAATGATCATAACCTGAAACACTCAACCACTAATGGATGGTTATAGCTTTTAAACAGGATACTTGCATGGGCCATTGAGTGTAGTTTCCTTCTGATGCTCCTGGAGAAAGCACTGGCAAATTCTTCTCATCCATTATTCCTTTTATGTCATCAATACTATAGGTCAATTTTTCATGATGGATTTCTTATTATTTCTAATATTATGGCTGATTTACATTTACCACATTTTAATTAATACCTCCATTTTAGTGAGTGTATTCTAGGAGTCCAGGCTCTTGTTTAAAATTTGGGAAATGCCTGATTTTATCTGGAACACACTTAACCTTCCTTAGAAGAACTTTTTTTTTTTTTTTTGAGACAGTTTTGCTCTGTTGCCCAGGCTGGAGTGCAGTGGTACGATCTCAGCTCACTACAACCTCTGCCTCCCAGGTTCAAGTGATTCTCCTGCCTCAGCCTCCTGAGTAGCTGGGACAACAGGCACCTGTCACCCCGCCTGGCTAATTTTAGAGATGGGGTTTCACCATGTTGGCCAGGCTGGTCTCGAACTCCTGACCTCAGGTGATATGCCCACCTCAGCCTCCCAGAGTGCTGGGATTACAAGCATGAGCCACTGCACCGGCCAGAAGAGCTATTTTATTGAAAGGTGGTTGGCTCATCTCATCCATTTTATATTGATTTGTGTTTGCTACACTTCATAAACTTTCACTTTCTGACCCTCTCCCAAATTTTAGAGCTTCGTCCTACATAGATTCCTATTTATCATACACACTTACTGTGCTAACTCCTAGTGCATTTTCTCTAAAATATAGAATATTTGAGTAGCTTTACTTACAACTAATCCATATTCCTTCATACTCCTACCAATAGATTGTTCTAATCACTAATTTTTTTATTTCTTACTCAGAACAAACATTATATGATTCTTTTCAGCCATCTCTAATCCAAATATTTACTCTCTATGAAGGCAGATGCAAGTAGATTTATGTGTCACATACTGATGGGGATATGTTCTGAGATAGTTGCTGTTAGGCAATTTCATCATGGTAGAGCATCATGGCATGTACTTACGCAAATCTAGATGGCACAGCCTACTGCACTCCTAGGCTACCCATCTGTACAGCATGTTACTCTACTGAATACTGAGGCAGTTGTAACACAGTGGTATTTGTGTATCTAAACCTAGAAAAGGTACCGTAAAAATACAGCATTATTATCTATGGGACCACTCTTTTATATATGGTCTGTCATTATGTGGCATGTGACTATTGTATTTCTATTTCTTCTGGTTTCAAAAAGTATGCCTCATAGAAATTACTATCAGATAGTCGGGAGAAATCACTTGATGTGAAAAAAAAAAAAACAGTCAAGAAACAAAACTGATTCTACATTATGGCATCAAAAGGAAAATTCTCTTACTGGGGAACATTTCTCTCTACAGATGGACTCATTGACTGCATGGATCCCGATTGCTGCCTACAGAGTTCCTGCCAGAATCAGCCCTATTGTCGGGGACTGCCGGATCCTCAGGACATCATTAGCCAAAGCCTTCAATCGCCTTCTCAGCAAGCTGCCAAATCCTTTTATGATCGAATCAGTTTCCTTATAGGATCTGATAGCACCCATGTTATACCTGGAGAAAGTCCTTTCAATAAGAGGTTAATGCTTCTTTTCCATATGTAGATTTGTAATGATGTTATCAACAGTTACATACACTTATGTGAAATACTCATGACTGTGAACCTGAGGAAAGTGCTGTTTTTTAAATACAGTTTTTCCTCTTTCTGCAGATTCTTCACCAAACTTTGTATTTCAAGCATTTTTGACACAGTTCACATACTTTGTCAATTTCAGTACCTGAGACATAACAGGACATTATATTAAAGAGTCAATAAATCTTCATTTAACTAGTTGATTTTGTTAGCACAGTTGGAAATGTTTCAAAAGAAGCAGTGAAAAGACCCCAAAAGGCAGAACAGAAGTGCACTTTTTTTTTTTTAGCTGAGCTCACTAAATAATATAAATTATGAATGAATGTAATGGAACTGCTGACGGCATGGCAGTAAGATTGCATAAGCTGTTTGACTGGTGCTTTGCAGAGCAGTAATGACCTGAAAGTAAAGCAGTAAGTGAAAGCAGGTGTCTTGTGTCTCACTGAGCAAAAGAAGATGATTTACACCAGAACTCCTGGGTCTGCAGTAATTTAACAGCATTAATGCAGTTATAGCCAGCAGTTGATTCAAAGTTGCTGTACAAATGTTCCTTATCGCCCCCTTAAATCTTATACTTCTTGGTCCCTGAAGATTTACTGATTGCCTCAGAATTAATTGGAAAGTCTACTTTTCTTCATGTGAGCACCATATATATGACTTATGAAAAAAGCACAGAGTTTATCATTTTAAAAATTCATCTCTAAATTATTAGTCTTGATAACGCTCCAAAAAACAGATTGCCACAAATTAAAACCCAGGATAAACACAAGCCCTTTAGAGAATATGCGTTACACTGAATTAAAAGGGACATTGTCTTGGGAGTATTTCAGGTCTGATTTTTGTGAATAACGATGGATTGCATAGCATAGTGTTATTTTATCCTTAGGTTGAATTATCTATAAATCATGATAATGTTGGCCTGAAAAGACAGATGTTCATTCTCATTCTTCTGCTTTTCCAACAGCCTTGCATCTGTCATCAGAGGCCAAGTACTGACTGCTGATGGAACTCCACTTATTGGAGTAAATGTCTCGTTTTTCCATTACCCAGAATATGGATATACTATTACCCGCCAGGACGGAATGTGAGTTAGTCCCATCACACTATCTCTGAAGGATTTGAAATATAAAAACTAGACCTTCCTGTACCACTGTCATGTTTGACTGTCCTTTTAAATATGGAAATGCAGCAACTTTTTAGACTCTACAAACTTGTGACAGTACATATGGCAGAGATTTAAAGTCATATACTCACATACTTCTTCAAAAGTTGATTTTATTTTCTAAGGCATGGTAATACTGTAGTTTTGTAGGAGAATGCTCTTTGTCTCAGCAGATGTATGTTGAAATCTTTAGGGGTAATATTTTATAATGTCTGTAACTTGAGCTCAGATGGTTCCGAGAAAAGAGTCAATGGAAAGCAAATTTGGAAAAAAAAATTGGTGAACTTGGTGAATACACATAGGACACAAGAGTATTTATTGTATAACTCTTGGAATATTCCCATAGATCTGAAAATATTTCATATAAAAGTTGGGAGAAAAAGTTGATTTTCTTTATAAAGCATATTAACTTAAGGAGGTGTGTATTGGTAGTTATGTGGGATCCAGACAATTCACTAAGCATACCTTGTTCTTTCTTAGGTTTGACTTGGTGGCAAATGGTGGGGCCTCTCTAACTTTGGTATTTGAACGATCCCCATTCCTCACTCAGTATCATACTGTGTGGATTCCATGGAATGTCTTTTATGTGATGGATACCCTAGTCATGAAGAAAGAAGAGAATGACATTCCCAGCTGTGATCTGAGTGGATTCGTGAGGCCAAATCCCATCATTGTGTCATCACCTTTATCCACCTTTTTCAGATCTTCTCCTGAAGACAGTCCCATCATTCCCGAAACACAGGTAAAATATTCTCACAGGCAGTACTTGTAAATACAAGATCTTCAGATCATGTTTTGCCAGAGAATCTTAAAAATAGGTTATAGAGTCCGGGCACGGTGGCTCACTCCTGTAATCCCAGCGCTTTGGGAGGCCGAGGTGGGCAGATCATGAGGTCAGGAGTTCAAGACCAGCCTGGCCAACATAGTGAAACCCCATCTGTACTAAAAATACAAAAAAAAATTAGCCGGGCATGGTGATGGGCACCTGTAGTCCCAGCTACTTGGGAGGCTGAGGCAGGAGAATCGCTTGAACCCAGGAGGCAGAGGTTGCAGTGAGCCGAGATCACACACTACTGCACTCCAGCCTGGGTGACACAGTGAGACCCTGTCTCAAAAAAAGACAAAAACAAAACCAAAAAAACCCACGGATTATAGAATTCCAGTGCTATCTTTAAATAATTCTATAAGACCCTGTCTCAAAAAAAGACAAAAACAAAACCAAAAAAAACCACGGATTATAGAATTCCAGTGCTATCTTTAAATAATTCTATAGAATGAATATATAGTGGGTGTTGGGGTGTGTGTGTGTGTGTGTGTGTGTGTGTGTGTGTGTGTGTGTGTCCTACAGTAGACATTGTTATAGTAGGATATCTAGTTATTTCTTTTTTCTTTTTTTTTTTTTGAGACGGAGTCTCGCTCTGTCGCCCAGGCTGGAGTGCAGTGGCACGATCTCGGCTCACTGCAAGCTCCACCTCCCGGGTTCACGCCATTCTCCCGCCTCAGACTCCTGAGTAGCTGAGACTACAGGCGACTGCCACCAAGCCAAGCTAATTTTTTGTATTTTTAGTAGAGGCAGGGTTTCATCATGTTGGCCAGGATGGTCTCCATCTCCTGACCTCGTGATCCGCCCACCTTGACCTCCCAAAGTGCTGGGATTACAGGTGTGAGCCACCGCACCCGGCCTTTCTAGTTATTTCTTAAAGATCTACTCAAACAAAATACTTTTTCTTCAGGATATACCTTATATATTTATTAATAATAGTCAAATGAAACTGTAGCTTAAACTCAATCACTAATAATGTCTTTGTTCATTTATTTATTTATTGAAAAAAAACTTTAGTGCCTAAATGTACCTGACAGCTTGACTGACATTGTACCAAGTGCTACTGACACCACTCACTATTGCACATGGCTATTAGCCTCAATAACTTACTGTTTAATTATTGTTGTCAGTAAAAAGTGTTTTGGAAAAGGTAGTTTTGACAGAAAATATTCATTAATATAACTTTTTAAGAAATAGCCATGCATTCCCCATTCGTTTCATCTACTGAAATAGCTGAGGATTGTGTTCCGTCCCACATGTTTCCAGTTAGAAATAACTTTCAGATCTTAAAAGTAGGATGTTAGGTGTAATAATAATGGATTTTGCCAGGCGGCGTGGCTCACTACTATAATTCCAGCACTTTGGGAGGCCAAGGCAGGAGGATGGATCGAGCCCAGGAATTTGAGACCAACCTGAGCAACATGACAAAACCCTGTCTCTACAAAATATACAAAAAATTAGCCAGGCGTGGTGGCATGCACCTGTAGTCCTAGCTACTCAGGATGCAGAGGTGGGAGGATCACTTCAGCCCAGAGAGGTCAAGGCTGCATGAGCCATGAGTGCCACTGCACTCCAGCCTGGGTGCTGGGAGTGAGACCCTGTCTCAAAAATATATATATAATCATAATAGACTGTATTCGTAAAGAGGTAAGGAAAAATCTGTGGTCATTAAAGTACACTAGCACATAGCAGCTTTGTCATATTCATTCTCCCGATATTTCTTGAAAACCCGTTCTGTAGCAGGCGCTGTTATGTGAGAACAAAGCAGTAAACCACTCAGATGAAGTACCTGCTCTAACTGAGCTTCCCAACTCATGAGTGGAGAGAGGCAGTCAACAAGAAATATGTCAGGTTGCGATGAGACTTATCAAAAAATAATAAAGCAGGGGACAGTGGATAGAGGTATGATCTTACATAGTATAGTTTGAGAAAATCTCTTCAATAAGGTGACATTTCAGCACAAACTTTAAGAAAGTAAAAGAATAAGCCCTGAAAATAGAAGGGGATTCTTGGCTTGTTCAAGGAGTGGCAAAAAGGACAGCAGGCACAGCTGGAGTGAAGGCGGCAGTGAATAAATCACAAGCCATTGGAGACCATGGCAAAGATAACTCTTTGAGAATTGGAAGCCATTGAAGGTGTTTAAGCAGAGCAATGACAGTCACTGATTTCCTCCTTTAAGGAATTTCTATGCTGAGAATATCCTATATTGGGCAAGGGTGGAAACAAGGAGGCCAGTTAGGAGGCAACCTCAGTTGTCCACAGGAGAAATTATGGTGGCTTGGACAAAAGTCTTTGGAGGTAGAAGCAGACATGGAAGAGTGGAGTCCAGGGAAGAGGTTGAAACTAAAGAGGTAAATTTGGGAGTCATTCGCATATAAATATAAAGCATAAACCTAGGGAGGGAGCACAGATAGAGACTACAAGAGGTGAGCCAGAAAGGTCTAGGATAACAAAAAGTCAAAAAGGCTGACAGGCAAAGATGTTGCAATAGCAACACCTCAGGGATTCATTGTAAAATGGTCAAGCCAACTTTGAGCTGAAACTTTTAAGAAGTTCATTGTAACCTCAATCAATTTAATACTTCCTCCCCAGGCCCATCTTGCAGGAACTCTAAACTTCGTAGTCAGTCCTAAAATAGACTTTACCTAGAGTCAGTATCTGTCTGTAGGTGCCAAATTTCTAGCAAACTAGGACATTAAAATGGGTTTCAGATAGTCAACAATTCCATGAATACATGGAGTCTTTTCTCCATTCGTTCATTCATTCATTCATGCGGTAGGCAAATATTTCATAAAAATTTACTGAGAGCCTACTATGTACAAGGTACTTTACTAAGATAAAAAGAAGAAGACGTGCATCCTGCCATTCTAAATGCGATAAAGATTTTAATGAAGAATGATACAAGTTCAAAGGAGAGGTCAATTCCTAAGTAAGCCAAAGAAGGAATCACTGAGGAGTTTGGGCTGAAACAAGGATTAGGCTGGAGAGGGAGGAAAGCACGTTTCAGATTGAAGATGTGTAAGCAACAGTGGAGTGGCAAAAACAAGTCATGTTGTAGAGGGGACAATGGGGAAGGAGGCAGAAGATGACCCCAGGGCCAGCTGATGAATGGCCCTGAGAAGCAATCTAGTGGAGACCTTGAATTCCTTAGGTGATGCGGAACCAAGACCCCAGTGGAGTTTTTTCAGCATTTCTCTAAAGTTAACTCAAGTGGCAAAACGCACTTGAAAGAAGCGCAGAAGATATTGATAGAAAAGAGAAATGAGTGAACAGGCTGTTCTTGTGAAGTGTATATCCATGCGTATCCAGGGCTCAGATGGAGAGGGCCTCGCAATCACAATGGTAGTGGAAATGAAGAAGAGGGAACACATTAGACAGGGATTGGAAGATAGAATTGGCAGGACATGGTTCCTAACCGAATGTTTAACGGGATCAGGAATAGGATTTAAAGCTCACGCAGCTGGCAAGAGTAGGCCTGATGGTTTATTTTCCCACTTTGGCTGGATTTACCTTTCCTACTAATGCAAAATAACATGGTCAAGTTAAATTACATCAGAGAAACACATGCTTTAATGAACAAAATTACAGATATTAAAATCAAGTACAACACATGATATTTTGAAATAGAGAGGCAGCTTCTGGAAGGTCACAGGAAATACATATAATATTCGTAAGAGAGTCCCTTACTCATGGAAAACCTGTCAAATGTATCGGAAATTATTTTGAAAATAAGAGGAAGCAAATGATGGGCTTTAGGGTTAAATCACATGTTATCAGGGTCATTCTGGAGTCACAGAATCTATTTTTCAAATTAACTCCTTGATATTTCACTGATTATGGGAGAACAATGAGTTATCTTTAAACCATTCACCCTAACAACCTACAGTCTTACAAAAGTACCCTCAATCTTAAATTTAATGGTTTCCCTGGGTCTAAAAAGTTTCTATATGTTTGTAAACTATTTTGCTTAAGACCGTTTTGTGGCTGAATTCAGTCAGCATGTTTGAAGGAAAACTCCAATGGTAATAAATTCGTGTATCTACATTAGAAATGCCTCTTACTGTACTGTACTGTACCACATCGCGTCCCTCTTCATGCCAACACTGACTGACAGGCCAGAATGGAAGCTTCCTTCGTCCATTCATTCATGCTGCTTCCAACTGTGTGATTGTTTATATTGAAGCTGACAGCTCCACCCTCAGTACAAGGGGTCTTGGAGGGTTTTACTGAAGTTATTAAAGTTTGGAGGTGGCAGATAGACATCATCTTTAACTGTTCTATGTGGAGGTGGTGGGGAAAGGGGAAACATTGCTGAACACTGAATCACTATTCTAAGATCTTTCCAACATGAAAAGGCAGCCCTTTCTGTCTGAATAGTGAATCTTGATAGGGCAATATAAGGAAGCCTTTGAGAGTACTGTTTAATTCTTCGTGGAGAAAGTAGTGAGTTCCTGGTGCACGTTCTTGAACACAGATAGCCTTGCACTTACAGCCTATGTAGAAAGCCTATGAAGAGCTGTTCTTATTCACCAAACTAACAGGAGCATTGGTAAAGAGAATCTGAACTCTTTAGAAAAATTGTGTATGCTGCCTAAAATACATTTTTCAAAATAAGTAATGTTTTGGCATAATGTATTTTGCATTTCTTAATATAAATATTGTCAGCATACACTGACTGGTAATCTATGGGGTTAAGAGTATAATTTTTTTTAATTTGTAAAGGAGATAATTCTTATGCACATAATTATATTCATTTTTACAGTCCAGTTTCAAATAAAAAAGTGTGAATTGATATGTTCTATGTGCATTTAATAACATATTAGTTGCTCTCTAGGATAAATTGTATGGAGCTTTAAAATATTAGCTAATTTACCATCATATCAAAAATCCATGGTAAGTTGGAGCTCAATCTTTAATTATGACAATGTGCTATTATTACATTACCTCTCAACATGGATATGGAATCTGCTACAATCTAACCCAAACGATTGGGTGTTTTTTGTTATCCTTACTGTCTTTATAGGCTGTGACCAGCCAGCTGATGAGGCTATAGGTACTGGTTTAGTCCCTAAATGAGCCAGCTGGCACAGGCCAGATCTTTGGCCTAGACTGCATCCCTGTTCTGAGCTAACCATCTTACAAATGTCTGCTCTAATTCTCCAGGGTGATGGGGTGAAAGATGGGTTAGTGAGAATCCACTGTGACTACTGCACTAACAAGTCAGTGCATGTCAGCCTGATGGAGCAGTCACAGTGTTTCCCGTATGAAGAGTAGCACCCGAGGTATGATTAACTCAGAATAAATGACAGGAGGCTTTTAGGAAGAGACATTTGGGCTGGCAGCAGAGTTATTTTTAATTATTGAATAAGATAACAGCTCAAATGCATATTTGTGAATAGTGATTCTTTTGTGTTTTATTTTAGTTGCTCTAAAGCAGCTAAAATAAGCACATTGTCTTTGTGAGTAAGTAAACTAAGACACAGAGAGTCACTATTCACAAATATAGTGAATATGTGCTACATAAATATATTTTATCTAATCGTCATACGTGATCACAGTTTGAAACTTCTGCTTTATTCAAACTTAGGTACTCCACGAGGAAACTACAATTCCAGGAACAGATTTGAAACTCTCCTACTTGAGTTCCAGAGCTGCAGGGTATAAGTCAGTTCTCAAGATCACCATGACCCAGTCTATTATTCCATTTAATTTAATGAAGGTTCATCTTATGGTAGCTGTAGTAGGAAGACTCTTCCAAAAGTGGTTTCCTGCCTCACCAAACTTGGCCTATACTTTCATATGGGATAAAACAGATGCATATAATCAGAAAGTCTATGGTCTATCTGAAGCTGTTGGTAAGTTCCATATAAATCTTTGCTGCAGTGAAGTTTTTCTCAAAGCCAGAACTATCATAAATTAATTGTAACCCAGGGAAGTCAGTGGATAAACAGAATATAAAGAGAATAAGGTTGTCCTAGGGATATTATACCTTGGCTGGTTTAGATCTACCGTGGGAAAAGGAATGTACTCCATGTGGCAAGAAGAAGAAAATATCAGCCTTTTCTGGCTGAAATTATGTTGTAGAGGAATTCTGTGAATGAGGTTTCAGCTTGTCACATCCTTTCTCCCCCCATGTTTCTTTCCTTATTTTGTCCCTTTCTTTTTCCATTTTCTTCTTCTCTTTATAACTTTACCTCCCTGGATTTCCTTATTTGTTTTTGTTTTCTGTGTCTAACACTAATGTAGTTTCAGTGCATACTGATGTTTAACAGGATAGCAGACATTTGTGTCCATGAATTACATCAGCTGTTTTCACTAGAACGGCCGGTTCATTCAATGAAAGGATAATCAAACCAGTTGTTTTATTGAATGACTGAACAGTGCAATCAAAGTGTGACATGTTGAGAGACAGACAGAGAGAAAGAGAATAGGTATATAGTATAGCTTCAAGCTCAAGCTCAGAACATAAAAAACTAAAGAATGATATGTTTTTGTTTTAATTAGTATTTACCTTAAAATAGAACATTGTACTCTGAAATTAATAGGTAATTTGGATTTGAATTAGTTCAAATCAATCCAGTAATTGCCACTTCTCCTTTCATTTTTTCTCAATTTTAAATTCCCTGTTTCATTGTGAACTCTGGAAAGCTTTTCATCTGTGGTTTATTCATATTACTGCTAGTTTGTTTATTTCTGATAATAATATGTCAGCATAATGTCATAATCTGGCTAGCTTTTTTGTTCCATTGAACCTTACTTATCATAAATATTTTCCATAATTTAACACTCTTGAGTGAAAACTAAAGAGTTCTAATTATTCAGATGGCAAACGTTATTTTTAGTTGTTATCTAATCACTGTTTGAGACTGACTGATCTAATTACTTAACCGGCTGCCCAATCTGGACTTTATTTTGTGCTGTGAACCCCTCATGAAGGGGTGGTATGGGGAAAAAAACACTCATTTTCTATTAAATCAGTGGAAAATAATATTTGGAGATCTTTTTTTAAAAAAAAATCTTTGGTGAAATCTTCTTAAATTAAAAAATAAACTGCTCATAAATAAGTGGAAATACAGTCTCAGAACACAGATGTGAAAAAGGCAGTTTTTTCCAAGTAAGAAAATAAATTGCATTTCCCCCAGTCGTTGGAAAGATGAGCTGTGATTTGTTTGGATTCCAGTGTCAGTTGGATATGAGTATGAGTCGTGTTTGGACCTGACTCTGTGGGAAAAGAGGACTGCCATTCTGCAGGGCTATGAATTGGATGCGTCCAACATGGGTGGCTGGACATTAGATAAACATCACGTGCTGGATGTACAGAACGGTAAGCTCTTGTTCATAGATAACTGATGTTGTAATGTATTGTTCAGAGATAGCTAATGTTGCCCACTTTCCAACTCATGAGATTGTAGCAACATTTTATGCTATCCATGCTGTAGGATTAGAAATGGCAGAAAAAAAATAAAGGTGAATTTTTAAAGATTATAAAAGCCTAAAGTGGGAACTGTATAATACTTTCTTAATATACTTTAAAATGTTCATGAATTGATCGCCAAAATGATTTTCCCATTAGAATGTGAAAGACTGACTTTGGTGTTGTAATGGAAGATCTCTGAGTGGGAGTCGTCAGCACAGATTCACCTAGAGTGTCTCATTCTACAGTGAGTCAGTGAGTGTGAGCCAAAGTACTTTAGAAAGGTTTACCAAAAATGGAGGGAGGGGGGATTTGTTTTTTAAAATAAAGAAAAAAAAATCATGTGACTTCACCAAAATATTTTTAGTAGATTTTAATTCTCGGGTAATTATTCTGAGTATCTAGATTTTTTTTTTTCAGTTCTTCTCAGACTATTAGGGAAATAAAGCATTCTGCCACTCAAATGGGGTCACATATATTGTTACTTGACTTGGTGAATATTAGGGGAAAAAATGAATAATCTGAGAAAAAAGCAAGAATCAAAAGCGTTCCTAGGAGTAGACCTGATAATGTCCTAGTGAATATGCTCTGAAGAAACATGTTTCAAATGCCGCAGACCAAAAGAGGAGTATTTGCAAAATATGACCAGCTTAATCTCATCAAGAATATTATTTATATGAAACACAATTCTGTTGTCTAGACTGTGTTTCCAACATTTTGCCCACATGCTAGCTGCATCTCAGACAACCTGAAGGGTGCTTTGCTGGAAAAGCAGGACCGTAAGTTAATCTATTATACTTTAGCATCCTGTCCTACACCATATCATACTAGTACTCTACTTTTACTGATAGCCAGAGAAAAAAGTCACAGTCTCAGCAAAATAATCTAACTCTTGACTTTGCAGAGGTTTTTGGAAGGTTCAGAATATTGACTTGACCATGTACTACAATTAAATGTTTATAGCTAATGGTCAGTTTTTCATATTAATGTTGCTTCAGTGTTCATTCCTGCTTGAAACAATTTTTTTGTGTGTGAGTGTCAGAGAGGGTGCATTTTAACCTTCCAAATATATACAGAATAAAGTAGTTTTAAGACCATTACTTGAAAATGCTCGTGCTGGGCCTGATGCAGTGGCTTATGCCTGTAATCTCAGCACTTCAGGAGGCCAAGGCAGGTGGATCACTTGACGTCAGGAGTTTGAGACCAGCCTGGCCAACATGATAAAACCCTGTCTCTACAAAATACACAAAAATTAGCCATGTGTGGTGATACGCACCTGTAGTCCCAGCAACTCGGGAGGCTGAGGTGGGAGAATCTCTGGAACCCAGGAGGCAGAGGTTCCAGTGAGCTAAGATCGTGCCACTGCACTCCAGCCTGAGTGACAGAGTGAGACTCCGTCTCAAAAAACAAAAAAGGAAGAAAATGCTAGTGCCTTCCCTCCAGGAAATAATAGTCTGAGAAAACCAGTAGTAAGGAAAAACAAACAAAAAAGCAGAAAAACCCTTCCCTGCTTCACTATTTTATAGCAGTATATTAAGCTCTACACCCCTTCCAGTTACGTCCTGGACATCAGGATGCAGTTCAGTTTGCACCCCGAATTAAACAGAGCGGATAACTAGTGCCACATGCAGCACACATTGAAAAGGTGGGACTCCTGACTAAGCAGGGGACTCCAGTGTTCTCTCAGAGCCTCTCTTAACTCATCAGTGGTGTCTGAAGCAGTAGTAGTTTCATTCTGTTATATTAGTAGCACAAGGTTCAATCATGGTCTTTTAAAATGCGAAGCCATATGGCAAACATGCTAGTAGCTGCTCTTGATGAAATTGTGTAAAATTATATTTCACACAGTTTGAACATATTTCTGTATTCCTTCAGAAACCCTCTAAAAACAAAACTAGGGGAAACGTCTCTAGATGCCATTTAGTTATGATGAGAGTATAGGGTAAAGTTCATAACCAGTTAGCTACAGGATTTCACTCAAGAGATTACGAATCAATAGGAAAACTACAGGCATCTCTGTAGCTCCGAAAAAGCCCATGCCTCTGTAATTCACCATTGTATGATACAACACACGATATTATATTCAGGAGGATTCAGAAATATGTAGATGTTCTGTATATGTATAATATAAATACACACATATTCTAAACCAGAATAACATATGGGTAACTTCTATTAAAATACCAGGGCAGATGTAAAAACCGAACTTTCCAAAATGCTGTCCTCAAAAAAAAATGTTCTAAATTATAAAATATATTTAGGCCGAGCACGGTGGCTCACACCTGTAATCCCAGCACTTTGGGAGGCTGAGGTGGGCAGATCATTTGAGATCAGGAGTTCCAGACCAGCCTGGCAACATGGTGGAACCCCGTGTCTACTAAAAATACAAAAATTAGCCAGGCTTAGTAGTGGGCACCTGTAATCCCAGCTACTCAGGAGGCTGGGGCAGGAGAATCACTTGAGCCAGGGAGACGGAGGTTGCAGTGAGCCAAGATTGTGCCACTGCACTCCAGCCTGGGTGACAGAGCAAGACTCCATCTCAAAAATAAATAAATAAAAGAAAATATGTGTTATTTTTAAATGTGAGATAACCTCAGCCACAGGGTGAACAGATTGCAGTTTAGAATTTTATCCAAGAACATTTTGACAAGTAGTGGCTTTCCAAAGTGACATGTGTCTAATTGAATAAACAAAGTGATTTGTAGTCATGACAAGGTGGATGAGCTATAGAAAGACATGAAGGAAGAAGAGAATACGGAAACGTAGATGCTGACAGTTATTCGTGCGGGCGCCCTGAAACATGGAAATAAATATTCTCATGTTCATCTTTCTGTTCTGTCATCATAGAGAAGAAGCAGGAAGGGCCAATCGTTCAAAGTAATGACTGAATAAATCAGATGTTGTAGAGCGGTAGTCTGACTTGTAGGATTCTTCTGATGAAAATTACACAACTGGCTCTTATAGGAAATTATAGCTCCATAATTATCAACTAACGTAATCACAGAAAGAAGAATCTTAGATATCACTAATGCATTCTTTGAATATTCAAGGCAAAATGCATTTCACCTCTTGTTATGATCCAGCCTTATTTAGCTTATTTTTCTTAAATTTGAATAAACCTGTTTTATTTTCCCTGATTTCTTTATGTAAATTTGCTATGATTATTACATCACCCAAATAGCAAAGCATTAAAGAAGTAATCACAGAATGCACCTAAAATGTGCTGAGTTATAAGGAGAACATAATTATTCTAATTTCTTCTTCACTTTAAAATTATCCCGAAGTGGGGGGAAAAAGCACTTTCTCAAGTTTCCTGATTGTACTTTCGTGGGATTATTCTTTCAACAGTGTATCTGCTAAGAAGTAGGGCCATTATCTCTGAGAACTTCTTTGGAACATAGAACATTCAATAAATAGAATATATGCCGCTCTAAAGTCAAAGCAGCAGGTGGTGTATACAGATGATAACACATTGAGAAGTGTCATAAACTGTGCATGGAACAATAGCAGCTGACTACCCCGTGTGCATCACGCCAAACTGGAGGCACTGATCTGTATAGAGCAATGGCAAAAGCAATAAAATTACAATCTCAACTCAAATCTAATTTCTAACCATGAAAATATTTAATATTCATTTGGAAGCTTTTCTCAGATTTTCACTGAAGACCATAAAAGAGCAGACTGGCATTTTGTCTTGATAAAATTATTGGCACTTCCATGCCTTAAAGCAGAATTCACTGTAAATAATACATTGGCCTTCTACAACAGTTTTGTTATGTTCGACATTTTGAATAACCGCATGTATATGCATTCTCCTATTGGATGAGAGTGTACGCAGGAATAGTCTTTGACAGGATAGGTAGAGTTAAAATAAGCCTGTATTATCGTTACAGCTTTGGAGTTTGATGTCTATTTTCTACCTTTGTTTTCCACAAAGTTTGTTAACTTTAAAGAAAATTATAAATTCAAAAGAAATTTGTATTCCTGGTTCACATTTTTATTGACTGAATATTTTCAATATTGATTAACAATGAGGCAAACTTGTTATTCCCTAAAGAACATTATGTAGAGCCTGTTCTCAAACCTGGTTGCACGTTAAGATCATCTGGAGAGTTTTTCTAAATTTCAGGGCTAAGGCTGCACCTCAGACAAATTAAACCACCATCTCTCTGGGTGAGAACCAAGCATTAATATTTTTTGGCAACTCCCCAGGCCATTCCAGTGTATAGCCATGACTGATCATCACTGATGTTGAGAATTGGGGTTTTAATTCTTCTCAGGCTTTTGTTCCTTTCACCAGACATGATTTCAGTTCACAGTAGACAGCACTGTTGGTATATATCCTATGGACTTTATCGTGTAATATTTTACACTAGGTAGTTGAATACAATTCATTCCAATGGAGCTTCAAATAAGAATGTCTTAATCCAGACCTGACAGGCATTGAATTATAGTTAAAACAATCATGAACATGTTTGCTTTTCATCTTTACACTTTTTCATCATAAGAAAAACAATGCACTTTATTTCTTCTAGGTATACTGTACAAGGGAAACGGGGAAAACCAGTTCATCTCCCAGCAGCCTCCAGTCGTGAGTAGCATCATGGGCAATGGGCGAAGGCGCAGCATTTCCTGCCCCAGTTGCAATGGTCAAGCTGATGGTAACAAGTTACTGGCCCCAGTGGCGCTAGCTTGTGGGATCGATGGCAGTCTGTACGTAGGCGATTTCAACTATGTGCGGCGGATATTCCCTTCTGGAAATGTAACAAGTGTCTTAGAACTAAGGTACGTCTTTCCTAAATTTGGGCTTTTAACCAAAGCTAAACGTGCCTCTTTAAAAAAAAGGTTGAGTCTGATGTACTGATTTATTCATAGAAAAATACCATCCTAAGGTTTAAAATTTCCCCCAGAAAGAAGTCAAATTCTTGCTTAAAGTTAAGAGAAGCATAACACATATAAATTGTCCCATAAGTGTATTAAAGAGCATAAAGTCACCCAATATATCAAATATCTTACTGATTTCAGTGAATTTTCTGTGCTCTAAAAGGCTAGAGCTATGATTCTTAAATCTCTTTCGCTTTCTTTAGAATAACCCTGTGACATAGGTGTAGCTCTTTTATTTCATAGTGGTTGAAATTAAGGCATAAAATATTTTCCTGTGATTTCAGGACCTGATATTAAATGGACTAAGGCTACAACTTTTAACTAGAATATTGGATCTTCAGGTTGGGTTAATCCATTAGCCATAATGCCAATAGTAAAAGTAACATATTGTCTTTGCTTTGTTCATTTAAGTGTGACTTTCAAATCATTCTATTCTGTAAGTTATTTGGTAAGCCCTAGACTACAGAATTCATTTCCAGTATCATTTCTGCCAAGTTGGCAATTTTCCATACAAATAATTAAAATCTCAGAATTCAACTCATTATATTTTAGAAGGCTTTTCTAACTGTGCTTTCTTTTTTTTTTTTTTTTTTTTTTTACCTTTTTTTATCTGCTTCCACCAAGAAATAAAGATTTTAGACATAGGTAAGCATCTTACCTTAAGGTTATTGTATATTTTCAAATATCCTTTTTACATTTCAATGTGACCCTCTGAAATTGTTTTCTAAGAATATTTCATCATGAGAGAGGAAACTCAGTATCACACATCATCGAAGGAATTAAAAGTGCTTAATTGAACAATTATTATACAATATATTGCGAGTTATTTACGTGATATAATTTGAGAAATCTTTCTCAGTTGGTTCATAAAATAAATTTCATTACAAAAAAGTATAAGGAATATCTCTCTATAACAAAATTATTTCCAAGCATTAGTTACTGACCGACACAATCTAAGCCATGTTGAACAGCATGAAACCTGAAGCACAGTAAGGAGGTTTGAGAAGGCCTGCCTGGTTCCAAGAAAACCCCTGACAGGTTGGGTTTTATTGGAGACTGTTTAAGAAAAAGAATCTAGAAATATTTTACCTTGGCAAATTTTTTAAAACATACGATTATGTGAACATGTGGCTTGGCAGAGTGAGAGGCCCCAAAACTGAAGCTTAATTATTAGCTTCCCGTAAATTCCTCTTTGCCTATAGTTTATATTTTCCTAAGTTGGGAGAATTACTAGATTTAAGAAGTAATGTTTTCATTGCCATTATTATGGAGGAAATGACTTTCTTCAAAGTGAAGGACGAATATAGTTGAAGCAAATATATAGACTCAGAAGTGTTTCATGTCTGCTTTCTGTGTACACGTAGCTGCAGAAGATACAATAAAGACTTGTATGGACACATTTGATTGAAAAACTTTGCTCGGGATAGAAAAAAAAAGGCGGAGGAAACCAATGTTTTAAAGTAAAGCTGGCAAAAAGCTAGACAGGTTAGACATGCTAGATCTAGTTTGGTCATTAAAATATCTAATGAAATGATATCAGATAGAAATATTAATAATATTTTATGTGAGGTCTTTTAGATGAATAAGTCAACATAACCCATTTAAACTGTTGTGTAGTGATTAGCAAACAAAAACCAAACTAGCAAACAAAAACCAAAGTTCTACTGAAAGATGGATAGCTGTCGCATATCAGGGTGACCAAACCTGGCCCCATGATCTTTTCCTGAGATCCCCTATTGATCTTAAACTTGCAGCTAATAGCTCAGTCACATGCTAAAATCAACACTTCATCTCCCCAGGATACTGAGCGTGCAAAGCTCTGCTATTAGAAACCACAATAGAATTTCAAAAACTTGCTGGTCTTGTTTTCTTGGTAGCTGTGGAGAAAAGAGGAAAGACAGACAGGTTGCACACCAAGTAAATGTGAAAATGCTGGAGGCAATACAGAAAAAACTATCAAAGCAGCTACCTTTTAACAAGCGGGCCTATTCCATGCCGGGCATGGTGCCAGATATTTTATATCTGTTATTGCAGATCCACACAGCAACCCCTCAGGGTTATAAGTGACGTAGTAGAGGCTCCAGGAGATTATGTATCTTCCCCAAAATACATATCTAAGAAATGGGTAGCAGACAGTTAAACCACTCTAAAAATATGTTCTTTCCACGGCACCACACAGCCGGTTTTTCTGTGTCCCAGTGGCCAAGATTCTAGGGGCTCATTCCCTGGGTATGCAAAAAGCAAGACTTATTTCACAATCATTTTACCTGTTATTTAAAGCCATAATCTCTCCCTCTGGAAAAAAAAAAATCTATGAGGTTAGAGTTACGTCTTTATTAACAGTAGAAATTCATTTTGTACTAACTCCTGGTGTTTGGCAGTGATACTATTGTAATCCCTCTCTCATGATCCTCCATAATCCTTCTCCTCTGTCCATCATCCTAACTACATTTGTGCTTCTGCATTTCCTTTATGTGCCATGCATGAAGAGTACACTTTTTGGGTTTTATATGGATATTTAATTACATGAAATCAATCAGCGTTAACTGATCACTTACCGTGTGTTAGGCACTTTGAAAAATAATAATATAAGACAAAATACCTCCTCTCAGAACTCACAATCTAGCAGAGGAGACAAGGTATATATGTGACACCTTAAATAACATTATCAGTATCATTCTTTGACACTTAATCATACCCGTGGTCCGTGGTTTCAAATGTGAGAATAGTTCTGTAAAGGAAGAGATTACTGGGAGATGGCACTACGGTAAGGAAACGTTTTCTGGAAGGGCTGATATTTGAGCTAGGTCTAAAAATGAAGTCTGCTTAAATAGAACAGCAAGAAGAAAAGAGGGCAGTCATGAAGAAATAGAGAAAGCAAGTAAAGTTACTGGAGACTGGGGGAGAGCTGAGCAAGACATGTTCTGAGAGTAATCAGACCCACCTGAATGGAACAGGGGGTTCATGGTGGTAATCACGAGAGATACAGGCAGAAAGGCAGGGGAGGGTCAGATTGCTTGGGGCCTTGAGGGCTCTAAGGAATTATTCTCTCCTATAGGATACCTGAGACAGTGGGGACCCATTTTAGGATCCTGAACAAGTGGCACACTCAAAGTGGCCTTTTAGGAAGAGTAATTTGGTGTCAGAGTTCAAAATGATTGAACATCAGATCAATTAGAAAGCTGTTGCAGCTTGAGATGCTAGATACCTAAAACAGGATGGTTAGCAGTGAAGAAAGCCAAACGATAAAATAAACGGAAGGAGAGAATGGAGAGTATTTGTCTAAGTGATAAGAAAGAGGAAGATGTAGAGAATGTGTAAGGTCTTTGAGCCCAAATCATCAAACATGATCATGTCATTGATAAAATAGGGATTCCATTTGCTTAGTAAGTAATAAAATTGACCTAGCAAAGTCAACATATTTTAGTTCATTGGAACTTCTTCTTTTAGCTTAAAAAATTAAAGTTCTTTTCAGATGCTTCTTCCTGTGTACCTGCCTATCGTTACCTTCCCTTTCCTGGTTAATAAGATCCTTCCTGGCGTGCTCCTTATCCTCGCTTTCTTGGGCAGCATGAGTCATGAGAGGCTTAGGAACAGGTCATAGGAAGAAAAAGAAATGGAAAAGTGTGTCTAAATCTACAAAAGGAATGGTATTGCCAGTTGTTAATGATTAAAATATAAAAATGCAAACTTTTTATCCTCTTCTATATTTCATATACTGTAAACAGTCTCGTTAGTTGGACTAATGGGGGAATAATAAAAATATTGAATAAAAATTAGTATAAAAACACATTGTCTTATTTTAAAATTCAGAGAGTGTTCTGTTATATCAAACTAATAAGCACCACCAGGATATTACCTGAAATAAAAATTCTTAGCTATACTTTAGTGAATAGGTATAAATGTTACTGATCAACATATTAAACTTTTTACATACATAGAAGCTGCTACAATTCTTTAAAAATGTCTTTCTTTTAGATGTACCAAACATTTCCTTCTCTGATGTTTATAGTATTAGTTTGCTAAGGAACCCCTTTAATATGTAGTAAGTTTTACCTCATCCTTGTTCCAATTCTCACACATTGCAAAATTTAAAAATTACATTAATTAACTAATACCAGCCAAAGGGCACTTAAACATGTAGAACTAAAAATCAACTTTGTGAATTTTATATTACCAATTAAAGGATCAAAGAAAGTGTCAATCATAAGTCTGTGAATTTGAATCCATTAAAGTGTAGATACCAAATTATAAAAATTTTATTCAGTACCCCTTATTGACTTAATATTTAAAAATCAAGCAGGCATGGAAATATCACACCCCAAGTCCCTGCTTGCAATATTCTAAACAGTCTTTTGGTTACCATAAAAGAAGCTGTTTTACTTTTATATGTGAATATAGTTTGTTATGCTTCTTCAAATGTCTTGTGTTCTAAAGGCTGTGACACAGTTTCCAACTCAGAAGATAGAAGTGCTAATAATATCTGTTCTCTGGCTTGTTCTTTGTGAATATTTCTCTAGTCTAAGAAGGTTGAATTATGACAAAATAAATGAGCAAATCCAGCCTGCACTTACCACTGGATCTGTGTCTAATTGAATGAGACTAGAGAAGATGTCTTGATAATTGTGATGATCTAGGCAATTCAGGATGAGTTAAGAATCAAGGTGTAATATACTAAAGGTTCTTAACTTGATCTCAGTTTCCTTGGTTTTGCTATTAGTCAAAATTGTAATATTTCAAACCTTTCTGAAATAGTGAAATCTCAACCAATCACATGAGAATGCTGCTGTGCTTCCGCTCAGCAGAGATTTCCCAAAACCAAGCATTTTGAAAATCCCTGTGCTCCAGCTGCTGGCTGCAGCCGGTTCCGTCGTGGTAGCCTCACGTTTTCACAGTAGATAGATTACTGACCTAAAAATTCACCACTCGTTGTACCCACACACCCGCCTCTTCAGTGCTTTGGCTTTTCAGAAAGTTGGAAAGCAAGCACGAGCTCACACTGTCAACTCTCTATGCTCAAATTAGGTGACCTTGAATCCCAGTCCTATGGCATATGATTCAGAGCTTCACTGCCACCAGTCTGTCAACTAGAAATATCCAGACTCACTTTTTTTCCTTTTAGTACTTCCATGCTGATCCCTCTTTTCATTTAGGAGAGACCAGCATCTAACAACCAGCTCTAATTTGCCATCCTAGCCTGCGCTGCTGGGAATTTGTCAAGTTCTCATTTCCTACCATCCTGTGGGAATATTTCCAGAGGCTAATTCTCTTCTCTAGGGCCACGTAGACTCCCCCACATTTGTTCTTCTGGACAATAGAGTTGTGTCCAAAAGTACAGCTTTCATTTATCAGACATTTTTAAAGCCATTGACATTTGTTGCTTGATGGAGAAATTTCTATGTCTTCTAGGAAGGAGATGCTTCAGGACAGGAAATAAGCAAATATAAGCACCACTTTGGGCATTCTCTCTTTACTTCCCCACTAGGATAAAACTGATGACAATAAAGGCAAAGCTTATCACTTGAATGTCCATTCGTTTTTGCACCAAGAAAACTCACGTCCCATAGCTAAAGAGGATGCCACCACCACTGAAGCTGCCACCTCAATAATCTGTTTGTTTGTTTTTTCTCAAAATGAGGGCATCCTGAGGAAGTGTGCATGATTCATTTACCATGAATGAATCATCATTGTTCATCATTACTCTCTAAACAATTTAAAGTGGGTATATTGAGTCTTCATTATTTTAATAGTTTAGGATATTATAAACTGCTGTTATAACAGCAGAAGTAAAAAAACAAATTTAAACCTAACCAAGTTTAGGTTTAACAAACCTAAACCTAAACCAAGTTTAAACCTAATCAGTTTTTTTCTTTTAATATTTTCAGAAACAACTCATACTTTAGTTAATTATTGTATTCCTGCACTTTCTAAGGTTATAAGGCAAAAGACATTGCACTGTAGGAAGAGACAGGACAAAAGCGAGTATAAGGACGGTTAATTCTTAGTGAGTATGTAGTATGCGCTAGGCCCTGTTCTAAGGATCTTACATATATAGTTCGTGTAATCCTCCCAGCATCCTGTGAAATATGTATTATTATCACCACCTTTACAGGTAAGGAACCTGAGGCACAGATAAGTTAGGCAGCATGCCCAGATCATACATTTAGTGTTAGTAATGAAGTTAGGACTTAAACCCAGGCAATCGGGTACAGAGTTCATACTCAAAAGATGTACAACTGAGAAGAAAAAAAAGTATGTGTGTTATGTATACACATGAGTGTATGCATACCATGTACACAGCTAGTCACAGTTAACTGTATAATCAGGGAGGTAGGAAAGACTAGAGGGGCCTCTCCAATGTCATGTCTTTCAAAGTAGACTCAGCTTGGTGGAGTTGCAACTCTGTCACCAATTATATATACCTGAAAGACCAGCTGTGTCAACATTAGACTGTTTATAGAAAGGAAAAAAAAAAAACCTCTAAAATTGCTCTGAATGTTATATTGATTTGTAACTCTTCACTTCTTACAAAGTAATAAGCTGCCACATTAAGGGATGCAATATGTGTTGCTGCATTAAGATTGTAGGCATCAGCTTAGGAAAATGATATCATAACACTTAGCACAGCAAGTTGATCACTTGGCATAACCCAGTTGTTCTGAAATGTTTTTCTTGCACAATGACTTGCATCTTTCTGAGTTCATCTTACTTTTTACCATTTCACACACATTTACACACTCTAAGATGTCTTGCCCTAGTCTGTCTTTTGTCACTCAAAGGCTGGAAAGGAGATCCCAAAGCTGAAGGACATACAAAGCTCAAGCCTTTGTATGTCTTTGTATTTCTCTGTATACTAACATCACAGCCTAAGAGCTCTTCAGAGCTCCACAAGGCCTCTACAGACTCCATGTGTGATCTGCTGGCCTCCTCTAACAACATGAGAAACACTTAAACAATTTTAAGAATAGAATCTCTTACAGGAATGATAAAGTACAGCTATTCAGCACTTAGACGGAAAATCATCAAGTAGTGAAAATTGTTTTATTAGAACCTAACCTCATTGGTAATGAGGAGACTACTGCATCACTATTAGAATAAAAATATTCATATAGGTAGATTTATTATAAATATTTTAGATGTTCACAAATAAAATAAATGGAAACAAGCATGTAACTGTGTGTGTGTGTGTGTTCGTGGCTGTATGTGGAAAGAGGGAGAGGAAGAGAGGGAATGAGAATTAATTAATATAACTAAGTTCGTCATCAAAAGATACATGGAGTTTGATAGATTCCCATCATGTTGACGTCTTGGTTGGGACACCAAATCATTTAAATTATTTTTCAGGTTTTTGTTCAGAAGACAATCTTTGCACATGTACAAGATTACATTAATTTTAAGAATGTGGCATTGAGTGTCTGTAAGGATATTAACTTTTTAATTCCAATGATACGTCATAATTTGTCCCCTCCTTAACAGTGTTGGGCTTACCATTTTTTACAAGTAATGGGACATAAAATGTTTTACATTTGCATTTCTTTATATTTATAAAACTGAGGCACTACATTTTGTATGTCACTACATTCATAGACAGGTTTCAGAGCAGCTCAGTATACAAACTTTGGAAAGAAAACTGAAGGATCCAGCATCCTAGCTCACTGCCACAGGCCACCAACTAAGACTCCCCCGTAGACTTGAATGACCTCATTTTAATATTTAACCCCATAGGACAGACACTGGCACTTTTCTGGATTATGATAGAGCAACCAAGACAGATACAGTGGTACATTTCTTCAGGGGGAGGGTTTTTAGTTTGAAAGGATAATACCCTATGGTGAGGTATGAGCGGAATCAGTAGTATATTGTACTTCACTGGAGAATTTGATGGAGACATGCTTCCCCTGGAATAAACTTTATGTCCCTCATTCAGGGGCAGTTTTTTAATGGCTTTGCATTGAGCACAAAAGATTTAGACAATTTGCTTCTTTGTTTTAGGGTAGACACATACTGCCTTTTAAAGGTAATATTTTTTAAGATGACTGTTAGTAAATTGTTGAATCCTCAGCGTCAGGCAAGGAAGGCAAACAGTAATATCAGAGAAATGCTACCTGTGAGCACATTCTTTTGAGTCATTATTAAATAGACAGTACTATTCATGTCTAATCTTTGATCATGGATTCCAGACTATAATCAGTTTCTCATGATCTGTTTTATTTTGCTTTTAATTTCCCTCTGTGTATTAGGAGTAACTCCCTTTGATGTTTATCTATGATCCTTTTCACAGCAGCAACCCAGCTCATAGATACTACCTTGCAACGGATCCAGTCACGGGAGATCTGTACGTTTCTGACACAAACACCCGCAGAATTTATCGCCCAAAGTCACTTACGGGGGCAAAAGACTTGACTAAAAATGCAGAAGTCGTCGCAGGGACAGGGGAGCAATGCCTTCCGTTTGACGAGGCGAGATGTGGGGATGGAGGGAAGGCCGTGGAAGCCACACTCATGAGTCCCAAAGGTACCGGCAGTTGGCGATTTGAGGATTTCTTTTTATTTATTAAAAAAAAAAAAAAAGGGGTTGAAAATCCATTTAGTGCCTAGTCATGTTTAATGCTGAGTCTAACTTTTTACCTTTGACAGTGTTCTGGAAAGCTGTTTCACATCTAGGGTTTTTAAAAGCCATGTAGCATGAAACTGCTAGCATCCTAACTTGGTTTTACAGTAAATACTAGGTTCTTGGCATTTTTTATTATCATACCATTTTATCAGCTCTTCAAAGAATGAAGCAACTAACTACTCTATATAATTCAGGCCACATCCTGTTCAACTTCAAGGAAGTATCCAAATTCTTTCATAGTCCTGGAATTTCTTTGTCATGAATGAGTCCCAGGCTTCTTTAAAACCCATCACTAAGCAACCCTGTGAGCCCTCACCCTCTTTGGAGAGCTGTGAAACTTTTGTTTCTATGCCATGGGAAAAAATCCTTGCTGAGAGGAATTTTGGGAGGTAACAGGGCTAAAAAAATTCTACGTGATAAAGGCTTTTAAACCAGGCAGGAATGATTCCCTGCTCATGTATTATGGCACTGAATACAATGTTTTTGGTTTGGGGCCTTTATTTTTTTCATGGTAGCTGCTGACTATTATGTGAACAAGGACTGGAAAAAAGTATCTGTACTGAATTATTCATAATAGAAAATTTCATTGTAACGGGGTCAACAAAACACTAACCTTGGCTTAGATCTATTTTTGTTAGAAGGATATGGTTACTGTAAGGGAGCTGGAATGGAATTTGAAACTGGTTCTGTAATTTATAGACCACAACATTATATAATCATTGTAATTTATATTTGAAACATTCAGGTATTACCTGTGTGATACATATACTCACAGGAGATTCTGACAAAATTGGATTATTTCCTTACTGAATTTTTTTTTTTTTTTTTTTTTTGAGACGGAGTCTCACTCTGTCGCCCAGGCTGGAGAGCAATGGTGCGATCTCGGCTCACTGCAACCTCCGCCTCCCGGGTTCAAGCCATTCTTCTGCCTCAGCCTCCCGAATAGCTGGGACTACAGGCTCACACTGCCACACCCAGTTTTTTTGTGTGTTTTTTAGTAGAGACAGGGTTTCACCGTGTTGCCCAGGCTGGTCTCGAACTCCTGAGCTCAGGCAGTCCGCCTGCCTCGGCCTCGCAAAGTGCTAGGATTGCAGGCGTGAGCCACCATGCCCTGCCTCCTTACTGAATTTTTAATTTATTTGTATTATAAATGCCTGTGTTGGTTTTTTCTAACGTGTTTGCAATCTGCAGTCCTACCTGCTACCTGTCACCCGTGTTGTCACTGGGGTTAAATAACTGAGTTTAATAATGGGCCTAATAGTTAATCAAAAGTAACCATTTTTGAAAAATTAGTAATACTTGCTTCTCTCAAATACAGGAATGGCAGTTGATAAGAATGGATTAATCTACTTTGTTGATGGAACCATGATTAGGAAAGTTGACCAAAATGGAATCATATCAACTCTTCTGGGCTCTAACGATTTGACTTCAGCCAGACCTTTAACTTGTGACACCAGCATGCACATCAGCCAGGTAGTTAAATACTAAGCGGACTTGTTTGTTTTTCCTCTAGGTGACTTGACTTATTCAGTCGGTAGACTATGATGGCACCATATTAAACTGCATATATCATGTGTTGCAGTGGTTCTGATAGGGCAGTTCCATTTACATGTATCACAGGAGCTAATAAAAAGTTATTTTCTTCTATAATTCTACATTTGATGAATTCAGTGAGATACAGAACAATTATCACTAAGAAATGCTAAGCATTTGTAATAAAATACCAGTAAAGTAGGAGCATGCAGGTATTCTAAAAAGAACCAAACAACTGAAATCTCTAATCTTTTGATTGCATGAGCTCCTTAAGTAGTAGAGAGAACCCACTATGATTAGTGCCAAGGGACTTATATTTAGAAATAGAAACTTTACTGTTGGCCTGATTGAAAACACAATAGAATACTAATCTATTCATAACCTAGAAAGCCCCAACATTTGGTGGTTATTGCTGCCATAAGGAACATGTGTGTTCATAGCTCATCGATATCTGTTGACTCACTACGTAGAGGCCTATTTGCTATTTGCCTGTAACTAGCAAATCTTTCTGTGAGCTGAATTTTAAAATAAAGTGTTATTTCCTGTATCTATCTTCATTCATTACTTTTTGGTTTATTTTACTGAGGCTATTGAAAAAACTATTATCAGACAGTTTATCTCAGATTAATGCCAATTTCCCTGAATGGTCTAATTTACTCTTCTGGCGAATTAACTGTAGTGCAGTAACTTACTAACCAGGCCATTTCTTTTTTTATTAAGGTACGTCTGGAATGGCCCACTGACCTAGCCATTAACCCTATGGATAACTCCATTTATGTCCTGGATAATAATGTAGTTTTACAGATCACTGAAAATCGTCAAGTTCGCATTGCTGCTGGACGGCCCATGCACTGTCAGGTTCCCGGAGTGGAATATCCTGTGGGGAAGCACGCGGTGCAGACAACACTGGAATCAGCCACTGCCATTGCTGTGTCCTACAGTGGGGTCCTGTACATTACTGAAACTGATGAGAAGAAAATTAACCGGATAAGGCAGGTCACAACAGATGGAGAAATCTCCTTAGTGGCCGGAATACCTTCAGAGTGTGACTGCAAAAATGATGCCAACTGTGACTGTTACCAGAGTGGAGATGGCTACGCCAAGGATGCCAAACTCAGTGCCCCATCCTCCCTGGCTGCTTCTCCAGATGGTACACTGTATATTGCAGATCTAGGGAATATCCGGATCCGGGCTGTGTCAAAGAATAAGCCTTTACTTAACTCTATGAACTTCTATGAAGTTGCGTCTCCAACTGATCAAGAACTCTACATCTTTGACATCAATGGTACTCACCAATATACTGTAAGTTTAGTCACTGGTGATTACCTTTACAATTTTAGCTACAGCAATGACAATGATATTACTGCTGTGACAGACAGCAATGGCAACACCCTTAGAATTAGACGGGACCCAAATCGCATGCCAGTTCGAGTGGTGTCTCCTGATAACCAAGTGATATGGTTGACAATAGGAACAAATGGATGTTTGAAAAGCATGACTGCTCAAGGACTGGAATTAGTTTTGTTTACTTACCATGGCAATAGTGGCCTTTTAGCCACTAAAAGTGATGAAACTGGATGGACAACGTTTTTTGAGTAAGTATATGAAAATTCTACTCTGATTATAAAATACTGTGATATAATAATATCATCTATAATAACAATATAATCTTAAGAGCTGGAGGATTCCATGTTTTTGAGAGTCTAGAGCTTCTGTAATTTTTGGATCCCGGCTGGGCACGGTGGCTCATTCCCGTAGTCTCAGCTCCTGGGGAGGCTGAGACGGGAGGATTGCTTGAGCCCAGGACTTCGAGGCCACAGTGAGCTATGATTGTGCCACTGCACTCCAGGCTGAGTGACAGAGCCAGAACGTATCTCTAAAGAAAAAAAAATGGCCGGGCGCAGTGGCTCACGCCTGTAATCCCAGCACTTTGGGAGGCCGAGGCGGGCGGATCACGAGGTCAGAAGATCGAGACCATCCTGGATAACACGGTGAAACCCCCGTCTCTACTAAAAATACAAAAAAAATAGCCGGGCGTGGTGGCGGGCGCCTGTAGTCCCAGCTACTCGGGAGGCTGAGGCAGGAGAATGGCGTGAACCCGGGAGGCGCAGCTTGCAGTGAGCCGAGATCGCGCCACTGCACTCCAGTCTCTGGGCGACAGAGCGAGACTCCGCCTCAAAAAAAAAAAGATACCTCTTTCTGAGAAAGAAGACAAAATTGCAAGATACAAGATGTAGGGCCTTGGAAAGGGAAGGGACTCGTGTAAGGGAGAAGCCCAAAGCTTAAGTTTCAGTTGGCTTCATGGTAAATTTACCTGTACTTAAGGATTAACATCTTGCTTCCAATAGACCTAGCATCTTAGCAAACCTTCTGAGAAGCATCCCGCAGCTGTGGTTTGGGGCATAAAGCCTTTGGCTCTAGGTTTGCCCACCTGATAAAGCTGACTGTCTCAGGAACTTGCATTGAAGAAAAACTTCAAAAACATTTACAGTGAACTTTGCTGATTACGTAGAAGGGCTTAAGTTTTTGTAATCGTTACCAGAGAAGCTACACTGTGCCTCAAAGAACCTTACAACTAAATGCAAGTCAGGAATTGCAGTTTGTTGCCTGAAAGCATGTGAAGAGGTAGGAGGCTCATTCAGCCAGGGTGTTCCAAGAGATAGCATGGAGTGGTGGCCCGGGCACTGTGCTGTCTGAACAGTCACATCTTGGGAGTCACTGAGAATGAAAGGAGAATCAGCTGTTGAGTATGTTAGGGCATGTATAAATGCATTCTCAATTGCTTGTTCACTTGACTCGGTTGTACAAGCCATGAGGGGAAATGAGATATGCAGAGATGGCATGTTGACAAACGCAAAATAGTCTTTGAAATGAATCCTGAGTTCCTTAGTGTGGTTTTCACAATGATACGGTGAAGCAAAGGTACTTCTTTCTGTAGGAGCACACCTCTGAAATTATCATAAAAGTCAGTAGAAAAAATGACTCAATATACAAATATTTTCTGTATAGCTTTTCTGGAATGTGTCTTATACATAAAGCTTAGTTCTCCTGTAGCTTGAATTGCTTTTCTTTTTTGACAGATTCCCTTTTAATAAAATGAATGTTAGCCAGCAGCATGATTTTGTCAGAGGAACAAACCTTTTCAATTGAATTACATTAAAATTCTGTTCTTAGCATTCCTTTTGCTCATTTTAGTATCGCAATAGGAAAGGAATAAATTGGAAGTTAATGGAAAGCACTTCCTTTGCACTGTTTTCAAAGTGATCGCAGGCTAGATTGCCAACGAAGCAAAAAAGAGCACAAGAAAAGTGCTGCCATCAGATGAGACTGGGCAGGAGAGCTGCTCTGATTCTAAGATCTTCAGGAGGCCGGGCGCGGTGGCTCACACCTGTAATCCCAGCACTTTGGGAGGCCGAGGCAGGCGGATCACGAGGTCAGGAGATCAAGACCATCCTGGCTAACACGGTGAAACCCTGTCTCTACTAAAAATACAAAAAATTCGCCAGGCGTGGTGGCAGGTGCCTATAGTGCCAGCTAGTTGGGAGGCTGAGGCAGAAGAATGGCATGAACCCGGGAGGTGGAGGTTGCAGTGAGCTGAGATGGTGCCACTGCACTCCAGCCTGGGTGACAGAGTGAGACTCCGTCTCAAAAAAAAAAAAAAAAAAAAAAAAAAGATCTTCAGGAGATGGTGGCGGCATTGGTAGGGTTTCAGTTTAGTTGAAAGTGGGGGAAACATAGAGAAATAAGTTTTTAGTATAGTCTGGTACTCAAGCCCTGCTCTCCGGGCCATTTTTGAATATGTCCTTACTCGTTCCCAGGAGTTCATTGTATGGATTAGTGCTGACACTTGAACTTCCTACAGCAGATACAGTGGTTTGCTTATGGCCTACAAATGCATTTTAATCAAGTTTGGAAAATTAGAGAAATTTCACTGGTGGAGCTGATGTGGGATAGTATAAACCAATTTGGATTTTTTACCTTTTAAAGAAATGATAGTGCAAAAAAGAAGATATATTTCTCTAGTAACAAATAACCTCCAAGAATTTCAGACTTAGGAATCGGCAGACTGGCTGAAGTAGAGGTTGGGTTGGCAAGCCAATCTTGTATATAATGGGAAAACATTATTTTAAAGAATGAAAGATTTTAATTAATTAAAATACAGCAAAATCACATTTTCACCAATACTTATTACATGTCATATTTAAAGTATATCTATTAAATCTTATAACTAGATAAATTGCTGTAAGGGCAACTACACTATTCCAAAAAGCATTATTAAAATATCTTACAAAATATCACCCTCACAATTTTATATATATCCATATATATAAAAGAATATCATAGTTTAACAAACCAGTGTTTAAAAATGACTTTTCTAATAAAATTAGCAGAAAGACTGCTTTTAAAAACCAGCGTTTTGTTAATTTTCCTCATAAGCTGGCTACAGCAAAGACGACTAAAAAATGTCTAAGAAACCTTTATGCATTTTGCAAAATAATGTGTTAAAGAAGAGCACTTAACCCAAGGAATTCAGAATCATCGTGTCAGAATGACAAATGATCATTTTTTTTCTTCCCATACATTCTTGTAATTTGGCTGTGAAAGAGCAAAGGCCGCCTCTTCTAAGGGTCAGAAACTTTAAAACACATTCAAAAGGAAATGCACAAAAAGAAAAGGGTGGGGGGAGGTGTCATTATCAGGCCGCCCCTCCAGAAGCACTGTCTGTGTTCAGACACAGCAGCACGTATTGTCTGTGTAAGTTTGAGATGGTTAATGGGCAAACTCAACCCCTGTCGCTACTCATCAGAGCCTTGACAACAGAGTTTCTGCTGCTTGTCTCCCGACCTGGGTGTGCGGCGGGATGTGAGCATCCTAATAGAGGCAGCGGGGGGCTTCTGAATCCCCGTCGGAATGCCTTTGTTTTTGTAGTTATTGGTGAACTGGCCGACTCCCAGAATATTAGTACGTGTCTGTAATATTTCCCTTCATTTTTAGAGTACCATGTGTCTATGTGTCTACTTTAGACCTTACAAAGGGCAGCCTGTAAGTTCACAAAGAAGGGATTTGACAGGTTTGACAATGGCCAGAGTGTCACCAAAACCACAACGAGATTGTGAAAAAAAATTGCCATCCCCCACTGAAAAACACCTGCTTTCTGTGACTTCCATGACACCAGTCCCTTGAGCTCTGATAACAGGCTCTATAATCATCTTCCTGCACAAATACCTCGCACAGAAAAGTTAAACTTTTCAGCTCAAATTCCCATTTGTGTATGGCCAGCTTTCTGACTATCCTGGTGTCTAAAAAGCCTTGAGATTAAAGCTTTTGTAGGATAGAAACAGATGGAAGAAGATCTGGAATCAATAAATTTGCCTACTGATAAAAATACACTTGTCATAGTTCCTTCCAAAGAAATTTTAAAAGAGAATTAGTTGCAATTACTTACCTTACATGTTTTTCTTGGTACAAACTTGAGTGTACCATTAACATGTCACAGTATTGGTATAAGTACAAAATGAAATGTAAAAGTATTTCATAAAATGCAAACTCCCATTATCTTTGTGGCTCCCACCACTCCTGGAATGTTGCTGTGGGTATAGAACTCTCCCAACAGCTATTTGTTGAATGAAGAAATAGAAAAATAAATCAGAGATGTAGACAGGTCAGTGTTTATTTGCAGAGAAGAGTCTGGTAAAACCAGAAGCTGGCATTTGCCAACGCTCCACTGAGAGAACACCTATAAATGCTCTTTTGCGTTCTAAGTTAGTTCACACCTCCGTACCAATACTGAATGTTGAAAATGTTAACGTTGCCCATTTTTGTTACTGATTTTTAAAAATATTTACCCAATATTGCATGTTTGCTCACTGTATTTTGCTTTATAAAATAAGGACTTCCTCAGTTGATCTTCTTATTCCAATAATTAAACAAAATAATAACTTCCTATTGATAGCACTTTCTTCTGAAATGTTGGTGTTAAACACAGAAAACTTTTCCCATGCAAATACAGTTAAAGGATATTATTGTATCTGGTATCAGGAAGAATTCTAGGAGAAGAAAGCCTGATTCCCAATAAGGTTTTTATCAATCACCAATAAAGTAAGTAGGGTGATTCTTCGGGGTACACAGATGGGGTTTCTTTAGCATGGTAACTGTCATTTCGAAAACTAGAGATATCATCTGCTTCTTGGCGGCAGTTTCTCTCCATGTTACTTGTAATTATTATGTCCCTATTGTGATTCATTAGAGAAGTGGCCAATATATTTAGACATGCTACTGGATGGTATGGTGGGAAGACTACATTAGGTATCAGATGGTTTATAACTCAGCTTTGAAATCACTGAGTTAGACTAATATGTTTCACGAGCTAAATAATTATTCATTACGGACTGAGTAAACCATCTTGGCTCTGACCTCCTCTTCCATTGACTTGCTGGGCTGTAGAAAGGACCCCAACTAGCTAACAGGGTCCCCTTGTATGAAGACACTGTGTCTTCAGTGAGTATTAGGGACCGCTTCATGCTGCTCTTCACACCACTTAAAAACAGTGGCCACACGCGATCATTCCTTAGCCAGAGTAATTCCAAGGAAACCAAAAAGATCTCACCTGCTAAATATTTATTATTTAAAAAGTTTATGCCTGAAAAGAAACCGCGGTTCTTACACTCGAATGCACAAAGAAGTGAAATCCAGTGTATTGAATTGGGGAACAGAATACGTTATTTAATAGTAAATGGCATTTCACAGTTCTCTGCTTGCTTACCCACATCAAATACAAACCGTTTGGGCATATCTAGAGGCTCTTCTGTCTGGTTAAAGAAGACAACATGAAAAACTATGAATTCTGGCCAATATGTACATGCACACCAGCAGGTTAGCGACATTTTTTTAAATCTTGGGACTTTGAATATTTGGAGCTCTGTATTTGTGGAGCTGACTCTGTGATCTTTTGTGAGCTATATTCAGATTCACAGAGCAAATAAATGAGTTTCAGCTTTTACACATTATGTAGGTATATATGGGTCTCCGGCTTCTCATTTGGGTGGTTTATTGTCCCTCATTCAAGCTTTTCAATTTCAGAATGAGCTTCTGAACCATTTCTTTATAATGAACTTAACTCAGTGCCCATGGCAAACCCACGACTCCCACTGACATCAGTTCTCATGCTGTAGGAGTGCCTCAGAGAAGGGATCCCCGAAGAGGAAAGACAGGCAATGTGAACAGCGCATGTGCTACGCCTAAGCCTATTTCAAGTTCAAAACTGTATACCAAAAGCACAAATAATGCAGGAAAACGCAATGATAATTATTCATTAATTAGAAAAGATATCATTAATTAGAAAAGTTATGCCCATTCTTGTTGACACTGACTCCTATTATTTAAACAGCCTGGCTGCAGTGCCATGCTGTGTTCTCCTTACAAAAGTGACCACTGCAATCGCTTCTAATGTTAGAAGAATTATAGAGGTTATCGGCTGGGCACGGCGGCTCACATCTGTAATCCCAGCACTTTGGGAGGCTGAGGTGGGCGGATCACATGAGGTCAGGAGTTCAAGACCAGCCTGGCCAACATGGTGAAACCCTGTCTCTACTAGAAATACAAAAATTAGCCGGGCGTGGTGGCACTCACCTATAATCCCAGCTACTCGGGAGGCTGAGGCAGGAGAATCGCTTGAACCCGGGAGGCAGATGTTGCAGTGAGCCAAGATCACGCCACTGCACTCCAGCCTGGGTGAAAAGAGTGAGGCTCCATCCCAAAAAAAAGAAGAAGAATTAGAGAGGTGTCTTCCACAGGACAAAACTGAGAGGATATCCTTTCCTTTGATAAGCATCTGCCATCCAACCCTAAAAACTGAAACACTGAACCTTGCATCATTGTTATTTCTGCCAAAAACTGCATTAAAAACTGAGCAGCCCACTTTATAAGTATATATGTATACACACACACACACTTATACACACACACATATATATCTTAAAATGGTGCTCAGCCACCTGCTTTATTTTCCTTTTCCTTTTTCTTTCTTCATGAAAGAAAACATTTAGGAGTTTAAGAATGATTTGCAAGAGAGTTTATCAGCAGATCACTTAAAATCATGGGAAAATTCTATTTTTGATAGAATTTTAAATATTTGATTTAGTAGAATCAAATAGTTTATTTCTATTTTTGATGTTTTGTTTAATTGCTTAATAATTTTTGCTTTAAATTATTAACCAAAACGTGTATTTCCAGGGACATCAATAAAAAAATGCATAGGCAAGTTTCTAAAGTGACTGCTGTACATTTCAAGCATTAACCTGAACACTATGAAGGCAATACTTTTATTAATACTTGATCTATTCCAATTACCTTCTGCAGTCTAGTTTTTAAAAATCATTAGTTCTGCCCAGGTTTCAAAGGAGAAAAGGAACTGGGGAAAGAGTATGTTGTTCAGATTACTCAAAAAATTGCACAAAAAATAAAAACAGATTAGTCAGATTTTCTCAGTTCATCGGCTGTGTCCCTGGAGTGTGTTGATAGTTGCAAGGTTGAATTAACTCTTTCAGGGTGTTCCATTTGGCAAGTCAATATTCCGGATGTGCTAACTTGTTCCATAACGGTTCAAGAGTAAATGCAGCTTCCACAAGTGTCCAGTTTCCTCTTTAAACTCGTTCTGCAACTGTCTAGATTAGATGATTTGATGGCCTCATATCTGTGTGCATCATCAGCTTCCCTTACACGGTGATTGTCAGATATTTACCCTAACACTAAGCTGTGTACACCAGCCATTTAAAACGATTGATAATAAAGCAATAAGTTTACACATGGACGATCAGTGCAAGAGAACTTTTCATGTTTTACAATCACAGAACTGAAGATTGACAAATGAGTGTTTTCTGGAGACTTTGCAGCATCTGTGGCTCATTCCTCTGACAATAAAATAAAAGCAATGCCAGCAGCTCTCACTCCTGGATCCCGTAACTCCTCAGCCTCCCAGGAAGGTGTTCAGCACAGAGAAAGTCCCTGGCCTATGTTTCAGGATCCTAGAGTGGTGTCAGAATATCTTGAGGCTGCAAATGCAGAACCAGTGTGGACACTGCACTTCTCTTTGGAGCTCTCTCTGGGTTGGGGAAGGCAGTCTATGAAGGAGATAGATAGGATGGTTGGGGATACTATCATCTACATGCTTCAAGTCACCCTAACTCCTCACTTAGCTACACCGCCCTCCCCTACCCCATCATCACCACTACCACTTCTCGTAAACACACGTACTGATGATATACTTCAAAAAAGATTTCCTAGACTTCAAGTTCATCCCAAAGTTTGGTGAAGCCATGGTTCTTCAAGAGAGACCCCCCACAACTTCTAGAAAATATTGATGTAAAGAAATACTCCTTTGTAGCGCTCTCTAAAAACTACTTTTTGTTCTCTTTAAGTGTATTTTAAGAGTGTAGGTCCGATATAACTTAAGATTTTCCCATGACTGGGCTTTTTAATAAAAAACTGTATAAAAAGCAAAGGCTGAAAAACTTATAGTGTATTTTAAAGTAGTTAATTGATTAAGCATTTAAAGAATGTAAGTCAAGCATCAGCTAGAAGAAAGATGTCATTCTGTTTCAAACTCAAGAAAAGATGGGGGCGGGCGCGGTGGCTCACACCTGTAATCCCAACAACACTTTGGGAGGCTGAGGCGGGCGGATCACGACGTCAGGAGATCGAGACCATCCTAGCTAACACGGTGAAACCCCATCTCTACTAAAAATACAAAAAATTAGCTGGGCGTGGTGGCG
Organism: Homo sapiens; assembly: GCF_000001405.40. Lineage (NCBI taxonomy): Eukaryota > Metazoa > Chordata > Mammalia > Primates > Hominidae > Homo > Homo sapiens. The sequence goes on from NC_000004.12 coordinate 182,763,435, forward strand.
GGCATCTGTAGTCCCAGCTACTCGGGAGGCTGAGGCAGGAGAATGGCGTGAACCCAGGAGTTGGAGCTTGCAGTGAGCCCAGATCGTGCCAGCCTGGGCGACAGAGTGAGACTCCGTCTCAAAAAAAAAAAGAAACGATGGAACCAAGTTCTAATAAAGGCAAGCATAAGCCTTGCCAAAATTAGAAGAAAGTACTCATTTATAGAGGATGATGTTTTTAAGCTAGGTCAGTTAGCGTTATAGTAATAAAAGAAAGGTTACAGGAACCTTATATCTGGAGGAGCAGAATGTGAGTGTCTAAATGCATCAGACTATTCCTAGAGAAGTCAAAAAATATTCAGGATGACTAAACCTCAAACCTTTAAACCCTCAAGGAAGGTCAGAATGGGTTTATGCAGTGGTTATTTATAATTTAGAGCTAGTGAGAAATGTTATGCCCAGGAATTTATCTTTATGTTCATATCGGTGTATCCATATCCAATGAAAGATTAGCTCATTCACCCCTTACTAATTTAATAAAGATTTCTAGTTTTTTAACTTAATGTTTAAAGTGTACCCCATTCTCCTTAACACAAACAATTAACCACAAGCATAGGTAATCCCATATGGGACTGGTCCAGGCAACACCAGCCTCTGAGGAAGCACAGTTTCCAAAAGCAGCTATGCCACCTAAAAGAAAATGAAAGTCTTTTCCATGCTACATTGCAAAGGCAAACAGATTGACAAATTATTAAATTATTTCAAACCTCTTAGGTTTTGATAAGGTGGGAAGTTTTCTGTGCTTTTTGATCATCAAGCATTTCCTGTTTAGCCCGTAATTTCCTGGCATTCATTCATTCACTCATGTGCTCATTCATTCAGTAAGAATTTATTATGTGCCAGCTACTGGCCTTAGGTGCTGGAGGATGCAGAGCTAGATGACACATTCCCTGCTCTCAAGGAGCTCAGAGTCCACTGGGAGAGAAAGACAAGTAAACAGTGATAAGAATGGTAAGTGCTAAGATAGTTGTTCGACAGGCCGTGGAGGTACAGAGGAGGATCATCTAAATCCGATTGAGAACTGGGGACAGGATGAGGCAAGAAAAACTTACCAAGGGAGGTAATTTTTAAGATCAGTGTTGCAAGTTGTGAATAAAGGCTACCCAGAAGAGAGAGAAAGAGACTGCTAGGCCAGAGGAAAGCATTTACCCAGGAGCAGAACGTGGCAGGCTTTGGAAAGAACACACAGCTCAGAATGACAGGAGCATCGAATGTGTGTGGGGAGGAGGGAGATAAGATGAAACCAGGGAGGGAGATGGTGCCTCTGCGCAAGTAGGGCTTGCACCGCTACGTGAAGAGCTGGACTGCGTGGATCTTCCCTCCGGGGTAGGCGGGACTCTGTTCAAGGAGTTTAACAGGGACAGCAACATAGCCAATCTGGTGACAATGTAAGGATAGATTTAAGGTAGAAAAGTAGGTTAGGAAAGGAAAGGTAGGAGGCAGTAGAGGTCAGTCAGTCATTAGGACATGAAATGTAACTTGCTGTCTGAATGTAAGAGGTAAGGGCAAAAGAGGATCAAGGATGAGTTTCCTTTTTCCCAACTTAGGTGACTAGTGGACACGGAGATACGGGGAAGAATTGTAGGTTGATCAACAAAAGATGAGTTCCGATTCGTAAATTATGACTTTGAGAGTACCATGGCACAGTCTAGCATGTGATTAAAAAAAAATGTCTGATTGGAACTTAGAGGACAATTCCAAAGATGTGGACACGAGAGCTATTGAGAGAGCCGAAGCTATAAGTGTGAATAAAATCATATTGAAAGGGAACATAGAAGATCTGGTGACAAGTGGAAAAAAAGAAGGTGCAAATATGTGAGTTTACAGACTGGAGTTTCCTGTGGCTTCATAATAAAAGACAACAGCTGTGTTAATACTGAAGGATCCACTTTCTCCTACTGGATACTCTATCCCTAATTTTTTGAAATCTTCAAATCTGTGTCTTCCCTTGTATTTTGCATCACTTTCTGTATTTGATCTTCTTTCTTTGCTCCCTTTTGCTCCTTAACTGCCCAAATGTGGCCATTCCTCTGCCTCCCCTTACTTCTTGCACTTTGCTCAATGTTCATTTTCTCTCTTAAAGCTTGTGAGTAGGTAACATCTTAGTCTCCATATTCTCTCATCTTAGGCTTTTTTTCCTTACCCTTCCTCCTTACTCACCTCCGTTTCCCAAGTCATTGACACTCATGAGATGAAACTAAAAACCTGGGTTCCGGTCGCGATTGTGTCGCTTACTCCTAACTGCATGACTGTGAGAGTCAGAGCCCCTGTCTGGATTTTCCTGTCCTCACCTGTAACATGAAAGGCTCCTTAGTAATTAAAAATCACTTCCTATTCACAAGAAAATATGTGATTTTTACCATTTCCTTCCAACTTCTCATAGGCCCCTGTCAAGGTGTATTCCAAAAGAAATAACACTTAACAAAAGTTACCAAATTTCCTCTGCTAAAACAGTTATGCATATTGCATATTGCATTTCGGTCAAACTAGTATCTTATATGTTATGTTGGTGGTAGAAATAGCAATTTATAGTAATAAATAGAATTTTCTCTTTCCAAATGTGCCACCTACTTTTTAAAAATCTTTCCCACTTACTAGAAGCCTGGCACAGCCCTCCTTGTCCTCGCTCAGTGCCAGGGTGTGGGGTCTGTGTACGGCTGAACAGGCACCAGGATACAAGGAGAACAAAAGAGAAGGAGGGGTTTGTCCTCTGAGCACTTCCAGACCCATGGAATAAATCCAGGAGGATGAGGGCATGCACAGTTCTGTTTTACAGATTCTTTGGAGCAAAAATTTTCCTCGCCATCAGCTGTCTAGGAGGTCTCCATTTCAAGACCAGATAGCTAAACAAATAAGCTGTATCCTACCCATGTCAGCCTTCCTCACTCGATAAACAATTTAAAAAAGAAAAAAAAAAGACAGACTGTCTTAAACATGATTCTTCTCTTAATGATGGCTAACCCAGAATCCTTCGAATCCCTAAGGGAACTAATTCTGGAATGCCCTGACTTGGATGGCTTTGTCTCAAGGCCTGTGAATTTCAGAGCTGGGCATTATCACTTTGTCAGTTCTCCCTGATGTGGTAATGACTATGAAAGGAAAGAGGCATTGGGTCACTATTTTTGAATTTGATTCTTGAAGAAAATGTCATTTCTGTGACCATCTATCACTATGCTCAGCGTTCAAAAGGGCTGGACCAGAGAGGAGTGGGGGAGGCTCTGCCCTTGTCTACATGCCTCTGAACTCATGTTAGCTGGGGGGTGTTTGAAAAAAAAAAGAATAGCAGCTTGACTGCAGACTGCTACCCTTTCTGGTTTTATGGAGCAAAGCACGGGTCAGAATTTGCCCCATCAGCAAGACCTCCTAATTAAATGCAGCAGCAACAAAGACATTCGCATTGGGGTTACCAACACCCACCCCATACAATTCTCACCCCTTTCTCATCAGGATCCCCTTAGCACCAAGACCAAACTCACGTAAAATAATACTTTCTTTTGTCTTCCTTCTTTTGCATTTTCCCTGCCATTTTTGATAATAGGTAGGTAGCAGGCAGGGGAGTATCAGGTGGTGCCATGATGTGGGCGTAGGCGACTGCTCTGTTTCCCTTGGTGATAGAAGCATTTTCTATCCAGAACCTGATTTTTGAGGATTTCTTACTACCTTGCTACAAATTATGATTTGTCTTTGAGATGATAATTGTTAAAATACATAAACCATAGGTTCCTTCTCAGAAGACTTACATGTAAAATCTTTCGCTGTTGCTGTTGCAAATCACATTATTGCCATTAAGATTCCGCATCAGCCCGCCGTTCCGGGTTCGCTGTTTGTGCACAAGTCCCTCCTCAGGAAGGACGATCAAGGAGTGATTTATGCCTACATGTTTAGTCATGACGGGGTTAGTAGTTGTGTTCCACTTCACCTCAACAACAGATACGAGGCTGTTACAAATTAGCAATGTGGGAAAAGTCTTGCGGTAACCGGTGACAAGATGGAGGGGATTGTTTGTTTTTGTTGTTGTTGGCCGTTAAACTATGGAAGGAAATTTGAGCCTACGCAACTCTGTTAGATGGAAGAAAAGATTCTCCCTCTGTATAAAATGTGTGTGTGTGTTTCTGGGTGGGTGTGTGTGTATATTACATACACACGTATATACACTACGTATACTATATATACACATCACACACATACACATTATAGTGAAAGTGGGAGAAAGATGGGTTAATTAAGTCCTTCATGTGAGTTCTTACTGGGATCCAAGTCTGAAAGCAAACCCGTGTAACCCACGAAGCAGCTCTCAAAAGCAGGCTAGCTCTGGGATGGCCCTGAGGAAGACCCGAGGAAGGCCCACTCATGAGGAAACTTGAACATTTATCCCATCTGGAGGCCTTCAGAATGAACCCAAACCAACATCTGCTGCTGTCTTGCCTGCCCAGAACAGGCTTGGTTTTGACCGGAGAAAGCAGTCACATTTCAGTGACTCTCACTCCGGCTTCCCTAGGTGAAAATGACAGAGGTGTGGGGAGGGCATTGCCGCCAGTATATACGTAACGACATATGCTGGTCTCGTGTTTGAGTCGGGCCAGTTCAGGGTCAGGCTGAATTCTGGACTGACAATCCACAGAAGGGATAAAGAGCACGTCACTCCGCAAAAGAGCCCACCTCCAGAGTTAGAATGACTTCTCTGCCCTGGTGTATGCGCTTCTCTAAAGCTGTGCTCTCATTTACACGTACTTTTCTCAAAAGCAGAAGATAATTTTAAAAACATAACCTTTGGTTAAAGAAGCCATTTTATGGGGAAGCACCAAAGACGATAAATACTCCTGTTGTCAAGTTGTAAAGAAAGTTTTCGAGAACTGCAAATTGTTTCCACTTGAATAAATTTGCAACATCAATAGGCTGTTGACATTGGGTTGGTAACAGTCTAAATCACTTGATTTTACTCTCAGATGAGCATCTACTGAAGATGTTTAAGTAGAAAGGTATTATAATCATGGTGTTTCAGATTGATTTGGTATCAGTGAATATGGGAAGAGGCAGATAGACCCATTTTAAAAGTCTAGGGAAGCTCTGGGAATAGAAAGATAAATATCTGAGAGACATTACCAAGGAAAAGGAGAAAGTTAGGAGCTTCACGTCAGGTTGAATATAGCATTCTCAGCTGAGAATGACTGAGGCTGTGATTCTCCGAGGCATTTGTCGATAATCCCACTACTTAGGAAACTTTAAAAAGAGATTTAAAAATATACCACAAAAGCTAAAACAGCAACTAGGCAAACATGCAATCCAAATTAAAGACCAACAAACAGATAAACATCAAATAAGGGCATCTCATCAGTGGAAGAGCGGTAGGTCACGGAGAGCCTGAGGAAGTTTGTCCTTTCCAGCGAGAGTCCTTTGTAAAGAGGGGTCAGGCAGGAGCAGGAAGGAATGTGCTGTGTTATGAATTTGAAACCATGAGGCTAAGGCCAGAGGAATGCAATGGGGGGCATGAAGTTGATGTTCTATTCAAATTCCCTGGAGCCTATTGCATTGTACATTCAAAAAGCTAATAAAGGAAAACTACCTCTCAAATCTATAAGCTGGGCAGGGCTAGTTCACCACTAAGGCCAAGCAACGTTCAGTTGAGTCACACAGTTGCAAATAAGCAAGAGAATCTGAATCCGCCCAGAGGCATATCTAGTTGTTGGAAAGGTCTTTTTAAGACCTGGAGTCAGAGTATTTCAGAGGCTAGCTGGACATTCGTGGGTGCATTGGTTTTCTTCTTTTGTGGAGGTAAAGAAGAGTTAGCCTGATGTTTATGGAAGTACCTGAGAGTCGTCTTTGAAGACATTTTCTTTCACTCCCTTAGTCAGAGTCCCCGGGTCATTTTTCTGATGTCTTTCCTTCATCTCGTTTTCATTTCTGTTGACATAGGTGCTAATCTGTGAAAAAGTTTTTACTCGTCCGCACTGAAATGAAAAAAAAAAAAATGATGTGGAGAATGTTTTCATCATAAAGCTTTATTCATTGCTTTTAAAGAGCAGTCCTAGGCCGGGCGTGGTGGCTCACGCCTGTAATCCCAGCACTTTGGGAGGCCGAGGCGGGAGGATCACGAGGTCAGGAGTTTGAGACCAGTCTGGCCAAGATGGTGAAACCCCGTCTCTACTAAAAATACACAAAAAAATTACAGAAACAGTGGCAGGCGCCTGTAATCCTAGCTACTCAGGAGGCTGCGGCAGGAGAATCGCTTGAACTTGGGAGGCGGAGGTTGCAGTGAGCCAAGATCGCACCACTGTACTCTAGCCTAGGCAACAGAGCAAGACTCTGTCTCAAAAAATAAATAAATACATAAATAAAGAACAGTCCTTTTGGCCGGGCGTGGTGGCTCACTCCTGTAATCTCAACACTTTAGGAGGCCGAGGCAGGTGGATCACCTGAGGACAGGAGTTTGAGACCAGCCTGACCAATATGGTGAAATCCCGTATCTACTAAAAAATACAAAAATTACCTGGGCGTGGTGGCGGGGGCCTCTAATCCTAGCTACTCAGGAGGCTGAGGGAGGAGGATTGCTTGAACCCAGGAGGCGGAGGTTGCAGTGAGCCGAGATCATGCCACTGCATTCCAGTCTGGGCGACAGAGTGAGACTTGTCTCGAAAAAAAAAAAAAAAAACAGTTCTTTTGAAAGAACTCACCCTACAGGTAGGTCCCGCCTCTCTTTGATATGTTTAAATGGCCTTATGAAACGATGGGAGTAACGGGTAGTAGTTTTTAATTTAAAAACCCTGTGTTGATCCCTGATTTTTTTCATGGTTTGTAAAATTGGCAAGTCAGGGAGCCACTCTCACCCCCACCTTAGGTTCCTCGTTAAAACCCCGCTTTCTTTAAACCTTCTTCAGCACCTCATGTTCTCCAGTGAGGAGATCCACCCAAGGCTCCCTTCCAGTATGACTCTGTGCTGGCCACTGTGCCTCAGCCGGGCCCCTGCACCCCGACACCTTCCTCCGCAGCCCTCCCAGCCCCACCCGGGCCCCTGCCTGACTGCCTGATCCCACAGTCTAGTTCACCACTAAGGCCAAGCAACATTCAGTTGAGCCACACAGTTGCAAATAAGCAGAGAATCTGCCCAGAGGCATATCTAGTTCTATTCCGGGACCTGGCCAGGTCCCCACCTGGGTGCAGCTCTTCCCCAGCTATGTCAGCGTGAACACATCTCCCCTTCTGCTCACTCTGGTGAGTGGTAGCCTCACAGGACACTCATTTGTAATAGTTAAATTGTCACGTATATGACCTCTGCTCACCCAGACTTCTCTGTTTTCACAATATCCTCACGCTTTAGCTTGCACGGAAAGGCTGTTCTGAAACTGTTGGGTGCCGGGTTAGATAGGAGCTCTGAGGACCCTGACACCGGAGCAGCCTTCCTTGTGCAAACACTTCAGCCCTGTTAGTGCCTGCACTTAGCTTCAGCTACTCCTTAGAAGGCACAAATTCAGAACTTCCAGGGCTAAACTGTTAAGCTGGGCCGCTAGGATCCCAGCTTAACCCTCTGTCATTCTAACTGTACTACCTACAAAGGTTACTTGTATTTTTATTTCCCAAAGAACCAAAGGCTAATAGGTGAGAGTCTGAACTTTCAGCTTCCTGGGCTGTATCTCCCTGTGCCGAGGATCCTGTGATATAGAATGCCTGCCCAGCAGGGAATGGAATGTGTGGTAAGCCAATGAAAGAGCAAAGTCAGAGGTTGCAGAAATGCTTTCTACAGGAGAAAGGTGAAGTTTCTGCTTCAGATTGAATGGGGCTAGAAAATATAAACCAGCAAAAGGGTCAAAAAAGGGCAGAGGAGAATGAATCAGCAAGCTGCTTGCAGGTGGTACAATCTATATAAAGCTAGAGTTCCCAGCTTTAAATCAGGCACTGTGATCTACAGGAGGGCTAGTGGGCCTGGGGTCAGCTGCACAAAAGTCCCAGTTATGGTCCAGTCAAGAGATAGCGTGAGAGCCAGATCAAATCAGCTAACCACGTCGTATTTTCATTTTCCGTCTCTGAAATGGGGGGGGGGGAAATAGTACAATACAGAATTCTCCTATGTAGAGGCATTCAAAAGGGCATTAATTTTTTTTAACCCGATAGCACGTTCTTCACATCATACCATGAGATGTGTAATCTGCTGCAAGACTTATGCCAAACTGAACGACAGAACTTTAGGCTGGTTTTGTCAATAATTCTGTAACTCTGCGCTGCTTGTTCTTAAATAAACCAGTGCGTGTTTGTTTCTTCAAGAGCAGTAATTTCTTCAAAAAAGCGATCACAGCAATAAACTCTGTTGGATTTCTTTCATTTATGCCTTCCTTTGCTAGGGGCGTTTGGGTTGGTGGGGAGGACATCTTCAGCTCTGCCTTTTGTGAGTCTAAACAATGATTCCACTTAATGGTGCATTGGCTTCCTCTGTGTCTCCATCCCTGGCTTCTCCCTCCTGAGTGCCCGTTCCTGCCGCTGGCTGAGCAGCGTGGCAGGTTGTCAGATCATGTCAGTCAAACCCATGATCTGACCGATACTGTCCCCACCGAATTAATGGGATCAGCTCATCACCGGGCACGGAACAGACCTCCGTCCCTCGCCTTCCTCCTCTCTTTCTTCCCTCTCTCTACTGTAACATTGTCCTGGCGGAGTCTTCTCTGTCTTTATCACCTAGAATCTTCTCCTGATGAACAACCACATTTTTCAAAATGAATGTTTCACGAAAAACCCCTATCATCTCATAAACAAGTGAAATTGAAAAAACAAACAAAACACCTCTATCCTTTTATTCCCAAATATCACTCAAGTACCTTTTTTACTCCTCACTCCTGTGTGGCCCCGTGTTTTCACCTACGATTATGATCCCCTGTCACTGTTTTCCTGCCCTGGTAACCTGTCTTTCTCTAACAGCATTGTTTCTCTGTTAGTTCTGTGTCTGGGCTTACTTCAAGTAGGATGTTGATTCAGGTCTCCATCTCACTGGGAACCTTCGATTAGTGAAGCAGTCTTAGAATCAATCTGAAATCCACCCTTTAGTATATTGTGGTCCCAAGGAAACTCCTAATTTCTCATCCAGATTTTTGCTTTTTTTTTTTTCTTTCTTCAGACGACACCATCATTTTTGAAATTTTCTCTGGTGCTGCCACAAATAGAAAAGTCACAAAAATTCAATTCTTCAGTCAAATGTTGTATCTATGATGCATATTTATGAGCACAGAACAGCTTTTAAAATGTATTTTAACACTCAAATTATAAGTTACTCTTGTATTTGTCTGCTAAAAAGAGTAAGTGTGTAAAAAAAAAACAAATAATCATTAAATGTCAGGAAATATTGCATCTCATTTCAGTGAACACAGTAAATCACCATGCAAGATATTCCCCATTCTTTCAATATCACTGTAGACAAGATGGGTTATCATCACCACTGCCAGCATTCAAGCTCTAATTTACCATTATGAAGTATGTCAATCACTGAGAAATAAGAAAGTCTTTAAAAGGTTCTTATTTTATTAATTTGTTGAAGATGTCTGAAGATACTAAAAGGATTTTTTACATATGCAAATACATACATGCACGTAAACATACTGTACTGTACTGCCACCGAGGGAGTAAGTCAGTAAATCTTTAAGAACTGATGTAACAGTGAATTAAATCTACTTTGTAGAAAATATGAAGGAATACTAAGGAATTTAATATCAGCAAACATGTTCCCTTTGAAACAGCAAATTAGATGTGCAGGAGGATTTTGGTCACACTTCAAAGAATCATGTGCTGAGATGGAGAGCTGGTCTGTTTACTCGTGTTCTCACCGGTGAGGTTTTTCTATGTTAAACGGGTTTTTGATTACTTCAAAGCATGTTTGAAGTCTTCACTCTGCATCGCTCATCCACGAAGACAAATAGTCCTCCAAATTTGTGCAACTAATATTGCTACACATTATATTTATAAGTCAGAAGAAACTGCAGTTTCCTATTTAACACCAAGTTAATGCCTCTTGTATTTAGCTATGACAGTGAAGGTCGTCTGACAAATGTTACGTTTCCAACTGGAGTGGTCACAAACCTGCATGGGGACATGGACAAGGCTATCACAGTGGACATTGAGTCATCTAGCCGAGAAGAAGATGTCAGCATCACTTCAAATCTGTCCTCGATCGATTCTTTCTACACCATGGTTCAAGGTAAACACGAAAGCATCATTTTAAACAAGTACCACCAGCACCCAGACAGAATGCGGCAACACCCACTTTCCAAGGTGAACCAGAAAAGGGAAGGTGAAAATGTAAACCTCTAGAAATATTGGTGACATAATCTACAGTGTACATGTAATATTTATTTACTTGTATAGACATATTTTAAAACCACATATAAGATAATCTGTCATCCTTGGAATAGTGTCTGTTTCCATTCCCATGTATTAAAACAACTTCATTCCAGCCCTTCACATGCATCATCAGGCGATTTTTGCATCACCTAAGAGTTTTCCAGAGCAGGTCTTCTGACCGCCATCTAAGTACAGTAGTTTGAGACACAGCACTTTTTGAGGCCATATGTGATGCAGTATTTTAATCTGCATGTCATGGAAATTTTATCCCAAATTCCAACTACACATTCATGTAATGCCTGGAGTGTCCATTTTTTCATTCCATCTATAGTCATATAGATGCCATATCTCCATAATGGACCCTCCTTGCCATATTCCTTTCTAAATTTGAAAAAGCCTGTCTACAATGACATTTGTAATTGTGAGTTCACAACTCTAAGAATAATTACTAAATCTGTATTCAACTTTTTGACTCATTTTTTTTACCTGTTCCATGAAGTAATCTCTAACCATCTAAAACTGCTATTGCTTGAATTCATTCCTTCCCCAAATGGTCCTATATTATTTCAAAATTTTAAACTGAGGCAGTAGTCTACAATATGAGCTTTTTTGTATAAAATATAAAATGTCTTCCTTTATTGAAGTCAATTTCGGAGGGAACATTGCTTTCTATTTTTGGTATTCAAGATATAGATATTAATCCTTTCAAAGGATCTTTGACAGAAGATGCAGGGATTGGGTGCAGGGGAGGGAAGTCTTCCAAGACCTTGGAGGTGTGTACACCGCGCTCCTGAGAGATCACATATGTGCCTCTTTACAAAATATTTACTTAGTGCACATCCCATGGAAGCTGAGCTCTCATTTCATCAGGCAAATGAGAAAAAGAAGTCTATTAAACTGCAGAAGGACTTCAAATTCCCCTAAAGTTTGCCTTTAATATTTAGCCAAACCTCTGACAGCATGAAATGCCAAGGATCAAAGTTGTTTTGTTTCTTTCTAAAAGGACATCATCAGGTACTCCTTATTCCTAGTCAACTTTTAGAAATTTAGAACCTATCTCACGGCACAACCGGCCAAGTATTTAATCCATATCTAATAGTTCATGTTTTGTGCTTCTTGTTCTTTAGATCAGTTAAGAAACAGCTACCAGATTGGTTATGACGGCTCCCTCAGAATTATCTACGCCAGTGGCCTGGACTCACACTACCAAACAGAGCCGCACGTTCTGGCTGGCACCGCTAATCCGACGGTTGCCAAAAGAAACATGACTTTGCCTGGCGAGAACGGTCAAAACTTGGTGGAATGGAGATTCCGAAAAGAGCAAGCCCAAGGGAAAGTCAATGTCTTTGGCCGCAAGCTCAGGGTACGTACGTGTTGTGGAGCAGGAGATAGCTGCAGCCCTCTGATCTGTGCAGATCATCCTGAGGGCAGGTTGCGTCTCCTGCTCACCCCCCTATGTCTACACTGAGTATGAGCACCTCGCTCAGTGTGGTTCCAATCCCACATGGGCCTGTTCTGGCAGGTGCAGCTGGGGAGGCTGGAGGGAGGTCAGGTCGTGAGAGGGCTGAGAAGAAAAAGCAATAGGACACTAGAGGGAAAAGGAGATCAGGAGTGAAGGTAAAGCCATGACCATGAAAACCAGCTCCAGACATCTTCCAGGTCACTTTCACAGAGCTATGGTCCATTCCCAAAGCGGACTCCAGCTGCTGCTCTTTGTTCTGCTGAGCCCCAGACACTGCCGCCACCTGCATCCCCGTTTGCTGCCTCTACTCACTGCTGCTTCCCAGGGCCCCTGCTGCCTTGGGCCACTGCAAACGCAAGGCTAGTTCACAGGCCTCCTCTTGCTCAGCTGTCCTGAAGCAGGGGTCACATGCACGTGTGCACACAGCGTCACACCTGTTCTCAGATGCAGGACTTCATCAAAAGACACAAAGACATGGATGACAGCTGTGCCCCTCTCTCTGCATACCAAAGACACAGCACCTAACTAGGGTTCAAAAAATTATGGGTTCCAGATGAGGCTCTACTTTTTGCTAATAGTAAACCTTATGGGAGAATCAGAACATCTCTGAATCTGTTTCCTTATCTATATCATGGTATCCATATTATGATATAGATTACACATTATCTAAATACCATAACAAGATAGATAGGAGATATGTAGATGATAGATAGATAGATAGATAGATTATATATATATAGATAGATAGGAGATATATATAGATAGGAGATATATATATAGCTATATTGCAGATAAATGAAATTTACCCTATACTACCTCTGTTTTACACAGTTGTTACAAGAATCAAATGAGATAATGTGAAAGTACTTTGAAAATAGGCTGGGCGTTGGTGGTTCACGCCTGTAATCCCAACACTTTGGGAGGCCAAGGTAGGCGGACCACTTGAGGTCAGGAGTTCGAGACCAGCCTAGGCAACATGGTGAAACCCATCTCTACTAAAAATACAAAAATCAGCCAGGCGTGGAGGTGGGTCCCTGTAATCCCAGCTTCTCAGGAGGCTAAGGCAGGAGGATTGCTTGAACACTCGAGGCGGAGGTTGCAGTGAGTCGAGATCGCGCCACTACACTCCAGCCTAGGAGACAAAGCAAGATTCTGTCTCGAAACAAGAAAAGAAAAGGCATGGTTATATATTCCCTGACCCTAACGCAGATAGCCTCTTCTACTCACACACCAGATGGATAGGAAAGGGCTGTTGAGCTTGCTGGATAGTAAAATTTCACTGGAAAGAGGGAGGAGGGGGAAATACTTTGTCCAGAAACTGACCACATAACCATAACATATTGCCTGCTGTTCTTGGAGACAAGTTATAAGTAAGTGTGCACTTTTTTTTTCTTTGTAATACTGCTTTGCAAGACATAAAAGGAACTTAGGCAGATGAGAGGGAAAGAGAGGAAACCCAGTCTGAAGTCCCTGGTTCTCTGCCTAATCCTAAATGAAGAAAATACCTCACTTGAGGAAGGAAGAGGCCAGTGCACACAGGCATGGGTGTTACTTTCTTTCTAAATGGCAGAGCCACAATGCCTCAGCAAGACGTTTTAGAAAATACGCTATTTAAAATGGCCTGTGCCATCCCACTGAAAGGAGATTTCCAGCTGATATGTTTGATTGCTCTCGGAGAGACAATGCCAAGATCACAAGGGAGGGCTTCTTACTTTCAAGATAAGATTGGATGTGCCAGCTCTGACTGCTAATTTCATTCCTCTGTGGATTCTAAGGGAGAAATTCTAGGGAGAAAGTGATGATATGAAAATCTGGTTTAAGGACTGAGCCTGGAGTCTGCCAAAATAGAGAAGAGGGGAGAGAAGGGGAAGACCTGAGCCCACCAAGACAGTGAGAATCAGCCCAAAGAGCCACCCATTTCTCTTCCACTCTTTCCTGAGACAGAGGATGCCACCTCTCTTACCTTGCATTATTTCCTAGCAGAATGTCCTGTTCATTTTTAAGTTGTTGACCTAAATTTAGCTATGTGCCTGTCACATGGTGGACACTCAAATATTTATCCAATAAATGAAAGAATGAGGAAAGCCAGCCTCACAATATGAATTCTCTCTGTGCCATTGCACCTAGATCTTCCCAAGAGAGGGGCTATGTGAACACATCCTTGCAAATGTTTGACTGCTATAAATCTAACACTAGAAATAATAGGTTAAATGGAGATAATAGAGATATCATTCTCTCTGTCTATACATAATGTGTTTATGTGTGTGTGTGTGTGTGTGTGTGTGTGTGTATTTCTTTTTTTTTTTTTTTTTTTTTTTTTTTTGAGATGGAGTTTCACTCTGTTGCCCAGGCTGGAGTGCAGTGGTGTGATCTTGGCTCACTGCAACCTCCACCTCCCGGGTTCAATCAACTCTCATACCTCAGCCCACCAAGTAGCTAGGACTACAGACACACGCCACCATGCCCGGCTAATTTTTGTATTTTTAGTAGAGACGGAGTTTTACCATGTTGGCCAGGCTGGTCTTGAACTCGGGACCTCAAGTCATCTGCCCGCCTCGGCCTCCCAAAGTGCTAGGAATACAGCATATATATATATATGCTGTTATATATATATATATATATGTTTAAAAAGTAAAAAAGGCAGGGAGTAGAAATGGAAAAATCATATAAGAAAACAGCAATGTAAAAAGCATTTCTGTGAAACAGTACATTAGGGGACAGGCTGGACACAGCAGAAAATAACAAGCACAGGAAACTGTGATAGAGATGTAAGGACGCAGAATAAAGACAACCATTCTGTACTTACTTGTTTGCAGCTCATTTTTTTAAAAAGACACATAGATAGCAGTTGCTTACCTGTGCTTTATAATATTTACTAAATATTCCTAGGTTTTATCAGGGCTGGATTGTAGAACCTGCCTTCAGTCAATTACAAAAAATTGTCATGGTGTTCTAATAATAAAATTCATCCCCTAAAGCTGCCCAGATTCAGAGGCTTAGAGAAAAAAAAATCGTAGTGAATCATTTTAAAAAAGAAAATCTCAAAATTTGAAAGCCAAACGTGTGTTTAAAGGCATGCATAAATATGATAGTGTATTTAAATCTCATTATGCCAGTCACATTTGCGTAGTGGCCTATTTCTCACTTTAATCTGAGCGGCACGGCCTAGCGTGGGACGGCACAATGCACTTGGCACCTGCTGATGGAGCAGGCACACAAAACAACCTGTAGCAAGTTGATGCTCTACCAGGGACAAAAGAGAGTCTTGATATCGCCACCCAGTGTACTGGGGAATGAGCCTGCCCTTCCTTACTTCCCCCCATGACATCTTGGCTAAGTGAGTGTAATTCCATCTGCTGGTATCACTCCCTGGGAAAATTGTGTAGCGTCATATTCTTTTCAAGCATATTCCAGAGGGAAGATTATAGCTGCCTGCTCCCAACATCAAAGTGATGTTGTGATTAATTACAATCATGCTGGACATGATCTTTGAAAATGGAGATTTTTTTCCATGCTTACTTAAAGGAAGTATACATCACAAAGGAATTCATGGTGATCTCATTCATACACAACAAATGGATTCATTTTCATATAGCTGGAGGTGTAGCAGCGATCTGAGATAAGGTTTCACTTTTAGATTGTTATTTAAGTGTGTGTGTGTATGTGTGTGTGTGTATAAATATATATTTTTTTCTTTTTTTTTTTAATGTCTTGAAGAATTGTTAGTACTTTTAGTTTTATTTTAGAGACAGATTTTGTTACTGGTTTTACTAAGAACAATGTGTTCTTTTTTTTTTTCCTTTTCTTTTTTTTTTTTATTATACTTTAAGTTTTAGGGTACATGTGCACATTGTGTAGGTTAGTTACATATGTATACATGTGCCATGCTGGTACACTGCACCCACTAACTCGTCATCTAGCATTAGGTGTATCTCCCAATGCTATCCCTCCCCGCTCCCCCCACCCCACAACAGTCCCCAGAGTGTGATATTCCCCTTCCTGTGTCCATGTGATCTCATTGTTCAATTCCCACCTATGAGTGAGAATATACGGTGTTTGGTTTTTTTGTACTTGCGATAGTTTACTGAGAATGATGTTTTCCAATTTCATCCATGTCCCTACAAAGGACATGAACTCATCATTTTTTATGGCTGCATAGTATTCCATGGTGTATATGTGCCACATTTTCTTAATCCAGTCTATCGTTGTTGGACATTTGGGTTGGTTCCAAGTCTTTGCTATTGTGAATAGTGCTGCAATAAACATACGTGTGCATGTGTCTTTATAGCAGCATGATTTATAGTCCTTTACCCAGTAATGGGGTAATGGGATGGCTGGGTCAAATGGTATTTCCAGTTCTAGAACCCTGAGGAATCGCCACACTGACTTCCACAATGGTTGAACTAGTTTACAGTCCCACCAACAGTGTAAAAGTGTTCCTATTTCTCCACATCCTCTCCAGCACCTGTTGTTTCCTGACTTTTTAATGATTGCCATTCTAACTAGTGTGAGATGGTATCTCATTGTGGTTTTGATGTGCATTTCTCTGATGTCCAGTGATGATGAGCATTTTTTCATGTGTTTTTTGGCTGCATAAATGTCTTCTTTTGGAAAGTGTCTGTTCGTGTCCTTCGCCCACTTTTTGATGGGGTTGTTTTTTTCTTGTAAATTTGTTTGAGTTCATTGTAGATTCTGGATATTAGCCCTTTGTCAGATGAGTAGGTTGCGAAAATTTTCTCCCATTTTGTAGGTTGCCTGTTCACTCTGATGGTAGTTTCTTTTGCTGTGCAGAAGCTCTTTAGTTTAATTAGATCCCATTTGTCAATTTTGGCTTTTGTTGCCATTGCTTTTGGTGTTTTAGACATGAAGTCCTTGCGCATGCCTATGTCCTGAATGGTGATGCCTAGGTTTTCTTCTAGGGCTTTTATGGTTTTAGGTCTAACGTTTAAGTCTTTAATCCATCTTGAATTGATTTTTGTATAAGGTGTAAGGAAGGGATCCAGTTTCAGCTTTCTACATATGGCTAGCCAGTTTTCCCAGCACCATTTATTAAATGGGGAATCCTTTCCCCATTGCTTGTTTTTCTCAGGTTTGTCAAAGATCAGATAGTTGTAGATATGCGGCGTTATTTCTGAGGGCTCTGTTCTGTTCCATTGATCTATATCTCTGTTTTGGTACCAGTACCATGCTGTTTTGGTTACTGTAGCCTTGTAGTATAGTTTGAAGTCAGGTAGTGTGATGCCTCCAGCTTTGTTCTTTTGGCTTAGGATTGACTTGGCGATGCGGGCTCTTTTTTGGTTCCATATGAACTTTAAAGTAGTTTTTTCCAATTCTGTGAAGAAAGGCATTGGTAGCTTGATGGGGATGGCATTGAATCTGTAAATTACCTTGGGCAGTATGGCCATTTTCACGATATTGATTCTTCCTACCCATGAGCATGGAATGTTCTTCCATTTGTTTGTATCCTCTTTTATTTCCTTGACCAGTGGTTTGTAGTTCTCCTTGAAGAAGTCCTTCACATCCCTTGTAAGTTGGATTCCTAGGTATTTTATTCTGTTTGAAGCAATTGTGAATGGGAGTTCACTCCTGATTTGGCTCTCTGTTTGTCTGTTGTTGGTGTATAAGAATGCTTGTGATTTTTGTAGATTGATTTTGTATCCTGAGACTTTGCTGAAGTTGCTTATGAGCTTAAGGAGATTTTGGGCTGAGACAATGGGGTTTTCTAGATATACAATCATGTCGTCTGCAAACAGGGACAATTTGACTTCCTCTTTTCCTAATTGAATACCCTTTATTTCCTTCTCCTGCCTAATTGCCCTGGCCAGAACTTCCAACACTATGTTGAATAGGAGTGGTGAGAGAGGGCGTCCCTGTCTTGTGCCAGTTGTCAAAGGGAATGCTTCCAGTTTTTGCCCATTCAGTATGATATTGGCTGTGGGTTTGTCATAGATAGCTCTTATTATTTTGAGATACGTCCCATCAATACCTAATTTATTGAGAGTTTTTAGCATGAAGGGTTGTTGAATTTTGTCAAAGGCTTTTTCTGCATCTATTGAGATAATCATGTGGTTTTTGTCTTTGGCTCTGTTTATATGCTGGATTACATTTATTGATTTGCATATATTGAACCAGCCTTGCATCCCAGGGATGAAGCCCACTTGATCATGGTGGATAAGCTTTTTGATGTGCTGCTGGATTCGGTTTGCCAGTATTTTATTGAGGATTTTTGCATCAATGTTCATCAAGGATATTGGTCTAAAATTCTTTTTTGTTGTGTCTCTGCCTGGCTTTGGTATCAGAATGATGCTGGCCTCATAAAATGAGTTAGGGAGGATTCCCTCTTTTTCTGTTGATTGGAATAGTTTCAGAAGGAATGGTACCAGTTCCTCCTTGTACCTCTGGTAGAATTCAGCTGTGAATCCATCTGGTCCTGGACTCTTTTTGGTTGGTAAGCTATTGATTATTGCCACAATTTCAGATCCTGTTATTGGTCTATTCAGAGATTCAACTTCTTCCTGGTTTAGTCTTGGGAGAGTGTATGTGTCGAGGAATTTATCCATTTCTTCTAGATTTTCTAGTTTATTTGTGTAGAGGTGTTTGTAGTATTCTCTGATGGTACTTTGTATTTCTGTGGGATCGGTGGTGATATCCCCTTTATCATTTTTTATTGCATCTATTAGATTCTTCTCTCTTTTTTTCTTTATTAGTCTTGCTAGCGGTCTATCAATTTTGTTGATCCTTTCAAAAAACCAGCTCCTGGATTCATTAATTTTTTGAAGGGTTTTTTGTGTCTCTATTTCCTTCAGTTCTGCTCTGATTTTAGTTATTTCTTGCCTTCTGCTAGCTTTTGAATGTGTTTGCTCTTGCTTTTCTAGTTCTTTTAATTGTGATGTTAGGGTGTCAATTTTGGATCTTTCCTGCTTTCTCTTGTGGGCATTTAGTGCTATAAATTTCCCTCTACACACTGCTTTGAATGCGTCCCAGAGATTCTGGTATGTTGTGTCTTTGTTCTCGTTGGTTTCAAAGAACATCTTTATTTCTGCCTTCATTTCGTTATGTACCCAGTAGTCATTCAGGAACAGGTTGTTCAGTTTCCATGTAGTTGAGCGGTTTTGAGTGAGATTCTTAATCCTGAGTTCTAGTTTGATTGCACTGTGGTCTGAGAGATAGTTTGTTATAATTTCTGTTCTTTTACATTTGCAGAGGAGAGCTTTACTTCCAAGTATGTGGTCAATTTTGGAATAGGTGTGGTGTGGTGCTGAAAAAAATGTATATTCTGTTGATTTGGGGTGGAGAGTTCTGTAGATGTCTATTAGGTCCACTTGGTGCAGAGCTGAGTTCAATTCCTGGGTATCCTTGTTGACTTTCTGTCTCGTTGATCTGTCTAATGTTGACAGTGGGGTGTTAAAGTCTCCCATTATTAATGTGTGGGAGTCTAAGTCTCTTTGTAGGTCACTCAGGACTTGCTTTATGAATCTTGGTGCTCCTGTATTGGGTGCATATATATTTAGGATAGTTAGCTCTTCTTGTTGAATTGATCCCTTTACCATTATGTAATGGCCTTCTTTGTCTCTTTTGATCTTTGTTGGTTTAAAGTCTGTTTTATCAGAGACTAGGATTGCAACCCCGGCCTTTTTTTGTTTTCCATTGGCTTGGTAGATCTTCCTCCATCCTTTTATTTTGAGCCTATGTGTGTCTCTGCACGTGAGATGGATTTCCTGAATACAGCACACTGATGGGTCTTGACTCTTTATCCAATTTGCCAGTCTGTGTCTTTTAATTGGAGCATTTAGTCCATTTACATTTAAAGTTAATATTGTTATGTGTGAATTTGATCCTGTCATTATGATGTTAGCTGGTTATTTTGCTCGTTAGTTGATGCAGTTTCTTCCTAGTCTTGATGGTCTTTACATTTTGGCATGACTTTGCAGCAGCTGGTACTGGTTGTTCCTTTCCATGTTTAGTGCTTCCTTCAGGAGCTCTTTTAGGGCAGGCCTGGTGGTGACAAAATCTCTCAGCATTTGCTTGTCTGCAAAGTATTTTATTTCTCCTTCGCTTATGAAGCTTAGTTTGGCTGGATATGAAATTCTGGGTTGAAAATTCTTTTCTTTAAGAATGTTGAATATTGGCCCCCACTCTCTTCTGGCTTGTAGGGTTTCTGCTGAGAGATCCGCTATTAGTCTGATGGGCTTCCCTTTGAGGGTAACTCGACCTTTCTCTCTGGCTGCCCTTAACATTTTTTCCTTCATTTCAACTTTGGTGAATCTGACAATTA
This sequence comes from Homo sapiens, assembly GCF_000001405.40. Lineage (NCBI taxonomy): Eukaryota > Metazoa > Chordata > Mammalia > Primates > Hominidae > Homo > Homo sapiens. The sequence continues at coordinate 182,783,528 of NC_000004.12, forward strand.
TGTGTCTTGGAGTTGCTCTTCTCGAGGAGTATCTTTGTGGCGTTCTCTGTATTTCCTGAATCTGAACGTTGGCCTGCCTTGCTAGATTGGGGAAGTTCTCCTGGATAATATCCTGCAGAGTGTTTTCCAACTTGGTTCCATTCTCCCCATCACTTTCAGGTACACCAATCAGACGTAGATACGGTCTTTTCACATAGTCCCATGTTTCTTGGGGGCTTTGCTCATTTCTTTGTATTCGTTTTTCTCTAAACTTCCCTTCTCGCTTCATTTCATTCATTTCATCTTCCATCGCTGATACCCTTTCTTCCAGTTGATCGCATCGGCTCCTGAGGCTTCTGCATTCTTCACGTAGTTCTCGAGCCTTGGTTTTCAGCTCCATCAGCTCCTTTCAGCACTTCTCTGTATTGGTTATTCTAGTTATACATTCTTCTAAATTTTTTTCAAAGCTTTCAACTTCTTTGCCTTTGGTTTGAATGTCCTCCCGTAGCTCAGAGTAATTTGATCGTCTGACGCCTTCTACTCTCAGCTCGTCAGTCATTCTCCATCCAGCTTTGTTCTGTTGCTGGTGAGGAACTGCATTCCTTTGGAGGAGGAGAGGCGCTCTGCTTTTTAGAGTTTCCAGTTTTTCTGTTCTGTTTTTTCCCCATCTTTGTGGTTTTATCTACTTTTGGTCTTTGATGACGGTGATGTACAGATGGGTTTTTGGTGTGGATGTCCTTTCTGTTTGTTAGTTTTCCTTCTAACAGAGAGGACCCTCAGCTGCAGGTCTGTTGGAATACCCTGCCGTGTGAGGTGTCAGTGTGCCCCTGCTGGGGGGTGCCTCCCAGTTAGGCTGCTCAGGGGTCAGGGGTCAGGGACCCACTTGAGGAGGCACTCTGCCAGTTTTCAGATCTCCAGCTGCGTGCTGGGAGAACCACTGCTCTCTTCAAAGCTGTCAGACATGGACATTTAAGTCTGCAGAGGTTACTGCTGTCTTTTTGTTTGTCTGTGCCCTGCCCCCAGAGGTGGAGCCTACAGAGGCAGGCAGGCCTCCTTGAGCTGTGGTGGGCTCCACCCAGTTCGAGCTCCCCGGCTGCTTTGTTTACCTAAGCAAGCCTGGGCAATGGCGGGCGCCCCTCCCCAAGCCTCGCTGCCGCCTTGCAGTTTGATCTCAGACTGCTGTGCTAGCAATCAGCGAGACTCCGTGGGCGTAGGACCCTCCCAGCCAGGTGCGGGATATAATCTCCTGGTGTGCCGTTTTTTAAGCCCGTCGGAAAAGCGCAGTATTCGGGTGGGAGTGACCCGATTTTCCAGGTGCTGTCCGTCACCCCTTTCTTTGACTGGGAAAGGGAACTCCCTGACCCCTTGCACTTCCCAAGTGAGGCAATGCCTCGCCCTGCTTCGGCTCGCGCACGGTGCGCGCACCCACTGACCTGCGCCCACTGTCTGGCACTCCCTAGTGGGATGAACCCGGTACCTCAGATGGAAATGCAGAAATCACCGTCTTCGGCGTCTCTCATGCTGGGAGCTGTAGACCGGAGCTGTTCCTATTCGGCCATCTTGGCTCCTCCCCCATATTTTTTTTCTTGAGACAGGGTCTTGCTGGGACGCCCAGGCTGGAGTGCAGTAGTGTGATCTTGGCTCACTGCAGCCTTGACTTCACAGGCTCAAGTGATCCTCCCACCCCAGGCTCCCAAGTAGCTGGGACTACAGGCACCTCCACACCTGGCTAATTTTTGTATTTTTCTACAGACAGGATTTCACCATGTTGCCCAGGCTGGTCTCAAACTGCTGACCTTAAGTGATCTGCCTGCCTCAGCCTCCCAAAATCTTGGAATTACAGACATGAGCCACCCCTCCCGGTCTTAACCTGATATTTTTAATAATAATTAAAAATATTTATTAAAAGGCTACCAGAAGACCAGACGCAGTGGTTTACACCTGTAGTCCCAGCACTTTGGGAGGCTGAGGCGGGTGGATCACCTAAGCCCAGGAGTTTGAGACCAGCCAGGGCAACATGGGGAGACCCTGTCTCTACTAAAAATACAAAAATTAGCCAGGCGTGGTGGCGCACGCCTCTCGTCTCAGCTACTCACGGGGCTGAGGTGGGAGGATCACTTGAGCCCAGACAGTCGAGGCTGCAGTGAGCCAAGATCACACTATTGCTCTCCAGCCTAGGTGTCCCAGCCAGACCCTGTCTCAAGATAAAAAAAAAAAAAAAAAAAAAGCCACTGAAGCCTGGAATAATGCTGGTACTTTATGACTGTAACAAAAAAAAAAAAAAGACTTGAAAAGTTGCCCTGACATCATAAAGATGTGGTGAAGCAAGACCATGTCCTGGAACGCAGGTGCCCCTTGTCTGTTCTTTTGTTCACAACACCCAAAGGAGAAGGTCCAGGCATGGTAAGGGGGTGAAAAACATGAGAGCTCTTAGTATCTTTTGAAATGTTCCGTACTGAATAACAGAGAGCGGTGTCTGGAAACAGTAAGAATGGTTAAAGCCTTGGCTTGTGTTGGGAATTTGGGAAAAAACATAGCCACATTCTAACTCATTCCTCATTACTTTGGTTTGAGGATACAAGAAAGGCACGGCATCCAGTATTTGTCTGGATAAAAGAAAAATCATACCTTCTGTCCAGATGCTGGGTCTCACTGCTTCCAGGTGCTTGTCCAAGGCACGCACAGTGATGGCATCATCTGACTTGCATCTGGGTGTTTCGGTGTCGCCTAGCCACACTCACAAACCAAAGGTGCAAATCGGAAGCCAGGGCTGGGCACGGTGGCTCACGCCTGCAATCCCAGCACTTTGGGAAGCGGAGGCGGGTGGATCACCTGAGGTCAGGAGTTCAAGACCAGCCTGGCCAACATGGTGAGACCCCCGTCTCTACTAAAAATACAAAAATTAGCAAGGTGTGGTGGCACATGATTGTAATCCCAGCTACTCAGGAGGCTGAGGCAGGAGAATTGCTTGAACCTGGAGGAGGAGGTTGCAGTGAGCCAAGATTGCACCACTGCACTCCAGCCTGGGTGACAGAGTGAGACCCCGTCTTAAAAAAAAAAAAAAAAAAGAAATCAGATGCCCGAGCAGCATGGGGTTCCATGCCTGTCTCCCTACAGCAGCACGTCATATCCACTCTGTGGTCCAGATTTCCCATACTCCAACCAGGGGAAATACCGCAGAGATGAAGGAGGGTCCAGGAAGCAGTAAAGAATTAATACAAATTAAAATGAATGCCAAGGAAAATGCAAACACATGGGCAATAATAACATGGCAGCACTGTCCCTGGAAGCTACAGTCAGTCTTCTGTAGTTCCTCCAAAGCCCGGGATAATCTAAGGAAGAAAAAAAGGGCAACCTTAAACATTCAGGGTATTTTTTCCTTTCAAAACACAATCACAGGCGCTCAAGAGCCCTAAGAAAACCATTTAAATTGTGCAAAACCTCTTCTTGAGGCATCCAAAATTAGAGTGCAGGTATAAGCTGAAGAACTTGATTCTGCCATTTATCACTTTGATACAAATATTTCTACAGACTTTAAAATATATATATGTAACTAGCCGGTAGCTTCTTTCCAAGGTACACAAAGTATTCTACAAAGCTCAACTCATAAAGTTTCACAAAATTCACATAAGGCAGGGAGCAACTGATATGCAGACAGTTCCGCATGGAAGCTCAGAAAGCCTCCAGCTGGCTGGTCAGAATCGAATAAAACTCACTGAAAGACAGAGCCTAAGGGATCTAGGCCAACCTCTTTATTTACAGATGGACAAAACAGACTCAGAGGGGTTGAAAGCCAAGGTCAGGCTGCTTCAGGTCTGGAGATCAGGCTTCGGACTCTTGGGTTCCTCCCCCAACCACCACTCCGGACTATCTGCTGTGACACGGTGTTGTGGGGTTTTTGCCCACATCAGCTGATAGAACTGAAAAGTTAAGATGTAATTTCTAGGCCAGGCTCGGTGGCTCGTGCCTGTAATCCCAGCACTTTGGGAGGCCAAGGTGGGTGGATCACCTGAGGTCAGGAGTTCGAGACCAGCCTGGCCAACATGGTGAAACCCCATCTCTACCAAAAATACAAAAATTAGCTGGGTATGGTGGCAGGCGCCTGTAATCCCAGCTACTCGGGAGGCTGAGGCAGGAGAATGGCTTGAACCCCGGGAGGCGGAGGCTGCAGTGAGCCGAGATCGCACCACTGTACTCCAGCCTGGGCGACAAGGGCAAAACTCCACCTCAAAAAAAAAAAAAAAAAAAAAAAAAAAGATGTGATTTCTCTCCAGGGCTCTGCCTCCTTATATTTTGTAAATCAGCTCTCTGGGTGCTTCCCACCCTCAACATCATTGCTTTTTAGCTTATCGAGCTGCCATTCCACGGACTTCACCATACTCCCCTTGAACAGCCAATAGGAAAAGTTTAAGCTTAAGGATTATTTTTGCATGGGACATGTTTAATGTGAATGATAGAATGCAAAAGGCAGTTTTATTCCAAATTTTACAAATATATATGATGTATGTATATACACATATATTTATATATAAACGTGAGTGGTTGTGTGTGTGTGTAAAATTGGTCAGCTGGATCTGTCCACTTTGAAGGTTCTAGCTAGAATATGGTTATGTAAAATTAAGATGTTCCCATTTAATTTTTAACAATCAAAACAGTTAATGAGCATTTTGGAATGTACAAGCCACCCCTCCCACAAAGGTGCTGTAGAAGACCAGAGAATGAATAGGCCATGGTCTCTGCCCTTCAGAGGTTCACAGCCTGCAAACACTGGAGACTATTGGTAAAGCAGAATTTAATCGGGACCACATTTCTATTGCAATAATGAAGGCTGGGTTGTGTATGCCTCGGATGGCAGACGGTAACAGCCAGATTTAGTCCAAGGCTCTGGACGTGGCACCTAGCCACAGAGACTCTATGACAACACATGGTGCTGAATTTGTCAGATAAGTACAATATTCGGATCATGTGTATGTGTTAGTAAAGGACTCTGAAGTCCCTGCCAGTTAACCAGATCTTCTCCAAAGAAAGACGCCTTCTCAAAAAACTGTGACGTTGCAGCACTGGGCCAAAAGCAATGATCTTGTTTATAACCTGCTGCTATTGAAACTCATTAATAATTTACAGTAATGTGGGTTCCAACTTCTACTTAACTGCTCTTCAAAGGGCCAGAGTCACATTAACCGCTGTGTTTTATTTAATGTAGCCATGATTAATTTACTAAGCAATTATTTTCCAGTGTCTTTTGGGGGAGGAGCTTGGAGTCATATGAACAGGTGTCATGTTTATCACCTTTAGAGCTCCTGAACAAACTTTAAGACACATACATTTTGGTATTTTTCTTATCAGTTGCTTTAGTTTACAAAATTTAATTGAAATGGTTTTGAACAAATGCCAGGCTGTCTTTCTGCTTAATAAAACATTTTAAAAGAGCAGTTAATCTACTGCCTTGCACTTGTACCCAAGAAGTTGCTAAGTTAATTTACTGACAAAGAGAATCAATCATCGTAAATGGTGTTTAAACAATACTGGGGACTCCGGTGTTGGAATAACATGATTTATTTTATCATCTTGTTGGTGTTGTAACAGGTTAATGGCAGAAACCTCCTTTCAGTTGACTTTGATCGAACAACAAAGACAGAAAAGATCTATGACGACCACCGTAAATTTCTACTGAGGATCGCCTACGACACGTCTGGGCACCCGACTCTCTGGCTGCCAAGCAGCAAGCTGATGGCCGTCAATGTCACCTATTCATCCACAGGTCAAATTGCCAGCATCCAGCGAGGCACCACTAGCGAGAAAGTAGATTATGACGGACAGGGGAGGATCGTGTCTCGGGTCTTTGCTGATGGTAAAACATGGAGTTACACATATTTAGAAAAGGTATGCCTGCAAACTAAGCTCAACAATAGGGAAAGGATAATTCACATTTTTCAGCAATCATCCAGAGCACTAAGGGGAAAAAAAACAGTGGCACATGACTGAGTTCCATTTGTTATTCGAAGTATCAATACGGAAGTCACATTGGCACAGCAGTGATGAATTTCTGCATTAGCAAAGTAGTTTCTCCTTAGTTAAGTTCTACTGTCTGAGACCCTTTTAAGTGATTTATGATGTAAACAAATAAGCATTAACGTTGTCCACCTGCCAAGCTTACACATTGACAACATTCACAAATTAGACCTTGAGCGTGTAAGTCGCTTGTAAATAATTTTCGTGCTAGCTCTTCCATTTAAGAGAGAGCCTTACATTAGCACAGTTAAAGCTGTCAGCTTTGTGTTATTCCTGGCAGAGCTTCAACATAATCATAAAAAGCATGTAGATCCTAGTTACGCATTATTAACCAAAAGAGGCGATTTTCTTAGAAAGCCACACTTTCGGGTACTCTGTGGCATCTTTCCTTTCTTCTACATATAAAAGGTAAGCCTCCTAGATTAGGCTGTTTTCCATTCTTGAGAACTATGCATAGTATCAAAAATGGAGACTTAGAATTACACGTGTGCAAAATGCTAAGTTGTATGCTGTGCGGCTTGGGGTATTGACTGGGGTCAGAGGAAATGAAAGTAAAAGAAAGGGAAGAAAAAGGAAAGAACAATCTCCATGTAATTCCTTTCTTAAGAAATATCCACCGAAAAGCATATTCATGGAATGTTTCATTTGCCTTTGAGACAAAAGTTCGCCCTAGAAAATGATTCTGTTTTGAGTTCCGGTAGCTCTCAGACCCCAGAGCATGGCACCACCAGTTACCCAGCAGCGCGTGCTACACACTACTCGGCAGTTACTGTTCCACCCCTCCTGACTGAAACGTTGCACAGAGGAACTCTTGTCACCCAAAGAAATCACATCACATCCATGTTGTCACTGTGCTCCCCTCACACAATCTTGTTCTTTACCAGAGGTGCCCTGGGGAATGGCTCAGTCTAAACCTAACCCCCTGAACCCTGAGCCATCCCAACTAATTCCAGCCGGCGCCTGCACAGGCTACTCTTCCTGAGAACCAGTTTCAGTTCCAAAGCTCACTGTAGGATGCTACCTCTCTTACGGCAGCCCCCCACCTCTGGGATGCGTCCAGCTAGGACCCTCATGGCCAATCCGTCCTCTTGCAAACTCACCTGTCCGCTCTCATCAGAAGAGACTCACCCTTGAGACAATGAACCACACCTGTTAGATGACAAGCCCCTAACGCAATGTTTCTAAGTGGGAGAGGATCATGGCTTCGTTCTGGAGCAGTTTTCCCAATTTAAATTCAGTGCATTACAGAGAAGAATAACAGAAACATACAAGCACAACCCTTAAAATGTATAGTAGTGATCATAATGGCACTGGGAAATGTTTAGAGGGAGCCCAGGAGCATATCATTGAGAAGAGCCGCTGTCACAGAATGACAAAGGCAGTGACCAGGATCACCTGCATGCATCCAGGAGGATCAGAAAAGACAACAGACAGATCTTTCTCATCGTCTCTCCCAAAACCCATCAAATCCACCCAGACTATTTCGATGTTCTTACTGGGATAGGTGCACTAAGCCAAAACTTACTCATAGCAAAACAAGTAATATTTTACAGACCACCATCAAATATGACTTCAGATGATTCCAAAAGTAGGTATTCATGTGAATTCGGCAAAGTCCAAGCTTTCCTTGGAACAATGCAAACTATTAGGAACAATTCTCAGGACATTTACTACACAACCTGCATGCAAAAATTGCCCCTGGGTCTGCCCAAAGAGGAGATTCTACAGAAGCTGAAGTCAGGCAAAGGAGAAGTCCCAGCAGGGCTCCCAAGCTCCACATCCTCCCTGTGCCAATGATGTTCCATTTGGCCCAGCGGGTTAGAGGAAGCTTCCTCAGAGGGAAGAGTCACCCACAGCCCTGTGTTACTGCTGAGCTTGACTTAACCAGCCTGGGATGACCTTCTCTCACATTTGTTGGCCTAGTAACTGTCATTTGTCTTTCGGCAGTGGCTCATGAAATAGAGTTCACTTTTAATACATTTACTCATTTCATAATTTAGCACCAAAGCAGTATGTAGTCCAGAAACCATCCTTATTGCTCCTGAGATACAAATCGGATTTGGTATCCACAGAAAGAAAAGGAGATTTTATTGTCAGTACGGATGCCTTGTAACAATTTGCCTGTATGTGTATATATAATATTTCTATTAAGGGCATTTATAGCTCTCATTCACCATGTGATTAATTTCACAATATTTTTTGGTGTCGATGCTTTGTATACACTTTATCCATTTTTGGCTAATTTTATGTCTTTATACAATAATATTGTGACTGCTTTGCCCCTCCCCCAAGTACACTAGAAATTAAACATGATTTGAGTGGTTCTTCACTCAGATGAGGGGGGGAAAGCCACCTTACTAAATAATTGCTAATTATGGATAGAACTGCATTCCCCATATGCTCTTTTCTCCTCAAAATATTGTCTGTAAAGCAGCTTTGATCATGCCTGTATTATGACTAATCCAGATCCATTGACAAATCTGCTGGTTGGCTATGAATGTCTGGGAAAATAATGGTACTGTCGTGACAGGCAGCACATTGTGAATCTCGAGCCACTAATTGCAGAACCCCTCACAATTAAGCATCCAAGCAAATTAGGCAGAGAAACGTTAACAACACGCAAGGTCAAGGATAACTCAATTAAAATGAAAATCATTTTCTCTAGTGGAATGTTTCTGTGCATCTGTGGTCACTAAATCTGCTTTTGCATCTCCCGTTCACAAACACTGAGTAACAGTATGTTCTCTCTTTACAGTCCATGGTTCTTCTGCTTCATAGCCAGCGGCAGTACATCTTCGAATACGATATGTGGGACCGCCTGTCTGCCATCACCATGCCCAGTGTGGCTCGCCACACCATGCAGACCATCCGATCCATTGGCTACTACCGCAACATATACAACCCCCCGGAAAGCAACGCCTCCATCATCACGGACTACAACGAGGAAGGGCTGCTTCTACAAACAGCTTTCTTGGGTACAAGTCGGAGGGTCTTATTCAAATACAGAAGGCAGACTAGGCTCTCAGAAATTTTATATGATAGCACAAGAGTCAGTTTTACCTATGATGAAACAGCAGGAGTCCTAAAGACAGTAAACCTCCAGAGTGATGGTTTTATTTGCACCATTAGATACAGGCAAATTGGTCCCCTGATTGACAGGCAGATTTTCCGCTTTAGTGAAGATGGGATGGTAAATGCAAGATTTGACTATAGCTATGACAACAGCTTTCGAGTGACCAGCATGCAGGGTGTGATCAATGAAACGCCACTGCCTATTGATCTGTATCAGTTTGATGACATTTCTGGCAAAGTTGAGCAGTTTGGAAAGTTTGGAGTTATATATTATGATATTAACCAGATCATTTCTACAGCTGTAATGACCTATACGAAGCACTTTGATGCTCATGGCCGTATCAAGGAGATTCAATATGAGATATTCAGGTCGCTCATGTACTGGATTACAATTCAGTATGATAACATGGGTCGGGTAACCAAGAGAGAGATTAAAATAGGGCCCTTTGCCAACACCACCAAATATGCTTATGAATATGATGTTGATGGACAGCTCCAAACAGTTTACCTCAATGAAAAGATAATGTGGCGGTACAACTACGATCTGAATGGAAACCTCCATTTACTGAACCCAAGTAACAGTGCGCGTCTGACACCCCTTCGCTATGACCTGCGAGACAGAATCACTCGACTGGGTGATGTTCAATATCGGTTGGATGAAGATGGTTTCCTACGTCAAAGGGGCACGGAAATCTTTGAATATAGCTCCAAGGGGCTTCTAACTCGAGTTTACAGTAAAGGCAGTGGCTGGACAGTGATCTACCGTTATGACGGCCTGGGAAGGCGTGTTTCTAGCAAAACCAGTCTAGGACAGCACCTGCAGTTTTTTTATGCTGACTTAACTTATCCCACTAGGATTACTCATGTCTACAACCATTCGAGTTCAGAAATTACCTCCCTGTATTATGATCTCCAAGGACATCTTTTTGCCATGGAAATCAGCAGTGGGGATGAATTCTATATTGCATCGGATAACACAGGGACACCACTGGCTGTGTTCAGTAGCAATGGGCTTATGCTGAAACAGATTCAGTACACTGCATATGGGGAAATCTATTTTGACTCTAATATTGACTTTCAACTGGTAATTGGATTTCATGGTGGCCTGTATGACCCACTCACCAAATTAATCCACTTTGGAGAAAGAGATTATGACATTTTGGCAGGACGGTGGACAACACCTGACATAGAAATCTGGAAAAGAATTGGGAAGGACCCAGCTCCTTTTAACTTGTACATGTTTAGGAATAACAACCCTGCAAGCAAAATCCATGACGTGAAAGATTACATCACAGGTAAGCATTTTGATTCCTTCCCAAGAGCTGGAGGACTACCATCATTAGATTAATACACAAAATAACTGGAAATGCTTTTTTAAAAAACTTTATACTTTACTCAGGCAAAGGCAAATGGCTAACCTTTTAAATGTGTTTATTTCTTTATGGAACCATAGAGAAATCACAAAGGGAAAATGAGACATATTTACTTCCTATTCTGCCTGCCATTGCCCAAGGCCACAAGTTTTTGAAATGACATGTACTCAGTCATTTAAAGAAGGGGAACATGGGGGACCAAAAAACATGATGAACACAGAGTCCCAAAATTGGAGTCCCAATCCCAGCTCCTCTCCCACAAGTTGTGTAGCTCTGTAAGCAAGCCATATGTTTTTTGAGTTTCCATTCCCTTAACTATAAAATTGGGATAATAATGGCTAACTTAGGGCACAAATATAATACATGAAATTCTGCAACAGATAGTAACTACCTTACGAATGTGTCATGTTGGGTTTTTTTAATACATGTGTGAAGTTCTCATGGAGATAATTAAGGTGAAACACAATACAAGGTGACACCATTTCATCCCTGGGAGGTGTTTAATTCCTGCCTCACCACCATTGCCTCAGGACAGTCACGAAGCCATTTCTCCCATCAGTTGCTTAGACAATGGATCCTGTGTCTGGACTCACTTCTGTCTTCTTACATCACTGTCTTCATTGCCAGTGCAGTTCTTGCATGGTGACAATACTAATAGGCATACTAATTTTTCCACGAATGTGGGATAATTTTCAGGGTACAGATTTAAGATCTTTCCAAGTTTAGTGCATGCTACCTTTTTAGTTATGCAAGATGTAGAACATCAGATCCCACTTCTGCCACCATGGAACAACCAGCATGTGAAACAGACAAGGTCCTTGCAAGCATTACTCTAGTTCCCTTTAGTGAGCTGACTTCTTCACTCAACCTCTACTCCAAGAATTCTGAATCCTGCTGCTCCTACCTTCCATTCCTGATATACAGCACCATCATTAACCCCTCTACCACATTTATATTTCCAGGAGGAAGGTTCTTTCCTGTTGTCTTTTTTTTTTGGGCTTGATTTAAGGTATTTTGGTTTTGTTTTGGCTTGTGTTAGATGCTCCTTTAGGCTGCCTCTTTTCTAGCTCAATATTTGAGGCATACTGAGATGTCTGTTCTCTCAGTTCTCAAAACAGCTCTCAACAGGTTGCCCCCTGTTCATTTCACATCTGCTTCCTACCTTTCCAGACTGTCTAAAGCATTTCATATCTCTTCCATGTGAACCAGCTGAAAGTCCCTCCTTTCTGCCTCCTGATTCAGCAGCACCCTTATTCTCATTCAGGGTTTTTCAATACACATCTGCCTTCAAACCCCATTATTTTGGCAGTACTTTTCAATACTTACGGTCCTCTGATTTTCACTGTTATGCAGACATTGTTCAGAGTAACAGAATTTTTGCCCCCAATACTCCAACATTTGGGAGAATTTTCTCCCAAAATAAGGCCCTCCCACCCCCAAACTCATATACACTCTTACATACACACAAATTGTGTCACTTTGCATCCTGTGTGAACCACTTAGGATTTATGTCTCCCCACCACCACTACTACCACCCCATTTCAAATAAAAAGAATACCACTGGTTTTATAGCCATATGATGCCTGGACGAATGACCTGCCAGCCTGGCAATGAGGTGAGAGTCTGTGCCCTAGAGAAGGAAATGGGAATCAAGTGGCTCTCCATCATTCTGACAGGCAGTTTACCACTGGTTATTTAAGGGGTGTTGACAGGGGCTGACTGAAAGTCTGGAAAGCCCACAGCTCCTGAATTCATCCTCTCCTAGCAACGTGGACTGCAGGGAATGCCATAGCAGCATTTTCTGAAAAACATCAAAAGAGAGATGGAACAGCATAAAATATATTAGGTGAAATGCAATTTCAAATTTTCCAGCAATGTGCTTAATATATAAAATAATCTACACCCAACCGTTCTCATAAAGCTGCAAGCCTGCTGAGTAGTTCTGTAACATTATAACCTCCAGAATAGAATAAAAGCCTTATTCTGAGCTGAATGGCTTTTGGAGTCACATGGCAATATTTTAAAATACCACCTTAAAGGTTTCCGGGTTCTCTCCCCAAAAAGTTTGTCTCCACCTGTGCACAGTGAGCCTTTGAAGTCACAACTGATGGTAATCAGGACTTCTGGGCCCTTGGCCAGTTTTGCCAGCTTGCAGCATTCATCTTTGATTAAGAATCAACTGTTGATTTTAATACTCTCAATTTAGGGGTTTTATTAATAGAAAATGGGTTGTGGAAGTCCGCATATCCTTGGGCAATCGCTTTGGAGAGCTAATAACACACAACTTCTATTTGAGACCAGCCTTGACCAACTACAAAATAAATTTCGTTTCTTTTCTACAAGTATGTCTCTCTCCTGCTGCTGTGCATTGTTCTTACCTTTGCTAGCACTGTTACTAGCACAGGCTGCAACTTAGCAGGACTGATGGCTTACCCAGTCTGTCTGAGCATCTATTACTCGCATTTTTCGTAGCATTTGCCATAGTTCTGCTGTGAAGGTTACCGTCTTCATGTCTAAAAACAGTAGGTTTAGATTTGTAGGACGAAAGCAAACAGGTGCTCTTTTTCAGATTATTAATTGTGAAATTGGATTTTCTTTTTAAGGTAAGAATTTAAATTTATGAAAGGACAAAACAAACTCCAACACCTTTCATTCTGAACATTCTTCTCCTAGATGTTAACAGCTGGCTGGTGACATTTGGTTTCCATCTGCACAATGCTATTCCTGGATTCCCTGTTCCCAAATTTGATTTAACAGAACCTTCTTACGAACTTGTGAAGAGTCAGCAGTGGGATGATATACCGGTAAGAAACAAAAAGACCTACGGAAAGGTGATAAGTAGCTTGTGTCTTATCTACCCATATCTAATCAAACTACCCTTGTGAAAACTGTACCAAAGACAGTTTTTAACTTTTTGACTGTTTTAGGGAAAAAAAACAACACTTCCTCTGCATTTGTGTTCAACAAACCAGAGGCCTCTTAAACAGGCTTAAATATGTTTTCAGCAATGCTAATGAAAACATAGAAATGCAGAAGCTCACTTTCGAGTGCTGGGTTTCTAAAAAGAACCCCAAGAAAGCGTGGACCTGAAGGCAAAAATACAATAAACAAAAGGGCAGGGAACTCATATTACAAATTAGCAAACCACAAACAATGCCACAAGGTTCAACTTCTTTAAAAATTAACAGTGTTTTGGCCGAGTGAGGGGGCTCACGCCTGTAATCCCAGCACTTTGGGAGGCCGAGGAGGTCGGATCACCTGAGGTCGGGAGTTCGAGACCAGCCTGACCAACATGGAGAAACCCCATCTCTACTAAAAATACAAAATTAGCCCGGCATGGTGGGGCATGCCTGTTATCCCAGCTACTCAGGAGGCTGAGGCAGGAGAATCACTTGAACCTGGGAGGCGGAGGTTGCAGTGACCCGAGATCACGCCATTGTACTCCAGCCTGAGCAACAAGAGCGAAACTCCGTCTCAAAAAAAAAATAATTAATTAATTAATAGTGTTTCATAGGAAAAGATTAAAAATAAAAATAAATGTCCTCTGGTAAGGCTCCACCTACAACCAGGAAGGTTTATGGAATTTTCCTGAGAATAGCAGATCAAGAGGCCTGTAACCATTATAAGAAATAAAGAAATATAATAGAAAATTGCAAAGTCAAAGCTGCCGCTTCAGAAAGTGGTACTTCTAATCCCCACCAGAGACCAGAAAGGAATGCACAGCAAAACACCAGAATTTCCAGCTTACAGTAAGAATAATTAGAGATGGAGAAACTGGGTGACTCCATGATCATAAGGAGAAGACAGTGCAGACTTTCTTAGGACAATTAATTCCCAACCACCCCTTGAGCAATTTCCTATCATTTCAATGAAAACAAAGAGAAGAGGCAGCCATGGTTAACACACACACAGGCTATCTACAGTACCAGTACCTGTTTTTTGTTGTTTCATACCTAATATAAAAGCAATTCCTTTTTCATAAGTTACAAATATAGTCGTGTGTGTGCAACATTTTGGTCAATGACAGACCTTGTATAAGGTGGTGATCACATAAGATTACAATATCATATATATTTTTTTTTAATTGAAATGGGGTCTCACTGTGTCACCCAGGCTGGAGTGCAGCCTTGACCTCCTGGGCTCAAGCGATCCTCCCACCTCAGGCTCCCAAGTATCTGGGACTACAGGCACGTGCCACCACACCCAGCTAATTTTTTATTTTTTGTAGAGATAAGAGTCTCCCTGCGTAGCACAGGCTGGTCTTGAACTCCTGGTCTCAAGCGTTCCTCCTGCCTCCACCTACTGAAGGGCTAGGATTACAGGCATGAGCCACCGGGCTCTGCCAACACTGTGTTTTTACTGTACCTCTTCTATGTTTAGATACACAAGTACTTACCATGGTGTTACAGTTGCCTGCAATATTCAGTACAGTCACACCGTATACAGGTTTGCAGCCTAGAAGCCATAGGCCATCCCATACAGCCTACGTGTGCAGTAGGCTACACCATCTAGGTTTGTGTAAGTGCCCGCTATGATGTTCACACAAGGACGAAATGGCCTAATGCCACATTTCTCAGAATGCCTCCCTGCGGTTAAGCAGTGCATGACTGTCTACACTGATACAGTGGCATGAAGACATACCGAAGTTTCCTAATGCATTTGAACATGCACTTCCTAATTGTGTATGACTTTCCAACATGCCTGAAAACACCTACATCTAACTGTACAAATGGACTTGCCAGCTCTTTTCCTAAGCAGCCTTTTAAATATGGTTCAAGTTCTCTGTCAAAAGAAGTGCACCATAAGGACAGCATAGGAAATCGTGGGCAAAGACACTGAGGCTGCCCCAAGTACAGAAAAACAACTGTTTCTTTCATTGCCGCAAATGAAACAGATGTTTTCATTTGGGAAACAATGGCCAGACAAACATCTGGTGGTATAAGAAATGGCTGAGTTAAGATGCCCCCAATTTAAAACATTTGCCAGTCTAGACGGTCCACTGTCCCTAAGTCTGAGAAAAATAATTGTTTTCCTAAAGTAACAAATATCGTCTCCAGCTGCCCCACCTTCCACTCATCCCTGTACATTTCAGTTCTGCGGTTACACTCACCATCTTCAGCTGAAAACTCTGCCAGGAGAGGGGACAGAGTTGACTTAAATACAAGCATTTCAAAGCATACGAAGCGGGGCCCTGTGATCGGCACTAAGTATCCCCAGCCGTTCAGATCCCTCTCTGTGTTTGGTGGCTTCTCAGCCTCCTGTGGAGAAAGCTACGAGCATGCAGATCCGGATGAGCTGGGTTCCCCACGTGGGGTGGGAGTGGGAAAAGAGCATCTAGAAACTGTAAGAGAAAAGCAAGAAACAGGACTATTTTTCCCATGTTAGAAACGAAGAAAGCTTTAAAGTGATCCACGATGAGTGAGCCATTTGGGGGTTCCAGAGCATCGGGATCACCTTGAGGGGGAGGGATCTCGAGTGCTCCCTCCACCCGGGCTGTCAGCCTTCTGGTCAGGGAAGGACCCCGGGGCTTCCATGCATGCCCCGGCGCTGCCCCCAGAGTCCCGTGTGTGGGTCAGGAGTGGGGAGGCTCCCGGCCGCCTCTGACGCGCCCCCTCTTTTGTTTCGCCCGCAGCCCATCTTCGGAGTCCAGCAGCAAGTGGCGCGGCAGGCCAAGGCCTTCCTGTCGCTGGGGAAGATGGCCGAGGTGCAGGTGAGCCGGCGCCGGGCCGGCGGCGCGCAGTCCTGGCTGTGGTTCGCCACGGTCAAGTCGCTGATCGGCAAGGGCGTCATGCTGGCCGTCAGCCAGGGCCGCGTGCAGACCAACGTGCTCAACATCGCCAACGAGGACTGCATCAAGGTGGCGGCCGTGCTCAACAACGCCTTCTACCTGGAGAACCTGCACTTCACCATCGAGGGCAAGGACACGCACTACTTCATCAAGACCACCACGCCCGAGAGCGACCTGGGCACGCTGCGGTTGACCAGCGGCCGCAAGGCGCTGGAGAACGGCATCAACGTGACGGTGTCGCAGTCCACCACGGTGGTGAACGGCAGGACGCGCAGGTTCGCGGACGTGGAGATGCAGTTCGGCGCGCTGGCGCTGCACGTGCGCTACGGCATGACCCTGGACGAGGAGAAGGCGCGCATCCTGGAGCAGGCGCGGCAGCGCGCGCTCGCCCGGGCCTGGGCGCGCGAGCAGCAGCGCGTGCGCGACGGCGAGGAGGGCGCGCGCCTCTGGACGGAGGGCGAGAAGCGGCAGCTGCTGAGCGCCGGCAAGGTGCAGGGCTACGACGGGTACTACGTACTCTCGGTGGAGCAGTACCCCGAGCTGGCCGACAGCGCCAACAACATCCAGTTCCTGCGGCAGAGCGAGATCGGCAGGAGGTAACGCCCGGGCCGCGCCCGCCGAGCCGCTCACGCCCTGCCCACATTGTCCTGTGGCACAACCCGAGTGGGACTCTCCAACGCCCAAGAGCCTTCCTCCCGGGGGAATGAGACTGCTGTTACGACCCACACCCACACCGCGAAAACAAGGACCGCTTTTTTCCGAATGACCTTAAAGGTGATCGGCTTTAACGAATATGTTTACATATGCATAGCGCTGCACTCAGTCGGACTGAACGTAGCCAGAGGAAAAAAAAATCATCAAGGACAAAGGCCTCGACCTGTTGCGCTGGGCCGTCTGTTCCTTCTAGGCACTGTATTTAACTAACTTTAAAAAAGAAAAAAAAATGTGTACAGTGTTTCCAAATAGTCCCGAATTGTCGACCTTTGCTTACAAGAAGTAGTCTGTCTGCATAGGATGTGATAGCTATCTCTGTTCATTTTACAATGTGGGGCAAAGTTACTGTTTCTAGACAACCCAACTGCTTTCCCTGTGCAGCTTTGTAGAAGGACATTGGCACAGTGACTTCTGCGGCGGGGATTTATTAATGGATTTTACAATGCTAACGTGGTTTCCCTTCGGGGAAAAAACTGGCAACTAGAATCCTTGTCACTGATAAGCAAAGGAAATCCTGATTTTTTTGTAAATTATGTGAGACAAGTTGTTTATGGATTTTTATATGAATTACAATTTACTGTACATCAAATCTTAGTCTCAGAGGAGTTAATTTATGTAAAGTGTTTAAAAATTTATACTTAAAAATAAAATGATAAAAACGTGAACTGTGTGATTTTTTTAAAAGGATTGCACCTTTTGTTATCTGTTATAGCTGTACAGTATGAATTATTATATTGTAGAGATATAACAACTTATGCCTATAATGTCCAGAAGTGTTAATATTTTTGTATTAGGTTGAAAAAATGTGCAAGCTTCTATCACTAGATGGATAGGACCGTGCAATTCTAGGTGGGTGGCGAATCAGAGAGCTCCTTTCTCTTCCCTCTCTCACGCATCAGGCCAGTGTCCTCAGCATTGTCAACTGAGAGGCACAGTAGACAACTAGGGCTGGTGGAATGTAAGGGAAGAAGATTGAAAAAACGGGAGGAAGGGTTCTCTGGCCCTCTCTCAACCTTGCAAGTCAATGGGGAGTTGTTGATATAATTAACCCCGAGGTTTTTACTGTTACTGTTCCAAAGCTCTGTCTCTTGATGGAGGAGAGACCACATCAGATGCTGGGGAAATAGGAGGAGGAAAGGTTCTGATGTAGTCGTGATCCTAAACACGTGTCTTAAGATCTAGGAAAGACAGCAGAAACCGAGCAGTGGTGGGTGAGCCAGATGGAGCCGGTCAGGGTTACTCTAAGCCCACATGACCAAACCATCTTGGGGGGCTGGTTTGAATGACAGCCTCTGCTCTGTCTCGGGGAAGCCGGGGGTGGCAGATCCAGCTGGAAGTGAACTGACAGCCGCGCCCTCCTGCACACATGCATGCACGCGTGTGGGAACGAGCCCAGCCGCCATCTGCACTTCCGTGTCGGCTCAGCTCTGACAAATCTCTTTCCTGAGCACTAAATTCAGCCACGAAAATATTTTTAGAAGATATTTCTCAGTTCATCGAGCTATAGTACACACTGTTTTCCTCTATGTATAATGGTGATAAAATATAGCAAGTGAACATGTCGTAAATATAAAGGTTCAAGTGATGTATTGAAAATAATTTTCTAACTGCTTTGTATGTATCACATACTCTAAATTGCACAGTAGGCGTGTTTATTAAACAGATGATTGGCTGGGAAAGTTTCAAAATAGCTACTGAATTTACAGTATCAGTGCTATTACTGTCTTTGTGTATTTGGTAGAGCATACCGAAGTAATTAATCTTCTAATGAATGCTGATGATATTTTATTAGAATGAAAGCACAGATTAGCATTAATATTTTTTATTCTGGAAATCCTTTGGCAAGTATTATGAAGCCCAAATTTAGAAAACTATGAGATTTCAAACCACATAAACATGATTCTGTTTTCCATTTTATTTTTTAACTGTTAGGTATTTGCAGTTCTGTTCCGTGGAACTTCTGCAGGCCTGTATTTAGCATGCTGTAAGTACTTTTGGGTGAAATAGGCTCTGAGTCTAAATTCTCAGACATGTTTCTGATGTATTACCATGAAAAGCTTGTGCCACATGACAGAAGTGAGATCATAGTCTTAACCTCTTCTTGACGTGGACTGGTCTTCACTCGGGCACCGATAAATAACAGATTTGGAGTATCTCCTGGTGCTTATTTTAGATGATGAAGTCAAATCAACCCAATTAGTGTCCTGTTAGTAGGTATAATGAGCCTATTTCTTTCTAAAAAGACTTGTGATCTGGACATGCTTTTACAAGAAATAGTGACCTTGGGGAATATGTAAACAAAAGACCTTTTTCTAAGAGTTGGGAGGGGGTGGGGGACTGTATAATGAAAAGAATTAGCTTACAAAAAAGAAATTGATATTCAAAGTATTTTAGGCAAAGCCAGTCAAAATGCTTTCATGATATTTTGAGATGTAAATTTTGTCTGATTTGTATTGTTCTTTTCATTTGCCTTCTTAACTTTATATGTGACCTGAATTTTCCATAACTTGATGACTATAGATTGCACCTAGGCATTCCAATAAAAGCCAACCCAATGTGTGTGTGTTTTTATATTTTTTCAAGTCTTGGGCTAGCCAGCATTGCTTTTGTGTTTAACGTGGAGGACGCAAATAGATGCAGTTGTTGGGGAATTGATTCATCTGCAACCCAGTTGGTAGTATCTTTTTTTTTTTTTTTTTTGTCCATTGGCCAGACTGCTGGCTCAGCAGAGTGAACTTCACAGGGGACTCTCCCATGGCCTACTTTAGAAAAACAGTAAACACACCCCCACAAAGCCAAACACGCTAACTGTAAAGAAGAGTTTACAAAAATACCACCCATTACTACTTGAGAGCAGGCCTCATTCCTGTGATCCTGGCAATAAGTGTGCTTAATTAAAACACTTGATTAGAATAATCAGTTTGGGCCTGGTAGGCTTGCAGCCTCCTGGAGATGTCTAAATCTACATATAGACCGGCTGATTAGAAGATGCTTAGTTCAGCAATTCTGGCCGGCAGGCCAGGGCTTTGATTTTAGTCGGAAGAGGCAGACTTCATCACACTTGCTTTCTAGTGACAACCTCAACTGCATAACGTGTTGATCCAGCAAGAATCAGGTCATTCCACTTGGCAAACTGGTCTGTTTTCTTCTCCTCGAATTAGACTTTAACATGATCAAAACGGAATTCCAGAAAAACAGGCGAAGTACTGCTTTCCTTCTCTACAGTCTTTTCCTTAAAAGTAATGTCTGAACAAATGCAAATAAAAATGGTGCCGGTAAAAATTATACCTTAGAAAAAATAATCTGAATATGGGATATGCTGCTGCCACATCCCGTGAAATTTGTCTTTACATTCACCACACATATCCTAACAGTTGCATGGGGTTCTAACTGCCAGACCGCAACAGAAGGGCAGCACCTGACTGTAAGTACTTCAAAATCAGGACCAGTCCTCAAGCGCTTGAAAAGATGAGGAGAGGAGCTGGAGGTTACAACGAGCTATGATCGCAGCACTGCTCTCCGGCCTGAGCGACACAAGACCCAGTCTCTTAAAAAAAAAAAAAAAAAAAGTTTTTTAATGAAAGAATGCCGTTGATGCTTTCCCTATCCGTGCCCACTCTTCACTCCGTTCACCATCTTTTCTTTCTCCTTTTGCCCTGGGCTACTCCTGAATGCAGTTGTTTCTCTCGCCTGCTGACAGCAAATCAGCTGTCCGAGGTGCTTTTGGAAAGGAGGGATTCAAGAGAGGAAGCCAGAAGGCACTGATCCACATCATGTTCTGTCTGGGTAAAACCACCCGGGCAGTGCTCACAGCCGCTCGCTTGCTGTTGTACAGAGGAGGACAAGGTCCACCTGGACCAAGAACTGCCACCACCCATCTGGCCGGGGCGGGGTGGGTATCATTTGATCTCCAGCAGAGTGGGGTGAGTCTGCCCCTGGGAAGCCTCGAAGGGCAACATATTAAGATCTCACCCTTCCATAGATACCCAAATTTCCTCCCACTTTCCTTCAAGGAGTGATCTGATTCCAGCATCCCAGTCCACAAAATGCATCCCCATTCCAGAAGCTGGAGGTGGAATGGAATTACAGAAATGAGTTGTCCAAGTTCACAGAAGTGGCTTAAGTTAAGGTGAGCAGAGATTCCCTTTGCTAGTACCCTCCACTACATCACAGCCTCCTCATAACGCTCCCCGGGAAGATACCGCAAATACTCCTTACCGCCCCCCTTCCCATGGGCACTTGATCTTTCCAAAGCTGCCATCATTTACAGCCAGGACTAGCATTTTTCATTCTATAACGATCCGCCGACACTAAACAAAACAGATGCCTTGAGTGCCCCCTCTGCCTGCCAGTATTTCTAGCTCCTCACGCCCTTCTGTGTAGGTAAGCCAAGTTTGACTCTCCATCATTTCCAAAAGAAAGACCATTGGGCTGTTTACCTAGATTTTCCATAAGTTATTCATCTGGCTTTGAACATCCTACTAGACCCATGAAAAAATAAAATAAAAATGAGTTATAACTCATTATCACCCATTTTAACCACAGAGTTAAGCCAGAGTACCAAACAGGTACTGATAAGCCATTTGAATTTTCTACCTTCTCATTTAAGCCACATAATGAATGTCCTCTGTTTGCCAGACTTCTCATTTGCTGTTCACCACCCCTGCAAGCAATGGTCTCTTGATGTTAGTTAATTACTAATAACTTTTAGGTAAATTGAGTAAACCTTTTCATTTATGAACCGACTTAGAATCCTGTCGTGGAGGAATACGGGATTCCTAGAGTCCCGTGGATAGAGAATTTACTATCAACCGATTCTAAGCCTAGAGTAACATCATTATTCAGTTTAGAGTTAATGGGTTCCTCAAAGCAAATTTAATAAATCCTTCTGGGATCTAAGCTCAGGAAAATTAAAATTAGAAGCATAAATTGTCACTTTTAGGGCAAGAGACTGGCTTGGTAACAGTCCCCCTGCTTACAGGGTGAATTGTGAGCTACGCTTAGCCCTGGCCACAGGCATTCATCCTGTATTATGCAGGGAAATCTCGTTCTTCCACCTGTGTGCAGAGATTTCCTGAATTCCAGCCACAGCGGCCATTTCTCTATGGCATAGCTCGCTGCACACAACTGTCAGGATTTACAAGCGGTCCGCTGGGTCAAAATGAATTTTTAAAAATGTTCACAAGTGAACTCTATCAGGGGAGAGTGCGGGGAGCATAAATGCCCAAGGACTTAAAATGACAAATTCTCGGGCGTGACTGAAAGGCTGAAAATGGGGCGCTCAGTGGAGGTCGGTGAGGAGGCTCACCAGGCTCTCTTCAACCTGGAGTTCTTCTGCACCGTGGTTAATGACCGTAGGCTGGAGACTGCCCCATCCCACACCTTCCTCCCACACGAACACTAGGGAAAGTCTAGTCTGCCTGTTCCAGAGAAAATTCTGCAAAAATCGTCCCCAGAACTATCTTTGCATCCACGATGCTCGCTCTCTCTCTCTCTCTCTCTCGCTCTCTCTCGTTGCAATGGGTCAGGTTGAATCTAACCCTCTCTGTCCTTTAAGGCTTGGAAGGAATGCCATAGGGCTCCCTCGGTGGGCCAGGGCGACGTTGATGACTCAGGATCTCAAAAGGACCTAGAGCCAGTCTGTCATCCCCAGTTTCTTAATTTATTGACAAAAGGTAACGAACAAGCAGATTGTAAAATATCTTTATTCAGCTATGACATGATTTCCAAGCTCAAAAAAAAAAAAAAAAAAAAAAAATCAAGCCTGGCGTTTAACTTCAGTCTGGAGCATTGACAGGTGACAGGTCACTGCAGAACACAGAGGTGACCCAAGGCAGAGAACGGGAGGTAGCGAGAGGAAGACGACACCCTTCCCTGAGTCCTCCCTCATCTGGGGCTTCCCTCTGGCCTTCCCCTGGGGTTCCTGGGACTCGGCTTCTGCGGACATGGAAAAGCCGTCCCAACATCCGGCGGCCCCGTGGGCAGGGGTCCTGGGACGCCCCCTCCTGCATCCCCGGGCGGGCCCTGCAGGGGATGGCGGCGATTTCAGGAAGGGCTCCGGCGCCCCCTAGTGACGCGCGGCTGTGGTAGGGAAAGTCCTGCACGCCAAAAGGGCAGTTCCCGGGCCAGAAACCGAGGTGAAACCGAAGAGAAGGCGCCGCCGCTCGCCGCTCGCCACTCTCCACCCCAACCGCGGCGGGGCCGGCTCTCTGACCCTCTCTTCCCCACCTCTGCTCTGCCCTCCGAGTTTCACACTTAAAGCGGAGACTTCTGCTTCAGCACCGCCGCACCGAGGCCTGGGCCCTGCCAAAGTGGCTCGGGTAAGATTTCCCTGCACGTCGAGCAGACACTGTCATGCCGCGTTGCTCTCACTCACAGATCGAAATAAGGCCCTTCCTCCCGGGAATCGTCCGCGGGCTGAGTTCCGCAGCGCCTGAAAACAGTGATTTCTGAACTATCATATTGTTTCCCTTTTACTTTTCATGTTAACAGTCCTGTCGCTGGAAAGAATGTCCCGGAAGAACGGATCACTTAAATTCAGAGTGGCATTTTTATTTCTGAGGGAGCTGGGCTCTCACGGAACGTGCTGGAGTGACAGCCTGGAAGAGCGAAAGCCGCCCCCCCTCCCGCTTCCCCGCAGCTCCCCAGCCGCCTCGGCCTGGCCTCCCTGCAGCGGTGACATCCAGTCTCCCTCCTCTACCCAAGCCTGCGGCAGCCACGAAAGCCACCGCGGCGCAGAAGTGGGGAGGGATTCAACCTTTTGCCCCTGGGTTGTCGCCCAGAGAAGCCAATGGATGCTAATCTCATATAGCAGCCTGTTTGCTGGTGTCCTGCCTTCAGAAACCGGCCGTGAGTGAGCCCGCTGGCATTTTGGGAGGCCAATATATAGGCCCTTTTTCCTACCCGGGTTCTCGCTGAAATGAGTAAGGCCGGAGATGGCTCAGGAAAGCCAAAATATCACCTAGATAAAGGCCGGGTTGGGAAGCAGCAGGCACAGCTGCATGGGAAATCCCAAAGGGCCACTAACGGGACACCAAGATAGATCAGCCAGGCGCTGGCAGCAGTGGCAGGATGACGGGAGAGGCCCTGCTCCCTGAGCTGGAGCCCAGCGTGCCCATGCCCAGTTCGTTCCTCCCCACTCACCAGGAGGGCAAAGCGCTCCCCTGCCCACTGGGAGCCGGGATGACCAGGAGGCCCGGAGTGAGATATCTGTCTCTCTCTCTCTCTCTGTCACACACACACACACACACAGACACACACACACACACACACACACACACACATATATCACCAAGGAGGCTGTGGGCTGTGGCACTAGGAGAAATATTGCACCAGGTCTGGAGCCCCGGGTTTGCGGATGCTGCCCCCACCGCCTGTGGCCTTCAGCCAGGTTGCTTCCCGCCCTGGGCCTCTGCCGAAGCCAGAGGCAGGGGCTCTCCACCGGCAGCAGCGAGCGCCTCGCCTGCTGTGACAACTCTGTCTGGCTCTGGGGCTGCTCGGGAACCCGGTCCTAAACACAAGTTCTTGGGTCGTAAGCACAGGCTGGCAGTCCCAGATCGGGAGGCCCCATGCATCTGCTCCCGACCTGAGTCCCTCGCCCTGGCTCCCACTCCGCCACCCCATGGCGCTGCCTGCGAGAGGCGCCGGAGCCAGGCTCTGGCCTTTTCCGAGGCGGCTGCCTGCCGGTTCCTCTCGCGCCTGTTACACGGCGGACGGCAGGCTCCCGGGCTCTTGTAAATCAAAGGGCAACAGGACTCGCCTCGCCACCACTCAGGCTCTTTCTGCGGCCTCTGCCAATTAGTGCTCCAGTTAATCACACTTAGCAACTCCCTGGAGAAGCAGCGAAGCCGGGAGGAGCCCAGCGTGGGAGACCCCCTCAGGCTGGCTCTGCCGAGACGGAGATGACCACTGGCCTCTGCGCCTTGGTTTCCCCATCTTTACAGTGAACCCAGACCTTGGTCCCCAGCCGCCCCTCCCCACTTCCCGTGCCAAGACGCTGCATGTGTGTGCACACACACACGCATCTGTGTACGCATGTGTGCATGTGTGTGTGCATGTGCGTGTGTGCCTGCAAGTGCGTGTATGTGTGCATTTCTGTGTGTGTGTGCGTGTGCATATGTGTGGGGTGTGTGCACGTGTGT
Source organism: Homo sapiens (assembly GCF_000001405.40). NCBI lineage: Eukaryota > Metazoa > Chordata > Mammalia > Primates > Hominidae > Homo > Homo sapiens. Next base: position 182,808,607 of record NC_000004.12, read on the forward strand.
GAGTATATGCATGTGAGTGTGCACACGTGTATGTGTGCCTTTGTGTATGTGTGTGTGCACGCACATGTGGGTGGGTGTGTGCGTGTGGATGTGAGTACGTAATGTGCGCGCACATGTGTGAGTGTATGCATGTGAGTGTGCACGTATGTGTATGTGTGTTTGCGTATGTGTGCACGTGTGCATGTGGGGGTGTGCGTGTGTGGATGTGTGTACATAACGTGTGTGTGCATGTGTGAGTGTATGCATGTGAGTGTGCACGTATGTGTATGTGTGTGTTTGCATATGTGTGCACGTGCTGTGGGTGTGTGCATGTGCACGCATGTGTGTGCATGTGCGTGTGTGCAGGCATGTGTGCATGTGTGCATGTGCGTGTGTGTGCATGTGTGTTTGTGCATGTGTGTGTGCATGTGTATGTGTGTGGACAGAAAAAGCTAGAAGAAAGAGCCCATGGTGATATCAAGGCTACCACCCAGACGTCTTTCACCATCTCCTGGGAAAGTCCCCGAGCTGCGGGAACCCCAGCCACAAAGCTCAGCCACATGAAGAGGCCCCAGGACGGGAAGGGGGTTGCTCTCCCTGCAGCCCCCACCCACCAGGGAGGGAAGTGGCGAGCAGGGCTCCCTGGCACCTCCTCACACTTCCTGCAGGACAGAGCCTAGTAGCTGCCCTGTCCCCACCCCAGAGCTCACTGCTCGCCGTTTGAAGATGATGCAGCCTGACTCTCGGGCGTGAGTATTTGTAACCGCACAGGAAATGACACGGAGCATGGCAACCTGCAAACACAGCCCTGCCAGCATCCCATGCTTTGCCCTGCTCCAGAAAAGGAAACTCGAGGAGGAAGGAAGTGGGCAGAGGAGACAGCACAGGGTCCCTGGGTCCATGCCTGATGGTGCCCAATGTTGTCCCCCTTTTTCTGGCAGCCTTAAAGGCTAGAACTGGACTGAACCCCAAGGGCACGCCTCACCAGTTCTCCCTCCTGGGCCCTGCCTGGTCCCTGGCGGCATCAGGCCTCGCTGGTCATCAAGTTCAAGACCCTGGCAGTGAGGGTGCCCAAAATGGTGGCCCCCTGAAAACAGGCCAAGTCCAGTGCCAAGGCAAGTGAAAGGGTTCTGCCTCACAGTAAAAACCACCCCATATTGGTGGTTTTGCCCTGCCATTTCATAGTCCCCCAGCCCCACAAAAAGACAAGGATCCTTTCTACTTCTGCCCACAGTCACTTGTGAGAGCCAGGGCCATGACCCAACCCTGAGTCTGTCACCACCCCCACACCTTCCCAGGGATCCTGGGCAGGGACAGGTGGAATGCAGGCAGGGCAGGAGCATCCCCGAGAGGGCCCTCCAGGGGGAGCACTGCTTACTTTACACCCTCACCATACACACTCACACCACACACACACACACCACCACACACACCACATACACACACACCACATACACACATATCAGATACACACCACACACACCATCACATACACACACACACTCTCACCACACAACACACACGCCCTCACAACACACACACACATCACTACACACACCTCCTCACCACACACATACACCACACACACACAGACCCCACACAAATATGCACAACACACATGCACACCACACAATCACACACCATCTCACCACACACTTACCAACACATACCATCACCACACACACACCATACAAACACACACACACACCATACAAACACACATACACCACACACATATGCTATCACAACACACATACACACCCTCACCACACACACCAACACACAGCACACACACATACCATCACTACACAGACACACCCTCACCACATACATACCACACACACACACCCTCACCACATACATACGACACACGCACACACCATCACCACACACAAATACACTCACCATGCACACTCCCTATCACCACACCCACCACACACCCTCACCACATACACACACAACACATACACACTCACCACACACACACTGTATTAGTTCGTTCTCATATTGCTGTAAGGAAATACCCAAGACTGGATAATTTATAAAGGAAAGAGGCTTAATTGACTCACAGTTCCACATGGCTTCAGAGGCCTCAGAAAACTTAAAATCATGGTGGAAAGGGAAGAGGCATGTTTGACATGGCGACAGGAGAGAGAGAGAATGCATACATAGAAGGAACTGTCAAACACTTATAAAACCATCAGATCTTGTGAGAACTCACTCACTTTCATGAGAGCAGCATGGGGGAAACCACCCCCATGATCCAGTCACTTCCCACCAGGTCCCTCCCTCAAAACCTGGGGATTATGGGGATTACAATTCAAGATGAGATTTGGGTGGGGACACAGAGCCAAACCATATCATTCCACCCCTGGCCTCTCCCAAATCTCATGTTCTCACATTTCAAAACAAACAGGCCTTCCCAACAGTCCCTTAAAGTCTTAACTCATTCCAGCATTAACTCAAAAGTCCAACTCCAAAGTCTCATCTGAGACAAGGCAAGTCCCTTCTGCCTGTGAGCCTATAAAATCAAAAACAAGTTAGTTACTTCCTAGATACAATGGGGGTACAGACATGGGATAAATACATCCATTCCAAATTGGAGAAATTGCCCAGAATGAAGGGGCTACAGGCCCCATATGAGTCTGAAATCCAGCAGGGCAGTAAATCTTAAAGCTCTGAAATGATCTCCTTTGACTCCATGTCTCACATCCAGGTCACTCTGATGCAATGGGTGGGCTTCCACAGCTTTGGGCAGCTCCACCCCTGTGGTTCTGCAGGGTACATGCCCCTCTGGCTGCTTTCATGGGCTGGTATTGAGTGTCTGCAGCTTTTCCAGGTGCATGGTGCAAGCTGTCGGTAGATCTACCATTCTGGGGTCTGGAGGATGGCAGCCCTCTACTCACAGCTCCTCTAGGCAATGCCCAGTGGGGACTCTGTGTGGGGGCTCTGACCCCACATTTCACTTCTGCACTAACCTAGCAGAGGTTCTCCATGAAGGCTCTACCCCTGCAGCAAACTTCTGCCTGGACATCCAGGCATTTCCATACATCCTCTGAAATCTAGGTGGAGGTTCCCAAACCTCAATTCTTGATTTCTGTGCAACTTCAGGCCCAATACCACGTGTAAGCTGCCAAGTCTTGGGGCTTGCACCCTTTGAAGCAATGGCCTGAGCTGTACATCAGCCCCTTTTAGCCACAGCTGGGATGCAGGGCACCAAGTCCTGAGACTGCACAAAGCAGCAAGCCCAGCCCACAAAACCATTTTTATCTCCTAGACCTCCAGGCCTGTGATGGGAGGGGCTGCTGTGAAGACCTCTTACATGCCCTGGAGACATGTTCCCCATTGTCTTGGCGATTAACATTTGGCTTTTCATTACTTATGCAAGTTTCTGCAGCCAGCTTGAATTCACCTCAGAAAATGTGTTTTTCTTTTCTATCACATCGTCAGGCTGCCAATTTTCCAAATTTTTATGCTCTGCTTCCCTTTTAAACATTAGTTCCAATTCCCAACCATCTCTTTGTGAATGTATACAACCGAATGCCTTTAAGAGCACCCAAGTCATCTCTTGAATGCTTTACTGCTTAGAAATTTCTTCCACCAGATACCCTAAATCATCTCTCTCAAGCTCAAAGTTCCACATAATTCTAGAGCAGGGGCAAAATGCCACCAGTCTCTTTGCTAAAGCAGAACAAGAATCATCTTTATTCCAGTTCCCAAAAAGTTCCTCATCTCCATCTGAGACCACCTCAGCCTGGATTTCATTGTCCATATCACTATCAGCATTTTGGTCAAAGCCATTCAACAAATCTCTAGCAAGTTTCAAACTTTCCCACATTTTCCTTCCTTCTTCTGAATCTTCCAAATTGTTCCAACCTCTGCCTGTTACCCAGTTCTAAAGTCACTTCCACATTTTCAGGTATCTTTATAGCAGCACACCACTCTCTGTGGTACCAATTTACTGCATTAGTCCCTTTGCATACTGCTATAAAGTGTTGGCTGGCCGGGCATGGTGGCTCACACCTGTAATCCCAGCACTTTGGGAGGCCAAGGCAGGCAGATCATGAGGTCAGGAGATCGAGACTATCCTGGCGACCACGGTGAAATCCTGTCTCTACTAAAGATACAAAAAGATTCACCGGGCATGGTGGCAGGCGCCTGTAGTCCCAGCTACTCGGGAGGCTGAGGCAGGAGAATGGCGTTAACCTGGGAGGCGGAGCTTGCAGTGAGCCGAGATCGCGCCACTGCACTCCAGCCTGGGCGACAGAGAGAGACTCCGTCTCAAAAAAAAAAAAAAAAAGTATTGGCCAAGATGGGGTAATTTATAAAGGAAAGAGGTTTAATTTACTTACAGTTCGGCATGGCTGGGAGGCCTCAGGGAACTTACAATCATGGCAGAAGGGGATGGGAAAGCAAGGCACCTTCTTCACAGGGTGGCAGGAAGGAGAAGTTCCAAGCGAAGGGGAAGAGTCCCTTATAAAACCACCAGATCTCTTGAGAGCTCACTCACTATCATGAGAACAGCATGATGGGGGAAGGAGAAAACCACCCCCGTGATGCAGTCACTTCCTACCAGGTCCCACCCTCAACACATGGGGATTATGGGAACTACAAGTCAAGGTGAGGTTTGGGTGGGGACACAGTGAAACCATATCACACGCACAGCACACACACACTCACCACACACACACCCTACACACACCCTTACCACACACACCACATAGAGACACACACACCTCACCACACATGCACACTCACCACGCCATCACACACACACACCACACACACCACAGAGACACACACTTACCTCGCCACACATGCACACTCACCACACCATCACACACCCTCACCACACATGCACACTCACACCATCACACACACACACCACACACCACATAGAGACACACACACACCCTCACCACACATGCACACTCACCACACCATCACACACACACACACCACACATGCCACAGAGACACACACACACCCTCACCACACATGCACACTCACCACACCATCACACACACACACATTTCTGCCTGACTATAGCAAGGCAACTACTTGCTGCCCCTGCCCCTCAGTTTCCTCTGTGTTTAACATTCTCCCCTACCCCATCCACCTCCCTTGCCTGAGAGTGCCTGAATGAGAGGCAGCAGACCCAGCATCCCCTGCACTGTTGCTAGAGAGGCGTCTGTGTCCAGGGTGGGCCAGGGCCGGGTGGGAAAGCCAGCTTCTCAGAGCACTGGGTCACTCACGATATCCCTGGTCAGGGGTTCTCTGGTGCCCAGTTCCTAGGACCGCCATGGAGGGTTTTGCAAGCAGGGGGACCCCTCAGGACTGGCTGTCAGGAGGGTGGAGGAAGGGGCCTCTCCCCCAGAGAAAGTGCTGGGGCAGTTCCTGGAGCCCACTGTGCCATTACCCATCACCATCCCTGGGCACCTCCATCAGAGGGTCCAGGATGCCAAAGGGACCCCACAGGGGACCAAGTCTAAGACCCTGTGAGACCCCCGTCCATGGTCTGCCACTAGTTTTTAGCTGTGGATCATTTTGTCAATGAAATCTCACAAGAGGGCAAAGCAGACACAGGCCTAGCTGCCCAGATGGAAGTAGGAGTGGGGGTCAGACCGCCCAACGTGTTGGCCCCCAAGTCTATGAGTGGCAGGCACGCCTGAGCATGTGCCTGTGAGAGTCACCGTGGAAGGTGCCAGAAAAAATAACCCTGTCTGTCAGGCCTCTGAGCCCAAGCCAACCCATCGCATCCCCTGTGACTTGCACGTATACGCCCAGATGGCCTGAAGTAACTGAAGAATCACAAAAGAAGTGAAAAGGCCCTGCCCCGCCTTAACTGATGACATTCCACCATTGTGATTTGTTCCTGCCCCACCTTAACTGAGTGATTAACCCTGCAAATTTCCTTCTCCTGGCTCAGAAGCTCCCCCACTGAGCACCCTGTGACCCCCACCCCTGCCCACCAGAGAACAACCCCCTTTGACTGTAATTTTCCATTACCTTCCCAAATCCTATAAAACGGCCCCACCCCTATCTCCCTTTGCTGACTCTCTTTTTGGACTCAGCCCGCCTGCACCCAGGTGAAATAAACAGCCATGTTGCTCACACAAAGCCTGTTTGGTGGTCTCTTCACACAGATGCGCAAGAAATTTGGTGCCGTGACTCGGATCAGGGGACCTCCCCTGGGAGATCAATCCCCCGTCCTCCTGCTCTTTACTCCATGAGAAAGACCCACCTACGACCTCAGGTCCTCAGACCAACCAGCCCAAGAAACATCTCACCAATTTCAAATCCGGTAAGCGGCCTCTTTTTACTCTCTTCTCCAACCTCCCTCACTATCCCTCAACCTCTTTCTCCTTTCAATCTTGGCGCCACACTTCAATCTCTCCCTTCTCTTAATTTCAATTCCTTTCATTTTCTGGTAGAGACAAAGGAGACATGTTTTATCCGTGTACCCAAAACTCCGGCGCCAGTCACGGACTGGGAAGGCAGCCTTCCCTTGGTGTTTAATCATTGCAGGGACGCCTCTCTGATTATACACCCACGTTTCAAGGGTGTCAGACCACGCAGGGACACCTGCTTTGGTCCTTCACCCTTAGCGGCAAGTCCCGCTTTTCTGGGGAAGGAGCAAGTACCCCAACCCCTTCTCTCCTTGTCTCTACCCCTTCTCTGCTTTTCCAGGGACAGGGCAAGTACCCCAACCCCTTCTCTCCTTGTCTCTACCCCTTCTCTGCTTTTCCGGGGAGAGGGCAAGTACCCCAACCCCTTCTCTCCTTGTCTCTACCCCTTCTCTGCTTTTCCAGGGACAGGGCAAGTACCCCAACCCCTTCTCTCCTTGTCTCTACCCCTTCTCTGCTTTTCTGGGAGAGGGGAAAGTACCCCTCAACCCCTTCTCCTTCACCCTTAGCGGCAAGTCCCGCTCTCCTAGGGGGCAAGAACCCCCCAATCGCTTATTTCCATGCCCCAACCTCTGATCTCTGCGCCCCAATCACTTATTTCCATGCCCCAACCTCTTATGTCTGTGCCCCAATCCCTTTTTTCCACACCCCAACCTCTTATTTCTGTACCCCAATCCCTTATTTCCATGCCCCAACCCTTTCTCTGCTTTTCTGGAGGGCAAGAACCCCCCACCCCTTCTCCGTGTCTCTACTCTTTTCTCTGGGCTTGCCTCCTTTACTATGGGCAAGCTTCCACCTTCCATTCCTCCTTCTTCTCCCTTAGCCTGTATTCTTAAGAACTTAAAACCTCTTCAATTCTCACCTGACCTAAAATCTAAGCGTCTCATTTTCTTCTGCAATGCCGCTTGACCCCAATACAAACTCGACAGTAGTTCCAAATAGCCAGAAAACGGCACTTTCAATTTTTCCATCCTACAAGATCTAAATAATTCTTGTCGTAAAATGGGCAAATGGTCTGAGGTGCCTGACGTCCAGGCATTCTTTTACACATCAGTCCCTTCCTAGTCTCTGTGGCCAGTGCAACTCGTCCCAAATCTTCCTTCTTTCCCTCCCGCCTGTCCCCTCAGTACCAACCCCAAGCGTCGCTGAGTCTTTCTAATCTTCCTTTTCTACAGACCCATCTGACCTCTCCCTTCCTCCCCAGGCTGCTCCTCGCCAGGCCGAGCTAGGTCCCAATTCTTCCTCAGCCTCCGCTCCTCCACCCTATAATCCTTTTATCACCTCCCCTCCTCACACCTGCTCCGGCTTACAGTTTCGTTCCGTGACTAGCCCTCCCCCTCCTGCCCAGCAATTTACTCTTAAAAAGGTGGCTGGAGCCAAAGGCATAGTCAGGGTTAATGCTCCTTTTTCTTTATCCCAAATCAGATAGTGTTTAGGCTTTTTCATCAAATATAAAAACCCAGCCCAGTTCATGGCTCATTCGGCAGCAACCCTGAGACGCTTTACAGCTCTAGACCCTAAAAGGTCAAAAGGCCGTCTTATGCTCAATATACATTTTATTACCCAATCTGCCCCGGACATTAAATAAAACTCCAAAAATTAAATCCGGCCCTCAAACCCCACAACAGGACTTAATTGACCTCACCTTCAAGGTGTAGAATAATAAAAAAAAAAAGTTGCAATTCCTTGCCTCCGCTGTGAGACAAACCCCAGCCACATCTCCAGCACACAAGAACTTCCAAATGCCTGAACCACAGCAGCCAGGCGTTCCTCCAGAACCTCCTCCCACAGGAGCTTGCTACATGTGCCGGAAATCTGGCCACTAGGCCAAGGAATGCCTGCAGCCCCGGATTCCTCCTAAGCCGTGTCCCATCTGTGCGGGACCCCACTGAAAATCGGACTGTTCAACTCACCTGGCAGCCACTCTCAGAGACCCTGGAACTCTGGCCCAAGGCTCTCTGACTCCTTCCCAGATCTTCTTGGCTTAGCGGCTGAAGACTGACACTGCCCGATCGCCTCGGAAGCCCCCTAGACCATCATGGACGCCGAGCTTCGGGTAACTCTCACAGTGGAAGGTAAGCCCGTCCCCTTCTTAATCAATACGGAGGCTACCCACTCCACATTACCTTCTTTTCAAGGGCCTGTTTCCCTTGCCTCCATAACTGTTGTGGGTATTAACAGCCAGGCTTCTAAACCTCTTAAAACTCCCCAACTCTGGTGCCAACTTAGACAATACTCTTTTAAGCACTCCTTTTTCGTTATCCCCACCTGCCCAGTTCCCTTATTAGGCTGAGACACTTTAACTAAGTTATCTGCTTCCCTGACTATTCCTGGACTACAGCCACATCTCATTGCCGCCCTTCTCCCCAACCCAAAGCCTCCTTCGCGTCTTCCTCTCATATCCCCCCACCTTAACCCGCAAGTATGGGACATCTCTACTCCTTCCCTGGCAACCGATCACATGCCCCTTACCATCCCATTAAAACCTAATCACCCTTACCCCGCTCAACGCCAATATCCCATCCCACAGCACGCTTTAAAAAGATTAAAACCTGTTATCACTCGCCTGCTACAGCGTGGCCTTTTAAAGCTTATAAACTCTCCTTACCATTCCCCCATTTTACCTGTCCTAAAACCAGACAAGCCTTACAAGTTAGTTCAGAATCTGCGCCTTATCAACCAAATTGTTTTGCCTATCCACCCCGTGGTGCCAAACCCATAGACTCTCCTATCCTCAATACCTCCCTCTACTACCCATTATTCTGTTCTGGATCTCAAACATGCTTTCTTTACTATTCCTTGCACCCTTCATCCCAGCCTCTCTTTGCCTTCACTTAGACTGACCCTGACACCCATTAGGCTCAGCAAATTACCTGGGCTGTACTGCTGCAAGGCTTCACAGACAGCCCCCATTACTTCAGTCAAGCCCAAATTTCATCCTCATCTGTTAGTCATACTCCTATTCACTGTTCTCAACTACTCACACATGCCCTGCTCTTGTTTACACTGCCGGTTTACACTCTTTCTCCAAGACATCACAGGTGATATCTCCTAGTGCTATCCCCAAACTGCCACTCTAAACTCTTGAAGTAAATAAATAATCTTTGCCGGCAGGACTATGCTGAATCTCCTTAGGCACTCTCTAATTAGATGGCCTAGGTCCTCCCAATTCTTAGTCCTTTTATACCTGTTTTTCGCCTTCTCATATTCCATTTAGTTTTTCAATTCATACAAAACCGTATCCAGGCCATCACCAATCATTCTATATGACAAATGTTTCTTCTTACATCCCCACAATATCACCCCTTACCACAAGACCTCCCTTCAGCTTAATCTCTCCCACTCTAGGTTCCCACGCCGCCCCTAATCCCACTTGAAGCAGCTCTGAGAAACATCACCCATTCTCTCTCCATAACACCCCCAAAAATTTTTGCCGCCTCAACACTTCAACACTATTTTGTTTTATTTTTCTTATTAATATAAGAAGGCAGGAATGTCAGGCCTCTGAGCCCAAGCCAAGCCATCGCATCCCCTGTGACTTGCACGTATACGCCCAGATGGCCTGAAGTAACTGAAGAATCACAAAAGAAGTGAAAAGGCCCTGCCCCGCCTTAACTGATGACATTCCACTATTGTGATTTGTTCCTGCCCCACCTTAACTGAGTGATTAACCCTGCGAATTTCCTTCTCCTGGCTCAGAAGCTCCCCCACTGAGCACCTTGTGACCCCCCACCCCTGCCCACCAGAGAACAACCCCCTTTGACTAATTTTCCATTACCTTCCCAAATCCTATAAAACGGCCCCACCCCTATCTCCCTTCGCTGACTCTCTTTTCGGACTCAGCCCACCTGCACCCAGGTGAAATAAACAGCCATGTTGCTCACACGGAGCCTGTTTGGTGGTCTCTTCACACAGACGCGCATGAAACTGTCCTCCGGGGTCCTTGGTCCAACTAATAGGTGGACACAGATCCTTTGTCAACAGAGCAGGGCTGGCTGTGAGCACAGAGTAGGAACCTCAGCGCTACCTGGGGGGTCAGGCAGGCTTCCTGGAAGACGTGAGGCTGTGCTGGGCTCGAAGGGTGAGCAGCAGTGCCAGTGCCAGGGAGAAGGGAGGCTGAGGCTGTACAGAGGGAGAGCTGTGGAGGTCAAGGCCCGGGCTCCAGGGCCAGACTTCCTGGAGCTTGTCCCAGCTTCTTCCCTTAGGAGCTTCATAGACTTGGACTAGTTACTCCACCTCGCTGTGACTCAATGTCCTTTTCTGTAAATGGGGCGTTGCGGCCCAGGGGCTGTGGTCAGATGAAGCTGCTTAGAGCACATGGAGTGCTTGGAGGGGGCCCTGAGTGCAGGGGGTTCGTGGCGTGGCTCCGGGCTTTACTGGGGAGGTTGGTTCCAGGCTGCCTGGAGCCCAGCTTCTGCGGGTCAGGGCCACACTGAGGATGATTCCTCCTGGCCCTCAGCCCAGGTCAGACCCAAGACCATATGCAGCGGGCACACCTGTGCAGGGCACCAGCAATGGTGCAGGGCCGCTGATGCGTCCCTGGGGCCATCTCCGCAGTGCTGGTCCAGGGCGGTCCCACAGGCCATGTTCTGGAACACGGGCCCTTGGGCATCCTGTGAGGCTCCCCGGCCTCCCGCAGGTAAGTGGCTTGCCCAGATCCACGGAGGGTGGGGAGCTCGGGCTGAAATCCTACTCAGATGACCCCAGAACCCATGCTCTTCCCACTCACCTTGTTGCTCCCATGCCAGGCATTCAGGGCCCTGAGTCACTTCAAAGGCCTGCCCCACTCCCTGTCCAGGTCCCAATGTGCTAGACACATCCTCAAATCCAGCTGAGTGGAGTGTCTCCCATTTCCCAAGAAATCCCATCCCCTCCCATCCCTGCACTTTGCACGAAGCAAGTGCCTCTGGACTGGCGCCTGCTTCATGGTGCCATGGCCTATCTGGGCCTGGCAGGTGCACTTGTGTCTTGCCCAAGTCGCAAGCAAGTCCAGCTCCTTGGCACCCACCAGGCACTCGGACAGTGCGGCCCAGGGGTGTGCTCTGAGCTCAGAAAGCCGCTGCCCCATCCAGACACATGGCATCCTCAGTAGCTTCTGTTCTGCAAAACATCCAGAACCCTCCGGATCATTGACCTTTATTTAAAAAATAAACTGAAAAAATTTTAAAGTCAGTCGTTTATGGTGTAGAAAGAAACGGTTTAAATTATTGAAGAGCTACTTAACGGTTGAAGTGAAGCCCGTAGCAGGTGACGCGTGACTGTGGTGCCTACGGGCCACTGCAAGCTGGGTGCGAGGAGCATGCCCAGACCCCAGACAGAGCCCAGACCCCAGGGTCCATCCACCACCACCATCCGGCCAGGGCTTCTCCGCTGGCCCTGCGACTTCACCCTCAGGGGAGGCGTCTCTCTCCTGGCAGACTGCTCCCATTTTGCTCTGCCCTCTCCTCATCGCTCTCTCCCGGCTGGCCCCATTAGGGAGCCGAAGCAGACTCTATTGTTCACAGAAATGGAATCATCTGATGTCTTTATTTATCTATTTTTTTTAAGTCAGTAGATAAAAATGTTCTGTCCCTCTCCGACTGGGCAACAGTGTGCACAGTGCTGCCTGCTGGAAGCTTCTGAGGGTGCAGCTCACCTGAGACTGACCTCCCTCCCAGGCCCAGTGGGCTCCCTCATGGCCCCAGGGCTCAGGATCCCCAGTCTCCCTTGCTGGTTCTCGTCTTCATTCATTCCCGCCAGGAGGACGGTGGAGGAAAGGGTCTCCCCGCAAAGGAGATGTCCATGGCTGCTGGGGGCCTGCTGTGCCATCGCCCATCTCCATGCCTGGCATAGAGGGGGAAGGGAAACCTCTGCCCTCTGAAGTTTTGCTGAAAAATGAACTCATGGCCGGGCGCGGTGGCTCACACCTGTAATCCCAACGTTTTGGGAGGCTGAGGCTGGCTGGCATATCACCTGAGGTCAGGAGTTCAAGACCAGCCTGACCAATGCGGTGAAACCCCGTCTCTACTAAAAATACAAAACTTTGCCGGGCATGGTGGAGTGTGTCTCACCTGTAATCCCAGCTACAAGGGAGACTGAGCAGGAGAATCTCTTGAACCTGGGAGGTGGAGGTGGCAGTGAGCCAAGATCACGCCACTGCACTCCAGCCTGGGCAACGGAGTGAGACTCCATCTCAAAAAAAAAAGAAAAGAAAAATGAATTCACATAAGGCAGAGTAACAGGAGAAAAGGCACACAAATTTATTTAATATGTGTACACAGGAGCCTTCAGAATAAGATGCACAGATGAGGGGAAACTGTTTTATGTTTAGGTACAACAAATTATGGACAGCAGTGTAGAAATATGACTGGACAAGAAGAGCCTGAGCTAATGTTAGGAGATTGAACAGAACACCAACAAGGTCTTTCTGTCCAGTTCTTCTTGGCCTCTCTGGGCAGCTTCGTTTCTCCTGGGTGTGGGGCAGGGTCCTCTCTGGAATAGGGGTCTTATGATCCATAGTCCAACAAGGTGGGTTGGATAGTTTCTTTATGGCCAGTTCTTATGCAGAATGGTGGGATAAATTTCAAGTAATATTTTTAGCTAGTTAGTTAGTTAGTTTGTTTGTTTTTGAGACAGAGTCTCACTCTGTCACCCAGGCTAGAGTGCAATGGCACCATCTCCACTCACTGCAACCTCCAACCTCCGCCTCCCGGGTTCAAGCGATTTGCCTGCCTCAGCCTCCCTAGTAGCTGGGATTACAGGCGCCCACCATCACGCCCGGCTAATTTTTGTATTTTTAGTAGAGACGGGGTTTCACCATGTTGGCCAGGCTAGTCTCGAACTCCTGACCACATGATCCACCCACCTCGGCCTCCCAGAGTGCTGGGATTACAGGCGGGAGCCACCGCGCCTGGCCATATATTTTCAGGTTTTATGGCGGGCTTTGGGGAGAAGGAGTTCTGGTTTCTATGACCCACCTTGAGGAAAAGGGATTCTAGTTTCCCTGGCTGGGGGAATGGGGCTGAGAGAGAGGAGGGCCTGGGAAGGTCAGAGAAAAACTTTTGTTTTGGAGGCTGCTTCTGAGGCCTTCATTTTGGGGTATGGTTTTCTGAACCCCAACAATGGACATGTCAACCACAGAGGGCAGGAAGCAGAGGGGACCGCACAGAGGGCCAGAATCTGAAGATCCTTTGAGGCGCCTGGTCCACGGTGTGCATGATTTTAGTCATGGGCCTTTTCTCTAATTACCTCCATTCATTCCCTTGGGCCAGCCCTGAGGGGCACTGAGACAGGGCTCCAGGGAGACGCTGCCGCCCAGCTGGGGCTGAGGACGCAGAGGTGCCACCCGCACGCCAGCAGCACACATCGGACGGTTCCCTGTGTGTGGTCTTGGATTGACTCTTCCACCTGGGATCGGAACCCTGGAAAGAAAAACCTTCTCCATCCCAGCTTTAACCAAAAGAAAGGCTTTGGCCTCCATGCCAGAGGCCCTCCCAGGCCAGCTCCCCCAGCCGTGCTTACCCCCACACCTCCGCTCCCCTCAGAGCCAGATTTCTTGAAGGGGGTTTGCTCTCCTCTGCTCTACACGGTCACCTCTGCTCTGAAACAATTTAGCTCTTCCCTCTGCTGCTGCCCAATTGCTTAACTTCCTGGTCACCAACCCCATGGCCCTTCCGGCCCCAGCACCTTCTTGCGCTTTCCATCAGCTTCTAGAAAACTGCGCTTCTCTGCATGCAGAGCTTTGCCCTCTGGATCTCCTACCTCTCTAAGGGTCTCCCTCGTCTGCCGCTGCCCCCAGTGTGGGCTTTGCCGGGACCTGTCTTCAGCCTCCCCTCCACTGTGGCCTCTCCCCTCAGGAAGGGGCTACGTGGTGAGGACCAACCCCTTTCCACCGATTTCCACTCACTTCGCCCTTCCTTAACTAAGCCTTAACTAAGGCTCAATGCCAGTGTGGTTGGCCACGGAGCTCTGCTGGGATCAGGGGCAGCAGCATTGGCCGTTGTGGAAGTAGGAAGAGCAAGGGTGGGCTTCTGAGCTATGGCCGGTGGAAGTCCTGGCTCTACCCCTCACCTGCTGTGGGCTGTGGTTACGATAGGCAAGGCTGCTGTGCCCGTTCCTCATTGTGTAATGTGGATAATAATCATAAACACAGGAACACCAGTGGTGCCTATTGCATGCTGGACAGTGTTTATTTATTTAATTTTGTTTGTTTGCTTGTTTGTTTGTTTTGAGACTGAGTCTCCTTCTGTCGCCCAGGTTTGAGTGCAGTAGCGCCATCCTGGCTCACTTCCCAGGCCTCGACTTCCCAGGCTCAAGTGATCCTCCCACCTAAGCCTCCCAAGTAGCTGGGATTACAGGCGTGCACCACCATGCCTGGCTAATTTTTTTGAAATTTTCTTGTAAAGATGGGGTCTCCCTATGTTGCCCAGGCTGGTCTCAATCTCCTGGGCTCAAGGGATCCTCCCACTTCAGCCTCCCGAAGTGCTGGGATTACAGGCCTGAGCACACTGCACCATGCCTGGACAGTATTCTAAATGCTTTGCACCTATGAGTTCACTTCGTCCTCACAAAAATTCCTATGTGATAGATATATTATTGCCCCCATCCCCACCCACTGAGCTGCAGCATCTGAGGCACAGAGAGGCAAAGTAACTTGTCCAAGGTACACAGCTCACAGATATCAAAGCTAGAATTTGAAGCCAAGCAACTCTGGCCCCAAAATCTAAACTGCCTTCTAGATTTGAAATGAAGATTAACTAAGGCTCAATGCTAAATACTTCTCCTTCTGGCCCTGTTTTATAACAATAAAGTCCTCATGAAACTGAAACCACCTTTGCTATGCTTCTAACCTCCAAGCTGTCCTTGTTCATTCTCGGGTGTAGGCTGAACTAACTTTAGGAGAAACTTAGTTTATAGTTTAAACAAAGAACAGTAACAGCCTTTCCCCAAAGCAGACCTCCTTCTTACCTGAGGACTAGATTGCCTTTGTAGGACTAACATTAGCCACAGGATTAGAAATTCTAGTTTAGGAGTCATGCAGCTGGAGGCTACAAGATTCTGACCCTCCCTAAACTGCTCCTAAGATCAGTGCTTGAGATATTTTGCAGATCCTGCACTTGATGGATCAGCTGGCACCACCCAGATCAATAAACTGGCTCATATGATCTTTCGGACCCCCCACCCAGTAACTGAATCAGTGCAAAAAGACACGACTCCCTATGATTTCATCTCTGGTCAATCAGCTCTCCTGGCTCACTGGCTTCCCCCCACCCACCAAGTTATCCTTAAAAACTCTGCTCCCCAATTGCTCTGGGAGACTGATTTGAGTAATAATAAAACTCCAGTCTCCCACACAACCGGCTCCGCATGAATTTCTCTTTATTGCAATTCCCCTGTCTTGATGAATCGACTCTGTCTCACAGCGGGCAAGGTGAACCCCTTGGGCGGTTACAAAACCCAACCAATTTTCAATATTTGAGGTCAAATATTATGAGCTCAAGCCACGCTTTAGGTGTCCACTGTGCTCTGCGTGTATTATCTAGCAGCTGCGATTCACTGAGGGCTAACACACGCCATGCGTTATGTACGGAATTTAGATTCCGCATCTCTAATCCAACAATAACAACCCTGAAGGTAGATTTGAACGTTTCCCCATTTTACAGATGAGGAAACTGAAGCCGAAAGAGCTTTCGTGAGAAGCTGGGCCAAGATTCAATTTCAGGTATCTGTGGCTTCAAGGCCTGAGGCCTTTCCTTCCCGGGGTCTCCTGCCTCCACGGAGATGGCTCTCCTTGTTGGTTCCTGTGTCTGACTTCAGACTCTAAACCCTTTGGGATCACTCCTGTTTGTATCCCCAGGCTCCAGCACAGTGTTAGGCAGGTGACAGACAGGTGACAGAACTTGTTGTTTGTTGGGTAAGTGGGTAAGCAGTGAGTGAATGAATGGGCTAAGCCCTGGGCCCTTCTGTCCAAGAGCGCAGAAAAGGCCCCCTGCCCAGAAACGTTGCTCCTGCTGGCCCCAGGACCAGGGCACATCCTGCTACAAAGAGCTGCAGAGCTGTCCTTTATCCAGAATGTGGTGCCCCCTCCCCAAGCCCTCTGCCACCCTGGCCCCCAGGTCTGTTCTCTGTGGAGTGGCCATTCCACACTCACCAGTTACAGGATGGGCCTTCTCGTGAGTCCTGCTCTCGCTCACAGAAGGAACTGGCTCTGTGCCCCTTGGCCCCGAAGACCAGGGCCTGTCTGCAGAAGCAGTAAGTCCATGAGCAGTGCAGGAACAGGCGGTCCCAGCCCCCAGAGGCAAGAGGCCACCCTGCCCGCAGGCCAGGGCGCTCTGGAATGAGCCACGCACTGCTGAACAGTCACCATCCGCAAATGCCTGTGGACATTTCCCCCAGTGTGGGGTTGGGGCCTCTACCTCCCACTGTTCCTCCTTCTCCTGGGATGTTTTTGGGTAATGGTACCATCATCCTCCTAGTCACCCCAGCGTGTGTGCTCAGAGTCACCATGTCCGCTATGTGCCATCAATCACTGGGTGCTGCAGAGTCCTTCTGACTAGCTTGGTCTGGCACCCAAGCCCAGGCCCCTCTGTCTCTCCTCAGCCAAGAATGGGACTTCCTCTGTCCCTGAGCCCTCTCAGGTGCCCTGTGCTCCTGCCTGGCCGGCCACCCTCTCTCTCTTCCCCAAAAAGCCTCGCCCTCTGTCTTTGCCTTGGCGTTGCTGTTCCTCAGAATTCAGCACAGCCCCACCAACCACTCCCGAGTCCCCCGGATTCACTCCCCACTCCCCACTCCCCACCTCCTTGTTTCCCTCCTCCTTCTCCCTTTCCCCAGGAGGGAAATTGAAGACAGTTAAAAATAGAACAAATCGAAGTGCACCGGCCAAAGCCAAGCACCACTCAGCAGGAAGCACCTGAGGCTCGGTTCCCCCTGCTGGAAGGCGCCCCAGGCAGGCCTCACCCTCCCCTCCCTGCTGCCTCCTCCGTATGTTCAAATCCTGCCAGACTTGCACCCAGCTGGGAGAGATGATGTTCAGACCGCAGGCTGCTGGCGGTGCATGGGGGGCCAGGGGCTCGGGCACTCATGGATTTCAGAGCAGTTCTGCCCAGGCTCGCTGGCCGCCGCCACCTTGCTGTGCTCCTGAAGCAGGTCAGAGCCCACCCCCAGGGCCCTTCTGTGAGCCCTGGGCTGGAAGATAATGGCAGGGGAGGGAGGCCGGAGCAGGCGGCTAGGGTTGCAGATAAAAGGCAGACACCCAGGCCCAGTTAAATAAATTTCTGAGCAATTACAATTATTTGCTAGTACAAGTATATCCCGGCAATATTTGGGATATATTTATGCTAAAAAAGTTAATTTGTTGTTGATCTGAAATTCAAATTTTACCAGATGTCTTGTTTTGTTTTCTTCTGTTTTCTTTGCCTACATAGGTGCTCAGTCAGGCTACCCTGGGTAGTCCCAGGGGCAACCCTGCCAGGCCTGTTCCCCATCCAGGCCCGGCACTCCAGCAGAGTGGAGGCAAAGAGAAGTGGGTGGGAGGGAGTATTCATTTCCTAGGGCTGCCTTAACAAAGTGACACAAACTGGAGAGGGGGTGGAGGTAAAAACAACAGAAAGTTGTCTCACGTTCTGGAGGCTGGAGTCTGAAATCAAGGCGCGGGCAGGGCCTTGCGCTCTCTGACGGCTCCGGGGGGAGGAAGCTGCCTTGCCTCTTGCAGCTTCCGGCGGTGGCCAGTGTGCCGTGGCTTATAGATGTCACTCCACTCTCGGCCTCAGTTGGCATAAGGCATCGTCTCCTGCGTGTCCCTGGGTCTCTGTTTCCTCTGCTTCTAAGGACACCAGTCATTAGATGAGGGCCCACCCTAATCCAGAATGATCCCATCTGTGTCTGCAAAGACCTTATTTCCAAGTAAGAGTGCCTTCTCAGGTTTCAGGGAGACACGAATCTGGGGGGACTCTTCAACACAGGAGAGAGAACTAAGTCTGACTTCATTCTGCATTCACGCACACCCACCTCACTGAAAACTTTCAGATCCAGGTGACCATAAAACTGACCAGAAAAAAAAAAAAAAATCAAATATCTGCTCCAGAAGTCCTTAAAGGCCAAACCCATGCAACTCCAGGGCGGCAGGAGCTGGCACTCAGTGACACCTCGGGCCTGAGTGAGGAGGCTGGAACTTGCCTCCACCTGCTTCTTGCAAAGAACCTTTCAGAAGGGGCACCCACCCCACCCCAGACACTAGCAAAATGGTGCCAGCATCACTACAAGAAAGCTCTGGAGGCAGTGTGTGTGTTCTTGGGGCCATTAGTCAAGTCTGTGCAGGGCGGAGGTTCTGTGAGAGGCTGAGTTCCTGCGGAGGGAAAGGAAGAGCTGTGCCCAGGCCTGCTGAGAGGCTGCACAGGCCAGGCGCCCCCACGCCCTCCCAGGCCCAGAGTCCATTTCAGCCATGTGCCTGGAGCCTGGCTGAGGGAGGGAGTGCCAGGCTGATGAAAGTGAGAAGGCTCAGCCCGGCGCAGTGGCCCATGCCTGTAATCCCAGCACTTTGGGAAGCTGAGATGGGAGGATCACCTGAGGTCAGGCGTTCGAGACCAGCCTGACCAACATGGAGAAACCCCGTCTCTACTAAAAATACAAAAAAATTAGCTGGGGGTGGTGGTGGGTTCCTGTAATCCCAGCTACTCGGGAGGCTGAGGCAGGAGAATCGCTTGAACCTGGGAGGTGGAGGTTGCAGTGAGCAGAGATGGCGCCATTGCACTCCAGCCTGGGCAACAAGAGCGAGACTCCGTCTAAAAAAAAAAAAAAAACGAAAGAGAAGGCTCAGGTAAGGGATTGAGCACTGGCTTCTGACAGCCTCAGAGGAGCAGAGGGGTTGGGAGCTGCTGCTCCCTGGAGAGCCTCTTGGAATCCCACTGAGCTCCCAGATCCCAGACTCTGCCCCCACCAGCAATACGGCCCAGCCCTGCAGTAGGCATATCTGTTGGGGCCCAAAGTGTGTTGTGAAAATGCACAGTGCCTGCAGAGCGGACACACAGGCTGGGCTCCTTCCCTTGTTTTCTGGAGCCCCTCTGGGTGGAGAAGCCCTCGTTTCAGCTACCTCATAATTAATAATGACATAATGGAGTGCACTGTCGGGGCAGCCAAAGGAATAGTAACGCAGTGGAGAGCAGTCCATGATTTAATGCACTGAAACCAACAGCCTCGGCCCCCAGCACACACACGCAGGCTGGGCAGCTCCTTCTCAGGGGCCCGCACTGCCTCCTTCTCCTTGGCAGGTGTCTTCTTGGGGTCACACATTGGAACAGCCCTGTCTACAGCCTTGCTTGCTGCCCCTGCGGTGTGGAGACAGCATCACTCTTGCCCAGGACGCCTGGCTGCCTCTCAGGGGTGAGGGGGTGAGACCTTGATTTTGTGGGCCTATAGCAGCCTCTTTCTAGTCAGATAAAGGCTCAAAACCTCCTTCCTACCTTCCTCCCTTCCTCCCGGCCTGAGGCAGTCACCCTCATAGCCCTGTAGAGTCTTCAGAGAAGTGGCAATTCAAAGGCTGAATGCTCCATTATGTGGCTCCGGCAAATGGCTTGTCTCCCGTGGAGAGATACAGAGGAGTGGGTCTTTGACAGGCTGGAGATGCTCTGATCCGCCCGCGGTGCTGTGGAGCACGCCGGTGCCTTGCGTGTGTTCTGGCCCAGAGCCTACTGGGCCACGATTTGTGTATCTTTTGTAAAGTGCCATGCGTGAGCCGGATCGGCCCTGACATAATTACTGGAATATTTTAATATGAAGAAGAGTCTCTGAGTCATCTGCTCACACACCTCCACCGGGGCCCCATCTTAGCCAGGACACTGGTCAGAGACAGATTGTCTTCCTCTGATGGGGAAGTGACAACTCAGCCTCCCCAGAGGGAGGGCTGAGCACAGAGAGACACCTGCAAGGAGAGAAGCAGCTTCAGGGAACCGCCCAGAAAATAAAGGGCTCTTGGGATCCTGCAGCTCCCATTCTCAGGCCAGAGGGAGCAGTGCAACAAAGGGGGCCGGCCTCTGCTGACATCAGCGAGACCCCAAATAACAGGACCCTAGAAAGAAGCTTTGTCAGACCAAATCTGGGGAGGCAGAGGGGAGGAGGAAGGAAAGCCCTCGGGAAGCCACGCTCTCACTCCTCTCCATGGGGCTCTGGGATGGAGACGTGAGAAAAAGGTAACTGAAGTCTGAGTTGACAAAGCCTGAGACAGAGGAAATGTACAGTTGTAATGAAATAAAGCTTACAGTCAACTTCATCTGACACACATAGAATGATAGGCAGAATCTTTACTGTGCTGTTGCCTCTCAGTCCTAAATGACCATCGGTTCACTCACATAACCGCAGTTAGTGTGCCTCTCACAGGGGCACACTCTGCACTTCTGGGGTCTGTGGAGGCGAGCCCAGTCCTGCCGCACAGCTGCTGTTCTCCAGATCCTCGAGGCCGAGGCCCTTCCACTCTCTGGGGAGAGGATGCCCCAGCATGGAAACGAAAAGGTAAGTAAACTGTGCTGGCTTCTCTTTCAGGATGTTTCTTTCTTTCTTTCTTTCTTTTCTTTTTTGAGATAGAGTTTCGCTCTTGTTGCCCAGGCTGGAGTGCAATGGCACGATCTCAGCTCACCAAAACATCTGCCTAGGTTCAAGAGATTCTCCTGCCTCAGCCTCCCGATTACAGGCACGCGCCACCACACCTGGCTAATTTTTGTATTTTTAGTAGAAACGGGGTTTCTCCATGTTGGTCAGGCTGATCTCAAACTCCCAACCTCAGGTGATCCGCCCGCCTAAGCCTCCCAAAGTGCTCAGATTACAGGCGTGAGCCACCATGCCCGGCCAGGATGTTTGTTAATAGTAAGCCAGAAAATGAAATTTAAGGGAAGGCCATCTATGCATGAATCAAAGTCCCCATGGCCCCCAGGAAAGCCACGTCATCAGCTTGCCTTTCTAGCACCTCACACCGAGGCAAGAATGGCTGGAGGTGACCCCCAACCCTCCAGCCTCCCCCAGCACTATTTATTTGTCAGTACAAATGGGGAAGAATTGCAGCTTGTGTGTTACAGGAAAGATGTGGTAGAAATGATTTCATAACTCGCCTTTAAAAAATCGACTCTCTTTTAAAATCTATGATAGCCAGAAGGAGACAGTCCAACAGCAGAGGAAAATTTCAAAGTAAAGCTGTTCTTAGATTCCTCCTCCCCAGCATTCAGATCTTCTCCAACTTCCGGCATCTTCTTTCTTCTGCCTCTCAGGAGTCCAGAGCTTCTGTGTTGCCCACTGTCCAGACCCCCCTCTCTGGCTTTCACCTGCCCTTTGCCTCCTGCACAGAGCCCTATGATCCCTAATAACTTTCTCTTTCCCTCCCTTTCTCAAAGCTCCCTTTCTTCTAAAAGTGATCCTGAGCTAGGAAGTCTCCCAATATTTTACTTTTCTATAGTGATAATAAAGAAAGAAAAGAAGAAAAGTGTCACAGTGGAAAAGACCAAGCAGATCAAGAGGAATAAAAGACAAACCACAGACTGGGAGAAAATATTTGCAGAAGATATACACGACAAAGGACTCTTGTCTAAAATATACAAAGAACTCTTAAAACTCAACACAAACAAAATAAACAATTTGATTAAAACTGAGCCAAGACTTTAACAGACACCTTACCAAAGACATACAGATGGCAAAGAAGCATAAGAAAAGATGCCCCACATTTTAAGTCATCAGGGAAATGCAAATTAAAACAACAACTACTACACACCTAGTAGAATGGCCCAAATCCAGAATACTGATAACACCAAATGCTGGCAAGGATGTGGAGCAACAGGAATTCTCGTTCATTGCTGGTGGGAACGCAAAATGGCACAGTCTTGTTGGAAGGCAGTTTGGCAGTTTCTTGCAAAGCTAAATGTACTCTTAGCATATGATCCAGCAATTGTGCTCCTTGGTATCCATACACAGACCTGTCCATGGGTGTTCATAGCAGCTTTGTTCATAATTGCCCAAACTGGGAGCAACCAAGATGTCCTGCAGTAGGTGAATGGATTAATAAACTGTGGCACATTCAGGTAATGTACTATTATTTAGCTTTAAGATGAAATGAAGCCAGGCGTGGTGGCAGGCACCTGTAGTCCCAGCTACTCGGGAGGCTGAGGCAGGAGGACTGCTTGAGGTCAGGAGTATATGACTAAGTGAAATAAGGCAGTATGAAAAGATTACATACTACATGATTCCAACTATGTGACATTCTGGAAAAGGCACAACTATAGAGAGTAAAAATCTCAGTGGTTACCAAGGTTAGGTATGAAGGGGGGAAGGATGAACAGGTGGAATGCAAAGGAATTTTAGGGCAGTGAAACTGTTCTGTATGATACTGTAATTGTGGATCTATGTCATGATACATTTGCCCAAACCCATAGAATGTACAACACCAAGAGTGAACCCTAATGTCAAAAATATTTTCTTTGGGTGACAATGACATGTCAGTGAAGGTTCATGAATTGTAATGAATTCATGCTCTGGTGGGGGGTATTGATAACGGGGGTTGCTATGCATATATGGGGGCAGGGAGGATATGAGAAATCTCTCTACCTTCTCGGTTTTACTGTGAATCGAAAGCTGCTCTAAAAATACAGCCTAAAACAAAGAGAGGGTCTGCACAGCTCCATTTCCTTGTTTTCCTCTTCTCCTTTTTTGCTCTTACTCTCATCTTTTTTTTTTTTTTTTTTTTTTTAATGTGAGAAACATAAACACTCTTTGGGAAGTAAATTTTTCTCATCTTTAGAACTAGCCCTGGCACCTTCACTAGAGCATTTGGATTACTTTCCCACCCAACCTCTGGACAAAATCCTCCTTCTCCTCTCCCCCTCTTCTCCTCTCCCCTCCTTCTCCTCTCCCTTCCTTCTCCTCTCCCCTCCTTCTCCCCTCCCCTCCTTCTCCTCTCCCCCCTTCTCCTCTCCCCTCCTTCTCCTCTCCCCCCTTCTCCTCTCCCCTCCTTCTCCTCTCCCCCCTTTTCCTCTCCCCTCCTTCTCCTCTCCCCTCCTTCTCCTCTCCCCTCCTTCTCCTCTCCCCTCCTTCTCCTCTCCCCTCCTTCTCCTCTCCCCCCTTCTCCTCTCCCCTCCTTCTCCTCTCCCCCCTTCTCCTCTCCCCTCCTTCTCCTCTCCCCCCTTCTCCTCTCCCCTCCTTCTCCTCTCCCCCCTTCTCCTCTCCCCTCCTTCTCCTCTCCCCCCTTCTCCTCTCCCCTCCTTCTCCTCTCCCCCCTTCTCCTCTCCCCTCCTTCTCCTCTCCCCTCCTTCTCCTCTCCCCCCTTCTCCTCTCCCCTCCTTCTCCTCTCCCCCCTTCTCCTCTCCCCTCCTTCTCCTCTCCCCTCCTTCTCCTCTCCCTTCCTTCTCCTCTCCCTTCCTTCTCCCCTCCCCTCCTTCTCCTCTCCCTTCCTTCTCCTCTCCCCTCCTTCTGTATGATGTTCTGTATCATACAGAACAGTTTCACTGCCCTAAGTGACTATGCAAGACTATGTGTACCTTGTCTCTCTCTGAACCTCTTACCTGCATCCTACAACCACTGTTGTCATCCTCCACACACATTATACCTCCTACTGACCTTCAGACAGGTAACCCTGCTGTCATCCACTTCCATTGACAAGAGTCAAAAGTCCAGCAGTATCCAGGCAGTTCTTTCAACAGAAGGAATTTAACGTAGGCAATTGGTTACAAAGGTGATGAAGGGCTGACAGAAAAAAAGGGGACCAGGGACACTGATAATAATGAACAGGAAGCAGCTATTACCCCCAGTGCTAGGGGAGCAATGGGAAGGGACTGGATGTATCAAGAGATGGAATTTTGGAGAAGGGACCCCCCAGGGCAGAGACGTTGCCCAGCTGCTGCTGGCTGGGACCTCTAGGGAGGCATGGTGAGGCTGGTTCTGGGAGCTTAAACAGAAGCTGGCAGCTGGAACAAGCTGCTGTTGTGCCCAGGACAGGACAAAATGCTGCTGTTAGAGCAGCAAGAACTGGAACAATAACCAAACAGAGAACAGAAAGTCTCCTCTCCCCTCCTCCTTCTCCTCTCCCCTCCTTCGCCTCTCCCCCTCCTCCTCTCCCCTCCTCCTTCTCCTCTCCCCTCCCCTCCTTCTCCTCTCCCCTCCCCTCCTTCTCCTCTCCCCTCCTCTCCTTCTCCTCTCCCCTCCCCTCCTCCTCTCCCCTCCTCCTTCTCCTCTCCCCTCCTCCTTCTCCTCTCCCCTCCTCCTTCTCTCTCCCCTCCTTCTCCTCTCCCCTCCTCCTTCTCCTCTCCCCTCCTTGGCCTCTCCCCCGCTCCTCCTCTCCCCTCCTCCTTCTCCTCTCCCCTCCCCTCCTTCTCCTCTCCCCTCCCCTCCTTCTCCTCTCCCCTCCCCTCCTCCTCTCCCCTCCTCCTTCCCCTCTCCCCTCCTCCTTCTCCTCTCCCCTCCTCCTTCTCCTCTCCCCTCCTTCTCCTCTCCCCTCCTCCTTCTCCTCTCCCCTCCCCTCCTTCTCCTCTCCCCTCCCCTCCTTCTCCTCTCCCCTCCCCTCCTTCTCCTCTCCCCTCCCCTCCCCTCCTTCTCCTCTCCCCTCCCCTCCTCCTCTCCCCTCCTCCTTCTCCTCTCCCCTCCTCCTTCTCCTCTCCCCTCCTCCTTCTCCTCTCCCCTCCTTCTCCTCTCCCCTCCTCCTTCTCCTCTCCCCT
Organism: Homo sapiens; assembly: GCF_000001405.40. NCBI lineage: Eukaryota > Metazoa > Chordata > Mammalia > Primates > Hominidae > Homo > Homo sapiens. The sequence goes on from NC_000004.12 coordinate 182,833,652, forward strand.
CCCCTCCTTCTCCTCTCCCCTCCCCTCCTTCTCCTCTCCCCTCCCCTCCTTCTCCTCTCCCCTCCCCTCCCCTCCTTCTCCTCTCCCCTCCCCTCCTCCTCTCCCCTCCTCCTTCTCCTCTCCCCTCCTCCTTCTCCTCTCCCCTCCTCCTTCTCCTCTCCCCTCCTCCCTTCTCCTCTCCCCTCCTCCTTCTCCTCTCCCCTCCTCCTTCTCCTCTCCCCTCCTCCTTCTCCCCTCCCCTCCTCCTTCTCCTCTCCCCTCCTTCTCCTCTCCCCTCCTCCTTCTCCTCTCCCCTCCCCTCCTTCTCCCCTCCTCCTTCTCCTCTCCCCTCCTCCTTCTCCTCTCCCCTCCTCCTTCTCCTCTCCCCTCCTTGGCCTCTCCCCCCCTCCTCCTCTCCCCTCCTCCTTCTCCTCTCCCCTCCCCTCCTTCTCCTCTCCCCTCCCCTCCTTCTCCTCTCCCCTCCCCTCCTTCTCTCCCCTCCCCTCCTCCTCTCCCCTCCTCCTTCTCCTCTCCCCTCCTCCTTCTCCTCTCCCCTCCTCCTTCTCCTCTCCCCTCCTCCTTCTCCTCTCCCCTCCTTCTCCTCTCCCCTCCTCCTTCTCCTCTCCCCTCCCCTCCTTCTCCTCTCCCCTCCCCTCCTTCTCCTCTCCCCTCCCCTCCTTCTCCTCTCCCCTCCCCTCCCCTCCTTCTCCTCTCCCCTCCCCTCCTCCTCTCCCCTCCTCCTTCTCCTCTCCCCTCCTCCTTCTCCTCTCCCCTCCTCCTTCTCCTCTCCCCTCCTCCTTCTCCTCTCCCCTCCTCCTTCTCCTCTCCCCTCCTCCCTTCTCCTCTCCCCTCCTCCTTCTCCTCTCCCCTCCTCCTTCTCCTCTCCCCTCCTCCTTCTCCTCTCCCCTCCTCCTTCTCCTCTCCCCTCCTCCTTCTCCTCTCCCCTCCTCCTTCTCCTTTCCCCTCCTTCTTCTCCCCTCCCCTCCTTCTTCTCCCCTCCCCTCCTTCTCCTCTCCTGTCCCCCAGTGTGCTCTAATGGCTAAGAGTCAGCTGCCAAAGGAGAAATGCCCTTTGCAGAGTCCCAGACGTGGCGAGAACAGGAGAATGGCGTTAGGGGTGAGAGAGGTGAGTGACCGGAGGATGCACTTGCTCACAATGACTCTCAATTCCAAGATGTGGCACCGTTGACAAGATAGCACAGTGCATCCTTCTGCCATAAGCTTGCAAAACACAATCAGAGCAAAAAGCTAATTAATAAGAACCACGTATTTCAAGTCAAATCTATAGATTGAGACCATCGCAAAAATTCTGGGGTTTTTCGATGGCTTCCGTGAACATCTCTGCTCACTGGGGTGTTGGGAATTTGGATAAGGCAGGGAGATCACCCGCCTGCAGAATCCAGGCTTCCTCTGAGAGGCTGCTGGCTGTGCCCAGAGATGTCTTGGCCACGAACCCCTCAGTCACTGCCAGCGGGTTCTGCACGCGCCTTGGAGTCCCGGGCATCCACTGACATTTCTTCCCCCGGCCCCACCACCACCTTGTCTCTATTCCTCTTCGCTGCGGTTCATTTCTCCCAGGGCCCCATGCACTTGTCCTCGGACCCTCGGGCGGAAACTGGGCCAGCGCTTCCCCTGGTGGCAGTCAGTGAAAGTCCTCAGATTACCTTCATCGGAGGGAAATGATAATCGTGTTTATTCTGAACTTCACCTCGGACCAGGCCCTGTACTAAGCCCCCTGTTTGGATGCCCTGTTTGGAGACACTTTCACCTTCATGAGGGCTTCTAGTCCGGCGCTGGCCAGTGCCAGCGGTTAGGAGCGTCTCCCCTGCACTGGCCAAACACGTGCCTGTAACTTCCAGCCTCCACCCCTCATTTCGCTCCCTAGGGCCACGTGGACTAAACCTAATCCCTCTCCCACAAATGTCTGCATCATCCCATCTGTCCACTACCACCTGCACCAGCCACCGTCCCACCAAGTCTGCCCTTGCCCAGTCGCTCTCCTCTAGAGACCTACCCATTCAGAAGGGCCATCCATTTCCGTTAAACTTGGCCTAGTGACCTAAGAGTGGTGGGAACAGAGCAAGGCCATCAGCCTCCTGCTCTGAATGCCACACTTTAAGTGCACCTGAAGATGTTCAAATATCAGTCACTGACGGTGAATGGATAGTGCCAAGAGACCTGTGGCCTTCCACTAGAGACCCCTCTGATCCATGAGGCAGTATTCACTTATTTACCCAGGTAACTGTCTGCATCAGCGTGCCATCTTCCAGGTCACTTTCTTCACCTTCTGCATAATACTTGGCCCAAAGCCTTTTGCTGAAATCCAGATTTTCATTCATTCGCTCATGCATTCATCTATGCAACACAGACACACCAAGCTCCCGCTATGTGCTGGGCACTTCTGTAAGTGCTGGAGAGACCCAACTGAACAGGATGGATGCCGTTCCTTCCCTTATGGAGTTCATATAATGGGGGGGACAGGGAATAGTCAATAAACACATTAATTAGTGAGAAAATATTAATGAGATAATTTTAGACAGCGCTTTGAAGAAAATAACAACTGAGATTGTAGCAGGGGCAAGTGTGAAAATAGGAGACCAATTAGGAAAGCTTAAGTTAGGCTGGGTGCAGTAGCTCATGCCTGTAGCTCTTTGAGGCCAAAGCAGGAGGATTTCTTGAGGCCAGGAGTTTGAGACCAGCCTGGGCAACATAGTGAGACCCCCGTCTCTACAAACAACAACAACAATGAAAATAAATAAATAAGCACATGAAAGGAGGCTCAAGTGAGAACTCAGAAATGCCAGGTCTACCACATCCTCTCCTCTACTAAGCAGGGAACTCCCCCAAATGCAGGGGTATCTGGCTAAATTTGTCTTTGTTAACCCCATGCTGACCTTCATCAGTCCCTGCGTCCCTTCCTGATCCTCAGCTGAGGTGTTCTAGTAGCTCCCGAGGACCAACACAATTTCCACCAGCTGTCTCACTTTCCTCTCCCGTCCCCACAGGCCCTCACGGACTGCCAGCAGCTGCACATCCTTCAGCAATTCTCACCGGCTGTCTCACTCTCCTGTCCCGTCCCCACAGGCCCTCGCGGACTGCCAGCAGCTGCACATCCTTCAGCAATTCTCACTGCTGCCTCACTGTCCTGTCCCGTCCTCACAGGCCCTCACAGACTGCCAGCAGCTGCACATCCTTCAGGGCTTCAGGATGTCACCCCAGCCACAGCCCTGGCCCCTCAGGAGGCAAGAGCACGTTGAGAGCTGTCAAAGCTCTTAACCTCCTCCCCTATCTTGGTGCTCCTTCCACCTTTTTCTGCCTGAAGGTTCTTCTAGAGAGAAAGCTCATGTGGACAGGCCCCTGCACTCCACTCCAGGGGCATCCTCATAGCCATGCTCCTGCTCCTGACACGCCCCATCTTGCTTAACTTCTAACACCCCTTGGAGTGGTTTCCAAGGCCTTTGGAGTACTTCAGCTCACTCGTCTTCTGACAGGCCTCCTGCAAGCCCAGCTTCCAGTGGGCAATGGCCTTTGAGAAGACACCCACTTTCCTGCATTAGGAAATGTCCTTTGTCCACCTGAGCTGCTCAGAGCACCCCTGTGCAACTCTCCTGGCTTCTACAGACACCTCCTCCCTCCTCTTTCCATCCTCCTTGGTGAAGGACCCTGCTTCCTTCTGAGAACCGCCCATCCCTCTTGTGCAGAACCTAGATTAAGGCTAAAAATTCTAAGCCAAAACACACAGCAATCAAGAGAGATACAATTTTAACACAATCATGTTTTAAAAATCTAAATTTATGCAAAAAATCCTTGAATAAAATATCAAGACTTTAACTACAGACAGGATTGGTATTACTAGTTTTTCCTTTTGCCTTAGATTCCAATACGACCCAGTATAGCCTTTTTGTTTCATTGTCGTGAAATATACATAATGTAAAATTTACCATTTTAACCATCTCTAAGCGTCCAATTCCATGTCGTGATGTGCGTTTCCATTGCTGTGCAGCCATCACCACTGTCTTCTGCACAGCTTTTGTGTGTCTTCCCTCTCACGGAATCCTTTCTGCTTTCGTGATCCTTCCTCAAGCCAAGCACGCCCTTCTTGCCGACTCCCAGGACCTCTCAAATCAGACGCTAGATTTCTCCCAGGTGTTCCATCCTATCCACTTCACTCCTCACTGGTGAGAAATGGGCTCAGGGTAGCAGCTCCCATTGTCAGTTCTGGGCCCTTCTGAGAAGGGGTGACATCAGCCCGCATGAATCTCACAGCCGCGGTCTGCAAAGATGGGGTCCCTATCTCCACTGGGTCTGCCCTGGTGCCAGGTCTGAACAACACATCAGCAATGTTCCATCGTGGCCCGCAGCGTGGGGAAAAGCCCCACCTGAAGCCCAAAGAGCAAAGTCCGTGCCATTTCCTTGGTTAGCTGCTGAGAAGGTTTTTTTTTTTTTTTTTTTTTTTTCAGACGGAGTTTTGCTCCTGTGGCCCAGGCTGGAGTGCAGTGGCGCAATCTCAGCTCTCCGCAACCTCCACTTCCTGGGTTCAAGCCATTCTCCTGCCTTAGCCTCTCGGGTAGCTGGGATTACAGGCATGTGCCACCACGCCCAGCTAATTTTGTATTTCCTAGGAGAGACAGGTTTTCTCCACGTTGGTCAGGCTGGCCTCGGACTCCCGACCTCAGGTGATCCGCTCGCCTCAGCTTCCCAAAGTGCTGGGATTACAGGTGTGAGCCACCGTGCCCGGCCAGGAAGGCTTTTTTAACAACAAGTACTTAAGAAAAGAAAAAGAAAAAGTGTTAGGTATAGTTGACTTGTTCCTCTGATTAAAAATAAGAACAGGGCTTTGTTCATTCTCCAAGGTGGCCACTTTGGGAATCCACCATAAAGTGATTAGTGAGACAATTACAGCTGTGACCGAACACAACAAAATTGGTGCTTCAACTTCAGTGTAATGAGAGCTTTTCCCTTACTTTGCTATTTATTGATTTGGTGTACCCTCCCTCCTACCTTAATGATTCATAGTTTAAACTTGTCTACACGATTTATATAGAGGCTTGGAGACCCCTATTATTCAGCTGCGGCTCTCAAGCAACACCCACGGGACCGAGTCCTTCGCCTCTCCCCAGCCTTCCCACCATGAGCTGCTGAAGACGGAGGACCTGCCAACGGCCTCCGAACAGGAGGAAGCCAGGAAGCAGCCAGTGGGAGAAATTACCTCCTGAGGCCAGAAGCAGGAGACTAGTAAGTCAGCGCACCCCCAGGCTTGAGGCAAAAATGAGGCTCCCACCCTATTTGTCTTTGCAAATCACTTCACCTCACTGTGCTTCAGCCCACTCCTAGGACACAGGGCTTCAGCCACTACCCAAGACTGCCTTGGGGGGAACAATATTAATAACTATGACTGTGAGTCTCTTTTCCTGTGCACTTATTACCAGTGCTGTATGAGTGCTTATTATTAATAATAATAATTTAGTGCCGACTTTACTGCTTTTGTGTAACAGCGAGTACCTGGATTCTAATTATCTGTCTTATTTTAATATTTATGGAATTAATCAAAACTTTGTAATGGAAAACCCCACGATGAAATTACTAAGAGCGTATGCTTCAATGAAGACAGATGCAGCACACTGTAGGAAAAGACAGCTCCACTTCATAGCGTTACCGGGAACAGCTCAGGGTGCTGGCTGGCCCCTGAGCCAGGCAGGGTGGTAGAGCACATCCTGGAGCCCCAAGGCAGGGCCTGTGGCATCCCAGGGAGCGGCCCATCTGTGGTCCCCCCAAAAAAGGGGTCTCCACAGCCCAGCTGCCACCTATGCTCACAACAGGGGTCGGGGGTTCGTCTACTCATCAAGGCTAAACTGTGCGCTGGCCAGGCCCTGTGCTGACAGGTGCTCCGGGCTGGTCCCATCACCCCAGAGACAGGCAGCAAAGCCAGGTCCAAGCTCTGTCTAAAGATCAAGGAAGAAGCTCCCTCTACAAAGAGCTCTGGAGCTCAGCAACTTGTACCCAGTCATCGCTTTAGAACCTTCGCTGGTGTCAGCGAGGTCAGAAATGCCATCCTTGGCATTATTTCCAACCTGGAGGATCCGCATCCTGGGCTGAGCTGGTCAGCTGATGGTCACCCAGCACCCCACTAAGATCCTGCAGCTCCCAGGGCACTAGGCCAGAGTGTAGGGCGGGGACAAATGCCTCTCAGGAAACATCCCAGCTCCCACTGACTGAGTGCTGACAGCTGTCTGGCCCTGTGGGAGATGCTTTCTGTGTGCTCCTGAATTTCAGTTTTATGACAACCCTGTGGATCAGGTACTGTTATTCCTTTCATTTCACAGATGAGAAAACTGAGGCTAAAGAGGTGAAGCTGCTTGCTCAAGGTCACAGAAAATGCTATACCGAATGGCCTGGGGTTTGAACTGGGGCCAGGCCACGTCCATGCCTCTGCTCTGAGCCAGGGCCCTCCACTGCCTCCCATCTCCTTTTCTGAACACCTCTCTCTACAACTCCTTGATCGGGGGCCTGAGACCCTGGGACTACCGTGCGACTTCCAAGGGCTTACATTCTTGGAATCACAGAGGTCCTTTTCTAGCCCGATTTTTTGCCTTCCTCTGCATGCCTCACCCCCAAACATCTTCAGGACACAGCCAGGGCTAAACGGGACATGATAAGATCACCTGGGGAGCCTGAGAAATCCTGATGCCGAGGGTGCATCCCCACGCATGCGTCATACGCCCTGGGACCCAGGCATGGGTAATCCCTATTACAGTAGGAGGTTTGGTGAGAACATCCATATAAAGCATTTAGAAGATATGATTCCACCATGTGCCCGGGATTCCACTGGGCTTCTTAATCCCAGCTTCTCACCAGAATCACCCAGGGAGCTTTCAGAAATACCCAGGTGTAAGCCTAACCGCCAGTGATTCTGTTTAATTGGTCTGAGAATTACTGCATATAGTTTTTGAGCTTCCCAGTTGATTTTAGTCTGTCGTCTGTATGGAGATGTCCTGGTTTAGGATGAAAACTAATTGTCTGAAAATAAATTTACTCTAGGACTGGGTGTGGTGGCTCACGCCCGTAATCCCAGCACTTTGGGAGGCCGAGGTGCGCGGATTACTTGAGACCGGGAGTTCAAGAACAGCCAGGCCAACATGGTGAAACTCTGTCTCTACTAAAAATATATATTAAAAGAAACAAAGAAAGAAATTTACCCTAAGAAGTGAATACTACTCTTCCCGGGGCTGACGTCCTATTGTCTTTGTATGTGAGTTCAAAAGTCACCTATTCAGAGGGACACCCCCTGACCCCCACCTCACTCCCCCAGCAACAGTAACTCCACCCCCACTCTCTGGCACTTTATCTAGTTTTCTTGTTCTCATAGCGTATTTTGCTGTACTATGTTAAATAAAGTTCCCCTAAAATTTATGTCCACCCAGAACCTGGGAATTCGACCTTATTTGGAAATAACTTAACATGAGGTGTAATCAACTTAACAGGAAGTCATAGGGGATTAGGGTGGGCCTTAAAGCCAATATCACTCAGAAGAAGAAAACGCGAGCTGCGTAGTTCCAGCTACTTGGAAGGCTGTGGTGGGAGGATTGCTTGGCCCGGGAGGTTGAGGCTGCCGTGCTCTGATGGTGCCTCTGCACTCCAGCCTGGATGACAGAGAGAGACCTTGTCTCTAAAAATAGAAATAAAAAACAGAAGAGGAAAATCTGGACACAGAGACACCCAGGGAGAGCGCCAGGTGAAGGAGGCTGAGATTGGGGTGATGCATCCACAAGCTGAGGACTGCTGGCAACTAGCAACTAGCAGAAGCTGGAAGAGACCCGGAAGGCCCTTCCCTTGCTCCTCCAGAGGGAGCAGGGCCCTGCCAACACCTTGACTGCAGACCGCCAGCCTAGCACTGTGAGAGAACGGATTTCTGTTGCTTTGTTTTTGTTTGAGACCGAGTTTCGCTCTTATTGCTCACACTGGAGTGCAATGGCACGACCTTGGCTCACTGCAACCTCTGCCCCCTGGATTCAAGTGATTCTCCTGCCTCAGCCTCCCAAGTAGCTGGGATTACAGGCACTGGCCACCACGCCTGCCTAATGTTTTTGTTTTTAGTAGAGACGGGGGTTTCACCACGTTGGCCAGGCTGGCCTCGAACTCCAGACCTCAGGTGATCCACCCTCCTCGGCCTCCCAAAGTGCTGGGATTACAGGCATGAGACACCGCGTCTGGCCAGATTTCTGTTGTTTTAAGTTACGGTGTGTGATCACTTGTTAAAACAGCCATAGGAAACTAATGCATTTACCTTGGGAAATGATGGGATTTATTCCTTTGTCTGCTTACCTGTTGCCCGGCTCCCTGACGGCACATGAGCAACGATGGAAGGGCCCGTCTGCTCACTGCTCCGCCTCCACACCTAAAACAGTGTCTGGCTCATAGTAGGCCTCAAAACTTTTGCTTGAATGGATAAATAAATAAAAAGCATCACTCATCTAGGACAGACAAGTGAGCTCTGCTCAGTTTGTGCAGGACAGAAAGGGATGTACTTTAATTTAGCACTTATTGCAAAGGGGATCATTGTTCTAAATATTTTATCTGTCCGTTATCATTCAGCCATTTACTAAGTGTGTGAAGTAGATGCACTGATTATCCCCATTTTATGATGAAGTAACTCAGGTTCAGAGGTGACGTCAGCAGCTGGAGTGCAGACGTCACAGAAGTGGTAAAGCGAGGAATCGAACCCAGGGCCATCTGACTCGAGAAACCCCATGCTTTCTGCAGGGGCGGCCTGGCCGGCCCTCGCCTGCTCGAATGCCACCAAGGATGCACCCCAGAGGGCAGGCCAAGGCAGCCAGGACCTCACTTGGCAAGGTGCTCAAACCTGGCCTTAACAAACAAACGTTTCTCCAAATTCCTGTCCTCTCAAGCATTTTTCTTTATCTCCCTTACAATCACTCCTGGAATTTGAGCTGGACCCCTAATTTATCAAGGGCTCTGGAGCCTTCTGGAAGACCGCCTAAAGAGGACAAGTCCAAATTAGAAATGTTTATCTTGTTTCTAAACGTGATACTTTCTCGTCTCAGCTTTTCCTAGGAAGCACTTTGTTAAGGAACGGAGAAGTTGGGCAAAACTAACCTGCACTCACATCCCAGGTGAGGGAGGAGAGCCTGACCCGTCTTTATTTTAAAAATGATTGAGCAAGTTGTATCCCCGGGTAAAGTGAGTAAATCTGATTCTGGCTGATCCTTTCGCAGGGCTCTTTGGACTGCAGGAGAATCTGGATTTGCCAAGCCCAGGAAGTGCTTATTCTCTTTATGGTGATGACTGAGCACGCTGTGAACCTGAGCGTTCTGTGCACTGCCTTCACCACGTCTCTAAATTATTCTGACATCTTCCTCCTCTTCTCCTCTGCTGGAACCTAGCTTTAATTATTTTTCAGTAACAAGTCAATTGTCCCGTTTTTCCTTTCCCTTCAAAACGTGTTCATCACCAGAGCCACATTAGTCAAAAGTGACAGTTACAAACTGAAATCAATGTCCACATCACCAAAGACATCAGAGATACCAAAGGCCGGTTAGGTCAGCCAGCGCACGCCAGGCGACAACGTGCTCGTGGGTCACAGCAGAGCCGTGCTCCTCTCTGGCCCCGTCTCCCACCCCTCCGCTCCTGCAAGGCTGCCACTGACCAGGAATCAGCAACCAACCTCATCCAGCTCTTTTGTCCTTTCATTAAGTAACCACTGAGAAATGAGTAAAGGAGGAAGGAATACAGGGAGAAGAAAAAAAGAGCAGGTAACGTGGAAAAGACAAGGGGAAGAGAGTGAACAGGGGAACGCAGAGGGCGTGAGGGAAGAAAGAGAGATTCTGCTGCGAGTGCCAGCCTTGGGAACATCCCTTCTTAGTGAAGTTAAGGAATGCCCATTTGCATCCCCAGGAAATAAGAATTAAAGAGGAAAAGGGGGTCGTGCGGTGGCTCATGCCTGTAATCTCAGCACTTTGGAGGCTGAGGTGGGATGATCCCTTGAGCCCAGGAGTTTGAGACTAGGCTGGGCAACATTATGAGACCCCCATCCCAAAAAAAAATAGGAAAGAAAATTCAGCCAGGTGTGGTGGTACACACTTGTAGGCCCACTACTCAGGAGGCTGAGGCAGGAGGATTGCTTGAGCCCACAAGGTCACGACTGTAGTGAAGTGTAATTGCGCCACTGCACTTCAGCCTAGGTGACAGAGTGAGACCCTGTCTCCAAAAAATGAAAGAGGAAAAGGGAAGTGTGGGGAGTGGAGAAATAAATGAAGACCAAAGCAACGAGAACAGCCAGAGGCTATTTATTCAGAGCTTGCCATAGCAATGGAGTCAGCCACCATCACTTACGTTCTGGCAGAGACTCAAAGGCAGGCAGGGACATGGAAAAGCTTCAGAGTGGAAAAAAGGGAAGGCGTCAGGCGTGGCCTGATGGAGGCTGTGGCCTGGGGAAGCTGCAGGCGGGCTGGCTAGAGGCAGGCATCCTATGTGGTTAGTTAAGCGGGTATATTTGGCTTTCTCTGGTTGGAAGCAGGGATAAAAATTAGGCGAGCTGTCAGTTATTAGTCAAGTCCTGGCCATTTAGGCAGATTGTTATGGGGTAGTGGTCTGTGCGCAGCCTGGTGCCCTCCCAGCCTGATTGGAAGCACTGGCTTCCTGGACTGACTGTTGGAGACAATGGGTTTGCTCCTTGCTTGCAGACAATGGGTTTGCAGGTTGCTGCAGGCTGTGGGTCAGAATCTGTTTGCACACATGGTTGGGCATTGTCTGTTCCCACATTCAGTCTCTTAACAGGTCATCATTGCCATTTTTGTGCTCTTGACTTATCTTATTTTCTCCAACCTGAGTTCCAGAGCTCCCTCCTGAGTTCCAGACCCTGGGACTGATTGGCTCCTGGGTCCAGACAATTTCAACACCCCATCAATTTTACCTCCCAAATACCTCTCCAATCAAGCATTTCTGTCCACCCGCACCAGCCAATCCAAAATCCCCTCCCCCCACCGTCCCCGTTGGACCTCAGACACGTTTCCATGTGATCTACTTGCTGTCAACCTTGACATTCTCTCTGGTTTGGAGGAGTCCAACTCCAGGACCAAATCCCATGCGTGGTCTTCCAGCCCAACTGCAGGCAATTGCAGTGGCTCCACCTGAGAGGCTTCAGGGAGGGCAGGGGGCTGCCCTCCCCACCTCAGATGTGGCACTAAGCCTCACTGCAGCCTGGAGGGGTTGCGGTCAAGGACTCACCGCCCCTGCCCACTCAGCCAGACCCTACAGGAATCTTTTCCCGGCTGGCGCCTCCATTCAGAGGCCACCTTATGTGGACTGGGGCTGGGATCCTGTCCAGCACCTCTGCTGAGACCTCCTCTCAGGACCGTCCAAGACACTTCCCACTCCAGCCCAGGGCTCCCCACATCTCCACTCCTAGCCCTTTCCCTCCCTCCCTGGGTCCCCACATCCATAAAATGTCGAGTCTTTGCTGACACTCCCTGGGCAGTGAAAGGGGCCACCCCAGCTGACTCCCCCAGTCCCTCTGGCCCTAGCCTGGCGCTGTTCTGGATGGGCAGGAACGGAATACTGGGTGCACCGGCCTGGCGCTGTTCTGGATGGGCAGGAACGGAATACTGGGTGCACCGGCCTGGCCTCCCTCTGGTCTTTTGCTTACACTCCCAGTAAGTGAATAAATAAAGAACTGCTACTGACAGCTTGACCCCGGCAGCGCTCTAACAATTTCAAGATCAGACATGCAGTCCTTTCCCTTCCTGAAGTCCTTTTCTGGCTTCCCACTGTCCGCAGAGACTGTATTTCTTTTTCTTTCTTTTCTTTTCTTTCTTTTTTTTTTTTTTTTTTTTTTGAGACAGAGCAAGGCTGGAATGAAACGGCATGATCTCAGCTCACTGCAGCCTCCACCTCCTGGATTGTAAAGATTCTCTTGCCTCAGCCCCCCAAGTAGCTGGGACTACAGGCGCATGCCACCACACCTGGCTATTTTTTTGTATTTTTTTAATAGAGACGGGGTTTCATCAGCTGGCCAGGCTGGTCTTGAACTCCTGATCACAGGTGATCCGCTCGCCTCAGCCCCCCAAAGTGCTGGAATTACAGGTGTGACAGGGAGTCTATTTCCTAGGGCTGCCCTAACACAGAGCTGCACCCTGGGTGGCTTGGAAACAGTAGAAATGAGCCGTCTCTCAGCCCTGGAGGTGCAGAGTTGGAAATCCAGGTGTCAGCAGGGCCACGCCTCCTTAGAAAGCTGTAGGACAAGCGCCCTTCCTTGCCTCTTCCAGCTCCTGGCAGCCCAGACCTTTCTTGGCTGGTGGCATCATCACCCCAGTCTTCATAGGGCCATCTTCCCACTGTGACTCTTTCCAAAGCCTCCACTTTTCTGTGTCCAAACTTCCCCCTTTTTATAAGGACTTTAGTAACATTGGATTAAGGCCCACCCTAATAATCACTTGATTACATCTGCAAAGACTCTATTTCCTAATAAATTCATATTCTGGGGTACAGGGAGTCAAGACATAGCATGTCTGTCTGGGGGGACACGAGTCGGTCCGCCACAGGGAGCTTCCAGATCCTCACCACGGGCTGGCAAGTCCCTCCCCAGCCTGGCCCGCCACCCTCTCCACCTCATTCAGGGACTCTTCCATTCACCCTGCACACTCCAGACGCTTCAACTCTTTGGAGTCCCTCAACTTCTTATTTTATCAACACCAGCTTTTGCGGACTGAGCTTCCCTAAATCCAAAAATCCAAAATCCGAAATCCAAAAATGCTCCCCAATCCAAATCTTGTGTGCTCAATGGAGCTTTTCAGATTTTCATATGTTCCACAGGTAAGTGTAACACAAAGATCTCGAAATCCAAAATCTGGAACACTTCTGGTCCCAAGCATTTCAGATAAGGGCCACTCAGCCTGTCTAAGCAGCAGGGTGACAAGACCCTGTCCAGGAGCTGAGGAAAGATCCCCCAAAGGAGAGCCGTGGGAAGTGAGGAGGGGGTTCCAGATATTTCCCTAAATGTCCTCCATGGAGGCTAAATCTGTTCTTGGCCTCTTCGGAATTAGCGTTCTTTCCACCAGTGAGGGCGACTTATCATCATGCCAGCCTGTCCTGCCCACAGATCCCCTTGTCACCTGCTCCACAGACCAGCACACCCCATGGCCTGCTCTTTCCTCCCAGCCCTCTGACACAGTTTCCTGATTTCAAGAAATGGAAATTATGTTGGTTCGTTCAACAAATATCTGTTAGGCACAGTGCTGGCGTTGGAGTGCACATAATTTATGTTAAGACAGATCAGTAAAAACAGTACAGATCGTGTGTGTGTGTGTGTGTGTGTGTGTGTGTGTGTGTGTGTGAGAATTAACTCCAATCCAGTCTCTAGGAAGGGGCAGAGGCTCCGTGTTTTAGTTAAATCTGTACCACAGGCTTCCTTCATTGGTATTGGGGTGTTAGCAATTCTCTTTCCCTTGTGAAACTGGTGGTGGTGGCCAAGCGTGCTGGCTCACGCTTGTAATCCCAGCACTTTGGGAGGCCGAGGTGGGCGGATCACCTGAGGTCTAGAGTTCGAGACCAGCCTGGCTAATGGTGAAACCCCGTTTCACAAAAAATTAGCCAGGCGTGATGGTACGCGCCTGTAATCCCAGGTAGTCAGGAGGCTGGGGGAGGAGAATCACTTGAACCCGAGAGGTGGAGGTTGCAGTGAGCTGAGATCATGCCATTGCATTCCAGTTGGGCAACAACAGCGAAACTCCGTCTCAAAAAAAAAAAAAAAGAAAGAAAGAAAGAAAAAAGAAAGAAAGAAAAAGAAAGAAAGGAAGAAATTGGTGGTGTTGGAGACACTTGGTGGCCTAGAAGCAAGTCCTCTGCTCTTGCTTGAACGGGATGTGGAAGTTGTAAGCCCCTAGACTCTCACCTTTGGGAGAAAGACGTAGGTCTAGAATCCTGACTGCATCTGGGTATACCTCTCCTCCCTGCCCCAGAGCCACTCAGCAGAGCATGTGTTGCGGGATTCATTTAGAAGGTAACTTGATCCTGCTGTCAGAATATTCTCACTTGTGTCTCACAGAGAATCTTTCCAGAAGGGCAGAGAGCAGAGGGGCTTCCCCAAGCCCAGAGGTAAAAGGCGTGGATTTGTGTTGTGCCTGCTGCGACCTGTACATTTGTCAGCAATCGGCTAGAGACTAGCTTTCATCATACACACCACCTGGCAGGGAGGCTGAGTGGGGAAGGCGAAATTCCCCGCCATTGTCGGAGGCTGGCGATATCTTCCAGACTATGGACAAGTTGGCTTAGGTCTGTTCTTAACCGCCCAGCAAGAGGTGAACAACAAAGAAAAGGTTCCTGATCTCACAGCTTAGAGACGAAGGACAGACAGCTGGAGGAATTTGCTCAAAAGAAATTGCTTACGTTTCGCCAAAGCTCTAGGTTTTTGCTTGGAGACCTCACTGGTCCGAGGCTGGCCAAGCCGGGGACTGCGTGGCGTTCAGCACTCCTGCGCCTCCACAGCCTGGGTGTGGGCAAGGACAGGAGGCCGCTGTGGCACTGCCCCTTCCACCCCACGCCCAGGAGCTCAGGGAGGAACCTGCCCTGGCTTTTCCAAGACAGAAGAGGAGATTCCACCATCAATGCACCAGAGGAAAGGGCCATGAACGTGGGGAGCCCGGGAGGCCCCGGCCATGCTTTGCCTGAAGGGTAGGGCCGAGGGCGAGGGGTTCCCTTCGTCACGGTGTGCTGAGAACAGATCGTCCCAGTGTTTTTGTTTGTTTGGTTTGGTTTGGTTTTTTGAGACAGGGTCTCACTCTGTTGCCCAGGCTGGAGTGCAGAGGTGCAATCACAGCTCACTGCAGCCCAGACCTCCTGGACTCAAGTGATCCTCCAGCCTCAGCCTCCTGAGTAGCTGGGACCACAGGCACGGGTCACCATGCCCAGTTAAGTTTTTTGTTTTTTTTTTTTAAGAGATAGGGTCTCACTATGTTGCCCAGGCTGGTCTTGAACTTCTGGGCTCAAGCAATCCTCCTGCCCTGGCCTCCCAAAGTGCTGGGATTACAGGCGTGAGCCACTGCATCTGGCCACCTTCCACTATTTGCTTCCATGCTCATTCAGAATTCCCCATGGTAAAAATCCTGTGAGGAATTATATCATAAAATTTAAAAATATATTATTTAGTGATATTTATAGATTTATTCTATAATACATTATTATATTCTAAGTAAGAAAATACGATGTTATAATAAACATATTCTATATTATGTAATAAATACATTGTATATAATAATCTATATATTATACGATAAATATATAGATAAAAATAAGATAAAAATCAATAAACCACATATAAATAGATCTGGCTGGGCCCCTCTCATCTTTCCTATCTCAGTCATTTTTCTGGGCCCCAGACACCTTCTTCGGGTCTGTAAAAGCCCCTCCAGCATTCGTGCAATCGAGGAAACTCGGAGGAGACTTTTGGTCTTTAGCCCCCTGGGGTTCAGGGAAACTCATGGACAAGCCCAAGTCTTGTGGCTCCTCTGCTCCCGAGTCCTGTCCCCCAGGCTCAAGTCACCCACAAAGCCTTCCCAGAGGCTGCCAAGGCCACGCGTAGCACACAGGGTCTCTGTTACCTTCCCGAGGGTAGGAGCAGATTCCTGCCATCCCCACAGTCCTGCTGGTGTCCTTCTGGCGCCTCTCCCACACCCTCCCTCTCCAGACCTGAGGGGCACTCTCCACCTCCAAGCCTTGACAGGTTAGAATCTCAACACCCAAGGCCAAACATCACTAAAACAGTGACAATGGGGACAGTCACCATGGCCTGCTCTGTGGCTGCAGGTGGTGACTGTGACAAACTGGAACAGACCCATCCCTGCTAAAAGCATTTGAATTTACTTCATAAAAATCACAGCAATATCTAAATCTTTTTGTTTGTTTCTTTGAGACGGAGTCTCGCTCTGTCACCCAGGCTGGAGTGCAATGAATGGCACGATCTCGGCTCACTGCAACCTCTGCCTCCTGGGTTTAAGCGATTCTCCTGCCTCAACCTCCCATGTAGCTGGGATTACAGGCCCCCATCACCACGGCCACCTACTTTTTGTATTTTTAGTAGAGACGGGGTTTCTTCGCCATGTTGGCCAGGCTGGTCTTGAACTCCTGACCTCAGGTAATCCGCCCACTCTGGGCTCCCAGAGTGCTGGGATTACAGGTATGAGCCACTGTGCTCGGCCAGCAATATCTAAATTTGACATGCAGGCCATGAGTTTCTAGCCTCTGGCTCAGATAATTTTATTTTATTTTGTAAAGACAGGATCTCCCTCTGTCACTCAGGCTGTAGTGCAGTGGCATGATCGTAGCTCACTGCAGCCTTGAACTCCTGGGCTCAGGCAGCTCAAGCGATCCTCCCACCTCCGCCTCCTGAGTAGCTGGGACTCGAGGTGTGCACCACCATATCTGGTTAAGTTTTGTATCTTTTTTTTTTTTTTGTAGAGACAGGGTCTCACTATGTTGCCCAGGCTGGTCTCGAACTCCTGGTCTCAAGCAGTCCTCCCACCTCGGCTTCCCAAAGCACTGGGATTATACCACGCCCAGCCCAGACATTGTAAAATAATGTTCTGGGTCATTATCATAAAAAGGCAGCCAGGTGAGGACAGAGACACAGAAGAGCACCATGTGAAGATGGAGGATCGAGGGGTACATCTGCAAGCTAAGGAGAATCAAAGATGGCCAGCAAGCCATGGGAAGCCGGGAAGAGACAAGGACAGATTCCCCTTCAGATTTCAGAGGAAGCAGGGCCCGCCAACACCTTGAATCCAGACTTCTAGACTGCACATCTATGAGACATGTCTGTTGTTTTAAGCCAGTGTGATGATGATGATGATGATGGTGATGATGATGTCCTATAACTCTTCTTAGGGATACTCCAGAATTGAAGGAGGGTAATGGTCTCTCTTTCTTTCCCATTTGTGAGGACGTGGGCAAGTAAATGAGATACAGTTAATTTTTCCATCAGCTCTAAATTTTTGACAAATCACTCTGCCTCAGAGGATGCAACAGGGACTTGGGTCAGTCACCCTGGCTTGCTCTGTGCGCCAACCAAGAATACACCAAACCGGACCCATCTGTTTGCAGCTTCACTGAGCCACATCCCACAGCCCTGCCACCCTTTAAACCAGGGGGAATCCAAAAAGTTCTACTGCCCACTGAGGAGGTGAGGCTTTCCTGCCCTCATTTAACGTGAAATGCCCGCGCTTTGGCCTCTCCGCCTTTGCTGAGAGCAGTCTGTTTCACGGAGAACAGCCTTCTGCAGGAAAAGCCACTGTCATCAGGCTCTCCGCTACAGTGTCATCATGATTAGGGTGCATTTAAAAAGTAATTAAAATGTTGTGTTGAACATTAGGACTCGTGCAGGGCCACTGAGGAGAAGCCGGTAATTGGGTCCTTGGAAAGCTCTAGTCACTTTGCTGGCACACTACAGTGAAAGGGAACGGGGTGGCGGGCGGGGGCAAGGGCAGGGACAGCCACCACTCTCGAGTCTGTCCCTGCACTCCTTGACGGAGAGCTCAGCTGATCAGACGCCCGCATATTTCCAGATAGATAGTGCTGCTGGGGTGAATTCTCTCTTCCTCCACTCCCAGATTCATATGCTGAAGTCCTAACCCCCCCTCCACTCCTCAGAGTGTGACCTTATTTGGAGATTGCTACTGACCCAAGTGGGGTCTGCTCATCTGGCCCAGCAAGGTCAATCAGTGGCTTTGGGATCCTGGTGAAATGAAGTGAGGCACAGATTGCAGTGCACCAAGCAACACTGAAGACCTGCACTCTCCGATGCCTGGCAAGTAAGGGTTTTCAAAGGCAGGGGTACATTTCAGGAAAGCAGAAGTTACAGGCAAAATCAGAGGCTAACACATGATGTACATTGCTTTGGCCTAAAAACGTGGAACATCTCAAAGCAGGGGCCCACAGTTCGATTCAAATATTTTCTGATTTGCAGTTGGTTAAGGAGGCAGAGCTTTGTCTACGTGTGCTGGAGTCAGCAGAAAGATATGTTAGGGTTGACTCAAGGGCACGACCTCCTCCGGGCCCCTCAGGAAGAACTTTAGAACAAAGAATGCCAGTCCGAGTTCAGTCCTCAGCTCCCCCTTTTGTGAGGTCTACAGGCCAGTGGATCTGTTTGGTGGGGGTCTGGGTTTCTGAAAAACAACTCAAGGACTTATGTTAAGATGTTATCTTTAGGTCAAACGCAGTGGCTCACACCTGTAAACCCAACACTTTAGGAGGCCAAGGTGAAAGTGTCAGAGGCGTTTGAACCAGAGCAACTCCATCTTGAATAGGGGCTGGGTAAAATGAGGCTGAGACCTACTGGGCTGCATTCCCAGGAGGTTAGGCATTCTAAGTCACAGGATGAAATAGGAGGTCAGCACAAGATACAGGTCTCGAAGACCTTGCTGATAAAACAGGTTGCAGTAAAGAAGCCGGCTAAAACCCACCAAAACCAAGATGGCAATGAGAGTGACCTCTGGTCGTCCTCACTGCTATACACTCTCACCAGCGCCGTGATGGTTTACAAGTCATGGCAACATCAGGAAGTCACCCTACATGGTCTAAAAGAACGAGACCTGAATAATCCACCTCTTACTTAGCACATCATCGAGAAATAACCTTAAAAATGGGCACCAGCAGCCCTCGGGGCTGCTCTGCCTATGGAGTAGCCATTCTTTAATTCCTTTACTTGCTTAATAAACTGGCTTTCACTTTACTCTATGGATTCATCTCGAATTCTTGTGTGAGGTCCAAGAACCCTCTCTTGGGGTCTGGATCAGGTCTCCTTTCCAGTAACAGGAAGATTGCTTGAGGCGAGGAGTTTGAGACCAGCCTGGGCAATGTAGTGAGACTCTGTCTCTGCAAAAATAAAAATAAATAAATAAATAATTTAAAAAGATGTTATCTTTGGTTTCTGTAGGGAACCAAACATCTCAGGACGCTAACTCCCTTGGCTATTGTTTTAAGCTACTATTACCTTCTTGTTTATCAAGCTGCTCATGTACTTCTCAGGGCGAGCTGGATGCCTGGAATTTCCCTAGAAGGAACTCAAGATTTTCCTTTATTTTCATGTTTGGTTGGGGTGGGGGGGAAGTGCGTGGCAGCCCCCTAAGAGAGGTCCCTGCTCCATTTCCAGATGGGGTCTTCGCAGAGGTAATGGAGTGAAAATGAGGTTATTAAGGCAGACCCTAATCCAATACAATTGGTGTCCTTTCAAAAAGCAGAAAATTGGACACAAACAGGCATAGAGGGAAGACGGTGTGAAGAGACACAGAGAGAAGGTGTCTGTCCACAAGCCAAGGAGAGAGGCCTGGAGCAGACCCTCCCCTCGTAGCCCTCAGAAGAAGTCAACATAGTGGATACCTGGATTTTTGGACGCCAGCTTCAGAACTGAGAGGATAAATTCCTGTCGTCTGAGCACCCCCGTCTGTGGTACTTTGTTACGGCAGCTGGAGCAAACTAGCCTGGCTTTCCAGGACCCGTCTCCAGGGCCTGCTCCCCACCAAAATCCCAGGCAAATACCATATTTCACTCTGTGTTCTTCAAATACTCACACACACACACACACACACACACACACACACACACACACTCTTAAGTGATGGTAACAATAGAATATGATGTAGTTTCAGCCACTCAAGAGGCTGAGTCAGGAAGATTGCTTGATTCCAGGAGTTGGAGGCTGCAGTGAACCATGATCGTGCCACTGCACTCCAGCCTGGACAACAGAGCAAGACCCTGTCTCTATAAATAAATAATAGAATATGACTGAAAAGGGCAGTGGTGAACCAGAGGAAGAAAGGTACTCGCTAAGAAGTGAGGATGCCCACTGCAGCCATACATCGGTTGGACCTTCAGCTGGGTTTTACTCCACAAGGTGGAGAGCATGGCAGAAAGACAGGGAGACCCAGAGCACCCAACCCTCTTGCCCCATCTGGTCCCCAAATCAAAGCCTTTATAAAAGCAACATTGGTGTTATTTAACTCTAAATAATACATGGGCTGGAATCAAAGACATACAAAAGTTTAACATTACCAAGAAGTTGTCCTGTCTGCACGGGAGATGTTATCTGTACTATTTGATTTCTGTCCCAGCATCAAATAAACATTTTTGTCCCACAAATTTATGGGAAGCAGCTTCTCTCCCTAATACGCAGATGCTAATGTACTTTCTGCCCCACCAGTGTTTTCAGAAAGCATTCTTAGTCTTTGACAGGTAGGAAATTTGCATTTCCATTAGTGAGGCCTTTGTCAATTGTGAGTTATAAAAGCCCCAGAAGAATAGGGTTGGGGGAAATGCATTGTATTTTAAAAGGAGACTTTATTGCATGGTTCAACGAAAGGTACCGAAGTAGATAAAGCCTCTGGAGCGGGCTGCTGAGAAGCCTCACAACGAGGAGAAACTTGTTAATGCACGTGCCTGTCACCGGACAACCAGAGGGGAGGAAAGTCTGAATGTGACTTTACTAGTTTGCAATTTACTGTGTTTAACATTAAAATAGTACACTCTTCGGGGGTGATAAGGCGCATTTGGTGCTGCCAGTCAAGTGCTTCTCGCTCCTGTTCCATTAGCTGCGGCTGTAATCTTCTCATTTAAAATCGCTGCTGTTCGGCCGCAGCGGCTCTGGCAGGGCTGGGGGTTTGATTTGTGTATGTGATTTGTTTTACTCTTTATGTTAGTAGAGTCAAGATGCTCAAGAAAAATAAAAGCTCAAGCATCCCCAGCAGCGAAAGGAATGATGCAAACAGCGCTGCTTCATTTGTTATCTTATTTGCCCTTCAAACTTGGTCTCCAAACACACAGTTAAATAATTCAGTGGCCACACTAAATACTGGAGAGGAGCAGGCAGAGAGAAAGCCATCAGAAGTCATGGGCCAGGGAAACAGCATTTCCTAAGAAGTAAGTAAACCAGAGAGAACGAGGAGTAAGAGGAGCCTCAAGGTGACCTCTGTCTGCCCTGCCCAAGACTCTGCCCAGTGCAAAGCCCATACAGTGGTGCTGGTCGAAGCTCCTTATCTCAGAGATGAAGGAAGTGAGTAAACACAGGCTGGTGACAAGCACAAGGACACACAAATCATTCGTGGTGAGCAAGTTCTGAAGTCCCACATAGTAGCAGTACAAGCCGCAGACAAAACCCCTTAGACACCTAGTTAAAGAAGGAAGGGCTTTATTCGGCCAGGAGCTTCGGCAAGACTCACGTCTCCAACAACCGAGCTCCCCAAGTGAGCAATTCCTGTCCCTTTTAAGGGCTCACTACTCTAAGGGGGTCTGTGTGAGAGGGTTGTGATCGATTGAGCAAGCAGGGGGTACGAGACTGGGGGCTGCATGCACCGGTAATTAGAACGGAACAGAACAGGACAGGGATTTTCACAGTGCTTTTCTATACAATGTCTGTAATCTATAGATAACATAACCGATTAGGTCAGGGCTCGATCTTTAACTACCAGGCCCAGGGTGTGGCACGGGGCTGTCTGCTTGTGGATTTCATTTCTGCCTTTTAGTTTTTATTTCTTCTCTCTTTGGAGGCAGAAATTGGGCATAAGACAATATGTGGGGTGGTCTCCTCCCTTAACATGTCTTGGTTCATTGTTCAGGGTTTGTCCTGTATATTAGGCTGCCTTCACTGGACACTTTCCTCCTTCCCTCATTGCACAGACACTTATTGAGTGACCACTGTATGCGAGGCACTGAGCATGCAAAGGAGATGCGGCTGGACCAGATCTGCTGTCGTGGAAGGCTCCCTGTTTTAGTGGGGGAGACAGGCAATACACGAGGAAGCCAATACATACACGTGATAATGTCAGCGCTATGTGTTGTCAAGAGAACAAAGGTCATGGGGAAGCGTGGGGACAGGGGCCAGTCAGGAGCAGGCACTGAGGAGGCTCTCTGGGGCAGCAGGCAGAGGCATGCATGACAACAAAGCGCGTTCCAGACTACCGCAACATCCTGACAGCCTGGCCAAGCTTGGTGTCCCCGCAGCGGGAGGCCTGAATGCAAGGGGAGAGTGGCCACTGCAGAGCAAGAGTCCAGGTCCTGGGGTCATGGAGAGGAGTGGAGTCTGATTCCAGCTGCGATGGAAACCAGTGGGAGATTTTCAGCAAGAAGCGACGTGATTCAATTTCTGTTTTGCAACAGCGCACACAGGCATTGAGAATGGATTCTGGGGTGTAAAAGTGGGGAGCTCAATGTTGCAGCTAGGCTGCTGGGGTCCTGCAGGGCACCCCCTCCCCGGCCCAGACAGCACCTCTCTTTCTTGCCTGAGTTTGGAATCTTTTGAGAATAAACAGTGGAGTGGCAATGGAGGTTAAAATAGCATCCACTTCGATGATAAGGCTCGGGATGAGAACCAAAGACTCCCTAACAACGGCCGCAGAAGCGGACAGTCCTCCATCCCCGAGGAGAGGAAGAGGTGCCCTTGGAGGAGCAGCAGAGAGCAGCAGCTCCTGCAGGCAGTGCTCCCAAGGGAGGAAGGACGGGCACCGCTGAACAGACACATCCAGCTCATAATCCCCACATTTTTCATTTGCTCTTGTCACCCAGGCTGGAGTGTAGTGGTGCGATCTCGGCTCACTGCAACCTCCACCTCCCGGGTTCAAACGATTCTCCTGCCTCAGCCTCCTGAGTAGCTGGGATTACAGGCGTGCACCACTGCACATGGCTAATTGTTGTGTTTTTAGTAGAGACAGGGTTTTACCATGTTAGTCAGGCTGGTCTCGAACTCCTGACCTCGTGATCCGCCCGTCTGGGCCTCCCAAAGTGCTGGGATTACAGGCATGAGCCACCGCACCTGGCCAATCTCCACATTTTTCAAATAGCCAGTCATAAGGTGGAGGGGTAAAGGGGCAGGGAGGGGCCAGGAGTAAAGCTAACTGAGCCTCCTCTGCTCGAAAGGGAACAGGCACAGAGGAGAGGTATTCTGCCCCAGGTGCCGGTGGGTTAGCGCGAGATGTTTGTCATGAAAACGGAGAGTATCTCGAGAGAACATCTGAGAACTTACAGACTCAAAAATAGGCACTGTGTTGGCCAGTCCCAGCTCCTGCCTCTGTGTAGCGGACAGCCTCCCCTCTCCATAAGAGATGGTTATTAATTAAAATGTTAACCATCTTCAGGGACACAGCATTCACTCACCCTTTCAATCAAGAGTTGAGGCTCGCTTTCACCTCTGCTGTCCTCTGTGGAGTTGAAGGGACTCCTGCTCTCCTTGTCATAGGTTCTCATCCACCTGAGAATAAGCCTGTATTATACAGTTCTTACATTTCCCTTTAACAAGTTAAACAACTTCCAACTCCTTTGTAACCTTTGCTCGTTTCTGCTTTTGATTTTCTGCAGTTTTACTGTATTGCTCTTAAAATGCAGGCAGCAAAGCACGGCACGCCGCCGCATCACCGGGCCTGACCTCCGCTGCATGTGCACAGCCCGACGGCTGCTCCCTGGCGATGCCATGTCCTCTCGGTTCAGCGCGGCCACACTCGCTCTCTCTGTCAATTTCAGAGCAGCGCCAGCTCTCACATTCTGCTTTAGGCACCCAATAACCCCCAAGGTTTTGTCTTTTGACAAGAGACTGATTTCAATAACTTTCTCCTGATAAGAAGACCACTGAGTGACTATGAACTAGCTCTGTCCAGTTGACAGAGGCTGTGCGCCGAGTGCTGTCTCCCTCCGGGATCTGCATAAAACGGCGTGCATTCAGTCCTCTAAAGCATTTATCCATGTTATTACTGAAAGACGCCTTATTATTCATCAAGCATTTGTTTAACTTAACTGGGTTACGGTGACTTCTGTTCCTCCTGTCTTCGGAACCTGGCCAACATGGAGGCATTTGCAGGAGCATGAAGAAGGGGCCTCCCCACTTCCTTCAGCCTTAGAGTGAGCACCAAATTGCAAACATTTTCTGCTTCGAGGAAGCAACGCGCCAGCCAGTGCCCAGCACTCCTGCTCTGCTCTGCCTTGGGCCACCGTTTCCCAAACTGGAGGCTCTGGGACATTTTGAGAGCGTTGTCGATAATGAAGATGAGGCAGAAGCTTCTCCGAAGCAGGCTGTACGATGAAGGCCAGCACCAGGGTCACCTGACCTATCACCGGTCGGCCCATTGCTCCCCACCAGGCAATGCTGGCCTCCTCCCTGAACTCTAAACCCTGCAAGCGCCCTCCTGCCTCTGGGATCCTATCCTCACTATGGCCCTGTCTAGAATGCTCTTCCTCTTTCTTTTGTAAACTAAAAATGAAACCCTAAGCTCTCTAACCAACTGAACCTTCTCTTGGTCAAGCAGACCCCTGAGAAACCTTAAAAACTGAGTGCCGGCCCGGGCGCGGTGGCTCACGACTGTAATCCCACCACTTTGGGAAGCTGAGGCGGGTGGATCACAAGGTCAGGAGTTCAAGACCAGCCTGACCAACATGGTGAAACCCTGTCCCTACTAAAAATACAAAAATTAGCCAGGCATGGTGGCGGGCGCCTGTAATCCCAGCTACTCGGGAGGCTGAGGCAGGAGAATGGCGTGAACCCGGGAGGCAGAGCTTGCAGTGACCCAAGATCACGCCACTATACTTCAGCCTGGGCGACACAGCGAGACTCCGTCTCAAAACAAAGCAAAACAAAACAAACTAACTAACTAATAAAACCTGAGTTCCTGGCCATGACAAGAAGGGAAGTTAAACACACCTCGCTAGACTCCCTCTTTTTCACACTTTAGATACAACTGACCAGCATATGATAGAGATCATAAGACTGACACAATGGACTCTCCATGGCAATAAGATACCAAGTTAGAAACAAGACCTGGCCGTGCCAGGTAAGGGTTAAGTCATGCAACTCTACACTTAAAGAATAAACCATACTCTGGGCCGGGTGCAGTGGCTCATGCCTGTAATCTCAGCACTTTGGGAGGCCGAGGTGGGAGGATCACCTGAGGCCAGGAGTTCAAGACCAGACTGACCAACGTGGTGAAACCCCATCTCTACTAAAAATACAAAAATTAGCTGGGTGTGGTGGTGCACACCTGTAATCCCAGCTACTCAGGAGGCTGAGGCAGGAGAATCGCTTGAACTTGGAAGTGGAGGTTGCAGTGAGCCGAGATCGCGCCATTGTGTTCCAGCCTGGGCATCACCATGAGACTCTGTCTCAAAAAAAAAAAAAAGAACAAAAATAAACCATGATCTAACTGCCACAAGCTTTTTCTTCTTCTCTAGCAGCTAAACAAGCACTGGCCTTGAGATAAGCAATGTTGAAGCAACTGCAGCTTACCAGCCACCAGATGCTAACTGAGCCCCTGTTCCACCAGCCACGACTACAGCTTTGATTGGACAAGAGACTGATTTCAATAACTTTCTCCTGATAAGAAGACCACCAAGTGACTATGAACTGTTCTGTCCAGTTGACAGAGGCTGTGCACTGAGTGCCTTCATGTCCTAAAAAGATCTTTGGATTCATAGGGCCTAACTGTAATACACTGAAATGTTACGTCCCCACCCCAAGGTGAACATGGGTTGTATGTTACATGCATGTTTGTTTAATACACATGTGTTGGGACCACCTTCATGAATATTAATAGCTCCTCCTGTAATCTGTTGACTAGGTCTGTTTAGCCAACCCATTCAGCATAAATCTCCTACCCCAGCTCCTCCAACCTCCAAGTGCCTGTCTCTGGCCTTGGCCAGAGGCTGTACTTTCCAGCCTGCAGAATGGCCTTCTTGCAGGCTATAACCATTTATAAGAAATAAGGTTTCCTTTTCTGGCCAGGCGCAGTGGCTCACACCTGTAATCCCAGCACCTGGGGAATCCGAGGTGGGCGAATCACTTGAGGCCAGGAAGTTGAGACCAGCCTGACCAAAATGTTGAAACCCTATCTCTCCTAAAAATACAAGTTAGTGGGGTGTGGTAATGTACACCTGTAATCCCAGCTACTCAGGAGGCTGAGGCAGAAGAATTGCTTGAGCCTGGGGTGGAGGTTGCAGTGAGCCGAGATTGCATCACTGCACTCCAGCCTAGGTGACAGAGAGAAACCCTGTCTCAAATAAATAAATAAATAAATAAACAAAGTTATAAGGTTTCCTTTTCTCAATTTATAAATCTTGTTATTTTTTTTCAGTTACTTTCAACCCATTGACATTTTTCTTCCAATCACATTCTTTCTTCCCTCACATTCCTACCTGCTAAGCATTCCCTGAACACTAGAACTGTGGAAGTGGTGTGTGCCTATTCCAGGCCTTCCCTCCCTCCCCCTGTATTTCCCATGCACCATCCTTTGGACCACTCCTGCCCAATAGAACTTTCCATGATGTCAGCAATATTCTGTATCTGCGCTGTCCAATATGGTAACCACAAGCCACACTTGAAATGTGGCTAATGAGACTGATGAACAGAATTTTTAATTTTACTTAATTCCAATGTAAGTTTAAAGAGCCACATGCAGCCAGTGCCTACTGTGTTGGACAGCACGGCTGTAGCCCTTCCCTCATCTGCCAGCTGGAAGTTGAAACTGAGGGTAACCTGGGAGCCACCTATTGCAGACGGTGGAGGCTCTGTTAGGTTGAGGCCCTGAATGACTGCATGGAGCAGAGCATACATCCTATTGCCACACCCTGCTCCTGATCAGAAACTTTATGTGAGAGAGAAATTAACACCCACCATGTTAAGCCACTGAGGTTTTGGAGTTTATCTGTTAGAGCAACTACTATCACCTTAACAAATCAGGTCAGTCTGCTGTTACTGTAACAAATCAGCCAATAGGCTGGCTCCGAGGACAGGAAGATAAGTAAGAAGTAGCCCCTGGCTTCAAAAAGCCCCCTCTCAGGACGATACCTGGTCCACAAGACACATGCAATGTCATCTGCAGAATGAATGAATGCGTTATTCCAGTGTTACACTTCTCATTTTTCAGCTAAATTAGAAGCTCATTGAGGGACTGGACCCCATTCCCCCAAATTACGCACATTATATATTGTATTATGTGTATTCTATACAGTGCTAGCAAACTGCAGGGGTTCACTAATGAAGGAATGAATGAATGAATCCGTGGAGGCCAGCAGCCCCATAAAAAACCCTGCTGTAGCTGGGTGTGGTGGCTCATGCCTGTAATCCCAGCACTTTGGGGAGCCGAGGCGGGTGGATCACAAGGTCAGGAGA